>NC_000020.11:36314719-36617749 GCF_000001405.40 Homo sapiens
TGTGTGGTATTATGTGTATGGAGTGGGTGTGTGGTGTGATGTGTGTGGGGTGGGTGTGTGGTGTGATGTGTGTGTGGTGTGGATGTGTAGTGTGTGGTGTATGTTATGTATGGTGTCTGGTGTGTGTGCTATGATGTGTGTGATGTGGGTATGTGGTGTGTGTGGTGTGTGATGTGTGGTGTGTGATGTGTGGTGTGATGCGTATGTGGTGTGTGTGTGCTGTGTGTGATGTGTGTTTGTGGTGTGTTATCTATGGTGTGTGGTGTGTGTGTTATGTATGGTGTGTGTGGTGCGTGTGTGGTGGTGTGAGATGTGTGTGTGGTGTGTTGCGCCCCCCCGTGTGTGGTGTGATGTGTGTGTTATGTATGGTGTGTGTGATGTGTGGTGTGTGATGTGTGGTATGTGGTGTGGTGTGTGTGATGTGTGGTGTGTGTGCTGTGATGTGTGTGTGGTGTCTGTGATGTGTGTGTATGCTGTGTGGTGTGTGTTTGTGTGCGTTGTGTTACATCACCTCCCAGATGAATATAAACTCACATGAGTGACAGGCACTGTGACCCAGGAGAGCTAAGAGGAGACCGTAGCTGTCTTGGTGTCCAGGAGCTGAGACCTGAGAGTGAGGAGGGGTGTGGTGCGGTGCGGGGACAGCACGGAGAGCCATGGGTCACGGGCCTGGAGAGAGCAGCCAGGAGCTTGGGATGAGGAACAGTCAAGGCTGGCTGCGTGGGCTTCATGGGACCACGTGGACTGGTGACAGGAGGAAACTGAGGCTTGGAGCCATGAAGCAGCCTGCCTAGGCAGGACTGGAAACTTGGGTGGCCATGGTTGGGTCCCTGGGGTTGCTGGATGGTCTGCCCTGGCCGCAGCTAGCAAAGCCAGTGGCCATCACTGAGTCCAACTCAGGACATTTGAGCAACATTCCTGAGGCCCTGCAGCAAGTAAGAGTGGGGCTGGGCCTCCCCTTCCCAGCCTCTCAGCCTCCTCTTGTGTGGGTGCATCCCACTGAAAGAAACTAGGCAGCCACAGAAGGTTCCAGAGCAGGGCAGACCTACAATGCTCTCCTGGCCGACCACTCCCCAAGCCTTCCCGGCACTGGCATGGGGTGTTGGCTGCCTGCCCACTGCTGAGGCTAAGGCCAGAGCTGACTGACCCCTGCCATCTCAGTCTGTGGCCTCACTCTGCTGACACTGGCCGGGCAGAGACAAAGGCAGTGGGCAGCCTGGGAGGGGGTGGTGTGGCCCACCAGCCCTGTGGCTTTCAGGAACCATTTGCAAGACTGGGTTTGATAATGACAAGGCTGGTCCTGGAGGCCAGCGGGAAGGCAGCCTCTCATCCTGAGCCCTTGAGATGCGTCTGGGGGATCAATCACAAAGCGGAAGGTGGGCTCCTTCCCCATTGACCTCCCCTTCTCAAGCATCTTTTGGCAACAGCCTTCATGGCCTCTGGCCAAGGTGACCATCCCCGCCTCCTACCTGATTTCCTGCTGGTGCGTCCTCCACGCAGGTTAAGTAACCACATCCAGCTGCTCATGGCCCAGAGCCCTGAATGAGGCCATTGCTGCCCCTGTCACCTGCCTCTGTGCACCTTCCACAGCCCCCTCCTGCTTTGCCCCCATCACACCCCACCCGCAGCTCACCTGAATGACTGGGCATGCCCAGAACCTTCCATGTCCTCTGGCTTTCCTGCCTTTGCGTTTACTGTTCCCTTTCCCTGGAAATCCTTCCCCACAGTCTTTGCTTGGTAACTCTGATTTGTTACTTATGGCTCAGCTCAGACCTCCCCTTTCCAGGAACCCTGCCTTTCCCAACCACATGGGTCACCCTACCCCCACAGCGGACTAGACTGTAAGGGTCTCCCACCGGGCAGAGGCTGGGGCCTGGCACACAGCAGGGGCACAGCTTGTGAGTGTTACCTGAGCATTGTTGAGCCTGGTAGTCCAGGAAGGGCCTGAGAACAGGTGGGGGTGGAAAGGCAGCCCAGCTCACCAGCCCGTCCCCTTCAGCAGTGCTCCCAAGCACCCCCTCACAGAGAAGCTGGGTCACCCAGGGGTGCCTTGGACAGCAGCCCAGGCCAGCCCGTCCCATTGCAGCCCGTCACTCCTCTCCTCCCCAGCCTCTTCTCTGGGGGCCACCTCCTCACCTGGATCTGGCACTAAGGGGGTAACTGAGGCTGGGCAAACAGGGAGCTGGTTGACCGGCTGCCTGTTTGGCTTGCACACCTACCAGGACTGGCTTTTCAAACTGGGAGAAGCTCAGCTGTTTGAAAATCTTTCTCCAGGATAGGAATAAACTTCTTGTTCTTTAAGCCTCTGAAATTTTAGAGTCTATTTATTACTGTAGCCTAGTCTACACTAATATGAATATCTGTTATGTGCCAGAGACTATTCTAGGCACTAGGGATAATAATGTTAACCTCCAAGGAAGCTACTATGAAAATTTTCTTCCTTTCTCTCCTTCCTTCCTTTCTTTTCCTTCCTTCCTTCCCTCCTTCCTTCCTTCCTCTCCTTTTTTCTTTCTTTCTTTCTTTCTTTCTTTCTTTCTTTCTTTCTTTCTTTCTTTCTTATCTTTCTTTCTTTCTTATCTTTCTTTCTTCCTTCCTTCCTTCCTTCCTTCCTCTTTCTCTCTTTCTTTCCTTCTCTCTTTCTTTCTTTCATTCTTTCTTTCCTCTCGTCTCTTTCTTTCTCTCTTCTTCCTTCCTTCTTTCTTTTCTTTTCTTCTTTCTTTTCTCCTTTCTTTTCCTTCTCTTTCTTTTTTTTTTTTTTTGTCAGAGCTCTGTTGCCCAGGCCGGAGTACAGTGACATGATCATAGCTCACTGCAGCCTTGAACTTCTGGGATCGAACAATCTTCCTGCCTCAGCCTCTGGAGTAGCCAGGATTACAGTTGCACATCACCATGCCCAGCTAATTAAAAAAAAAAAAAATTTAGAGATGGGGTCTTGCTATGTTGCCCAGGCTGGTCTTGAACTCTTGGCCTCAAGCAATCCTTCTCTCCAGCCTCCCCAGTTGCTGGTTTTGTGGGCGTGAGCCACCGAGCCCAGCACTCTTGTGAGAATTTTCTGAAAACTGACAGGTGAGCATCTCTAGCTGGGTGCTGCACATAGCTGAGTCAGATCCATTCTTGAGTCCAGCACAGTCATAAAGAGCAGCCACACAGGGCTGGCTGAGGTTGGCAGGGATGGTCTTCTGGACAGATCAGGGCCACTAAAGAAAAGAGCCCTGGGTGTGCCCAGCCTGGGAGCATGGCCCAGCACAGCCTCTGAAGCCGGCCCTGGTTCTCTCCAGCCTCTATTCTACCCTGAATCAAGGCTCATCTTCTATACTCACTACTTATTACTGTGGAACAAATTACCCCAACATTTAGCAGCTTAAAGCAGTAATAAATGTGTCCTCTCACACACACACACACACACACACACACACACACACACACACACACACACACAGTCTACTCCAGGAGTGACTTTGAGGGCATCCAGTTTACCCTCATGATGATCAGGTTAGGCAGAGTGATAAGGGCTGTTTCTGGGTAGGTCCTGGGTCACAGCCTGACACCAGCTGTCTCTCCAACATGCCCTGGGGCTCTAAGCAGAAGGGGCCACTGTCCTCACAGGAGCGGAGGCAAGGCATAGAGAGGAAGAGTGACACTCCTGAGGTCACCCATCCGGCAGCTGGTGGACCCAGGATTGTCTCCCTGTCTCCCAGGCTGAAATGCAGTGGTGCAGTCATGGCTCACTGCAGCCTCCCACTCCTGGGCACAAGTGTTCCTCCCCACTCAGCCTCCCGAGTAGCTGGGACTACAGGGGTGCACCACTGGACCTGGCTAATTTTTTAAATTTTTTGTAAAGATAGGATCTCGCTTTGCTGCCCAGGCTGGTCTTGAACTCCTGGCTTCAAGTGATCCTCCCACCTCAACCTCTCAAAGTGCTGGGATTACAGGTGTGGACCACTGCACCCAGCCCTGGCCCAGGATCTTAACCACTGCACCCTCCTGCCTTGGGTGAGACAGACGAGGGCAGGGAGGCTCTGGCTGGGTGGGGTCTTCATGCCTGTCTGGAAATGAGGTGTTCATAGCAGTGATTGTTGATGACTAGCTGTTCTAATGAGCAGGTTTTTTCTGATTTTGTTTTTCATTACAAGAGCAAAACTGAAGGCAGGCGCGGTGGCTCACGCCTGTAATCTTAGCACTTTGGGAGGCCAAGGCGGGAGGATCATGAGGTCAAGAGATGGAGACCATCCTGACCAACGAGGTGAAACCCTGTCTCTACTAAAAATACAAAAATTAGCTGGCATGGTGGTGCACGCCTGTAGTCCTGGCTACTCAGGAGGCTGAGGCAGGAGAATCGCTTGAACCTGGGAGGTGGAGGTTGCAGCAAGTTGAGATTGTGCCACTGCACTCCAGCCTGGCAACAGAGCGAGACTCCATCTCAAAAAAAGAAAAAAAAAAAAAGAAAAACTGATTGGAAAGGTGGGCATCTGTCTCAGGCCCGGAGGGAGGGAGCTGCTGATTTTGAGGGGTGGCCCAAGTTTGAGTCCCCACTCTGCTCACTGGCTATGTGATTTTGAGCAGGTCACAGAAACCTCTCTCAGCCTCAGTTTCCCCCGCTGTCCTCAGAGAGATAACAGTGTCATTGCCTGTCTCAGAGGCTTGGTTTGAGGGTGAATTGAGGTCCTGTGTGTTCAAGGACTGAGGACAGAGCCTGGCATACAGCAAGTCCCCAAAATAAGGCAGCTGGTGTTACTGTGCTCTCTCCTGACACCCGCACACCCCCCGGAACCTTCTGGCACTCCCTCCCTAGCCTAGCCCAGGGCAGCTCACAGAAGGGCCAGCCTGGGAAAGTGGGCCAAGGGTGAGCACTATGGGCAGAGCCCTGCACAGAGGGCACAGTGCTTGTCCCCATCTCACAGAGGTGGGAAACCGGGGCCACAGATGACTGGTCCAAAGACCTCAGGGGTGGAGCGGGGACTGGATCACAGCCTCGTGACTCACAGTCCAGTGCCTTTCTTGCTGCCCAACTCCTTAGGGATTCTTGGGAGAACTTCAAGGAGCTAAAGAGAATTCTAGGGGCCCCCAGGGCACCTAGGAGGCCTGGGAGGCAGGTGCTTGGGCCCTCCTCCCCTCACCACCCCAGGCCTCTGTGTGACCCTGTTGGAGTTGCCTCCTTCTCTGTGCCTCTGTCACAGCAAGGTAGCGGGGAGAGTCTGGAATCTGAAGAACTTGGATTCAAGGCCCCCTCCCCCGGGCCTCCCTCTGCGTCCCACTCCCCCGGGCCTCCCTCTGTGTCCCTCTCCTCCAGGCCTCCCTCTGTGTCCCCCTCTCCCAGGCCTCCCTCTGTGTCCCTCTCCTCCAGGCCTCCCTCTGTGTCCGCCTCCTCCAGGCCTCCCTCTGTGTCGCATTCCCCTAGGCCCCCCTCTGTGTCTTCCTCTCCCAGGCCCCCCTCTGTGTCTTTCTCTCCCAGGCCCCCCTCTGTGCCCCTCTCCCCCGGGCCTCCCTCTGTGTCCCCCTCCTCCAGGCCCCCCTCTGTGTCTCCCTCTCCCAGGCCTCCCTTTATCCCCTCCTCTAAGCCCTCCTCTGTGTCCCCCTTCCCCAGCCCCACCCCGTGTCCCCTCCCTCCTCTGCTGTCCTGGTTTGTGCCTGGCCGACATTCAAGGTGGCAGCTTTGGGGTGGGAGCTCAGGCAATGGGAACCATGCTTGGAGGGGCCCAGCCAGGCCCACACTGACCCTTGCCCTGGTGGACTCCCTCTGCCAGGGCAGGTGGCAGTGGGGCTGTGGGGCTGTGAGTGGGGGCTCTGGTTCTCCCCACGCTGCAGGCCTGCGTCATGCCCCCCACTCCCTTGCTGCATGCCCTGCATTGGAAAGCAGATATATTTAGACGAAATGCTGTGTTCCAGACAGATTCTGCATCCACTGTACTTGTCAGGGCTGGGGGAGGCAGGGCCTGTGAGCAGCCACACCTGGTACCTGGAGTCTGGGCCCCCCTGAGCCCTTTGCCCACCTGCCTGGGACCTCTGGGGGCTGCTGACTGGGTGAGGGGGACACTGATGAGACAGAGGCCTGGCCCTCTACCGACTTTGGACGGGTCTCCCTCTGCACCCTCTCTGCCGCCTAAGGCCACATCTCTCTAACTCTTTACCTCCAAGTCACAGCCAAATCAGTCCTTGGCTCCCTGTCTGCCCCCAGCTTCCTCTGAATCCCCGAACCCTCCTGTACCCCTTCCAGGACTCAGCACTTTGTCCCCTGTGTAGTCAGTCAGCAAACGAGGATTTGAGCCTGCTGCGGGCCAGGTCCTTGCTGGATGTAGGACCTGGAGATGAAGGCCCTCAAAGGAGCCACATCACAGTCTAGGAGCGGGATCATAGACCACAAAGACAACAGCAGGTACCCGCATGGCAGCAGGAAGCCCTAGGGCAAGGGCACCCATGCTGGGGTGATGGTCAGGGAAGGCTTCTCGGAGGAGGGAGTGGTCCAAGCTGACACCCGTTGGTTAAGTGAGAGTGAGCCCACACCTGGAGACGAAACAGGCATTCCTGGCAGAGGGAACAGCACGTGCAAAGGGCTGGGGTTGAGGGAAGACCTGGCTGCACATGGGAGAATAGGGAGCAAGAAGACGGGCAGGGATGGGGTCTTTCAGAGCCTCAAGTGCCAGGCTGAGGGCCTCGGCTGCCCCATGGGCCCTGGAGGGCTGCGGGGGAGTTTCCAGCAAGGCAGTGGCCAGGTCTGATGTGAGCATAGCTGGGGCAGCTGGTCATTGGTTCCACAGCCACTCGCCAGGCTGGCCCCGGCTTCCACCTCGGATGTGCTCTGCCCAGCCTGGTGGGAATCAGAAATAGCTCACACGTGCTCAGCGCCTGGTGAGGCGCTCGCCCGCCTCAGCGCGTTTCATCTGCGCCCGAGTCTAGGAGGGCTCAGTGCTTGTGAGCTGGGTGACCTTCTCACTCCTACTTATTAATATGCCACCCACTGGGGCTGTAGGCAGAGTTGGGAGAACGAGCATGGGGAGGGAGCGAGGAGGGGGAAAGGTGGGGGTCCCAGGGTGGGAAATGCTGAGGGCTTGGAAATGGTACCTGCCCACCAGAACAATATGCAGCAGATAAAACCCAAAGTATAGAGACAAATATACAGATCCCCCTCGATCTACCTGCAGTGGTGACCACATTTTGATGCCGACCTTCCAGAGGTTTCTCCAAGTCTGTCTGCTGTGGCAGATAGATTCATTCATTCATTCAACAAATATTTGTTGAGTGCCCACTTGATGCCAGACCCTGTGGTGGGCAGAGGGGACATGGCTCTGAGTGAAAGGGACTCTCCTGGCCCTTAGGGAACTCAAAAAGCAGGTAAAACAGTGATGAGGCCCACGGAGGAGGGTCACAGGAACATGGGCCCTGACTGGAGTCACAAAGGCTTCCTGGAGGAGGTGACACTTGAACTGAGACCTAAGGGATGAGGAGAAGTTGCCCCAGCAAAGAGGAGCAGAAGAAAACATTCCAGCAGAGGGAACTGCAAATGTGCAAACCCCGGGGTGTGAGGAAGGTGGGGTTTTCAGGGAAGAGGAAGGAAGATGGTGAGGCTGGAGTGTTGGGATGTGGAGGGAGGACAGGTGAAGCACTAGAGGATGGCGGGGGCCAGACGGTATGGGGCCTTCTGCACTGTGGTCAGGGTTTGGGGATTTACATAAGAGCGTGGGTTGTGGCGCCAGAAGGTCTAGATGCAAATCCAGCTCTGCTGCTTATTAGGGGCTTGACTTCAGCAAGTTACCTAACTTCTCTGTGCCTCAGTCCCCTCATCTGTAAAGTAGGGGCAGTGATGGTCCCTGCCTCATAAGACTGTTGTGAGGATGAAGTGAGGTAATAAAGTGCGTAGGACAGCACGTGGCACACAGCAAGTGCTTATAAATGGTAGCTCATATAATGTCACAGTCATCTGTAGATGGAGGGCATCTGTGCAGATGACTTTGCAATAGGGTCACATTAGTCCTGCTCATCTGCAGCTACTTCTTCCCTTGATGCTGGCCATCCTCCTGAGTCAGTGACTACCGAGTATTATTCTATTTGAAATTTCTGAGTTGTAGTATAGCACGTGTTGTAGAGTGTACTAATCTTAAGCAGATAGTATAGCTTGATATATGTGTATATCTCACCCTTGTAACTACCACTAAGGTCAAGATGCAGGATATTTCCAGGCCAGGTGCAGTGGCTCACGCCTGTAATCCCAACACTTTGGGAGGTTGAGGAGGGTGGATTGCTTGAGCCCAGGAGTTCGAGACCAGCCTGGGCAACATGGTGAAACCCCATCTCTACAAAAGATACAAACACTAGCTGGGCATGGTGGTGTGTGCCTGTGGTCCCAGCTACTCAGGAGGAGGCTGAGGTGGGAGGATCGCTTGAGCCTGGGAGGTTGAGGCTGCAGTGAGCCATGTTCTCACCACTGCACTCAGCCTGGAGTGACACAGAGACCCTATCTCAAAAAAAAAAAAAAAAAAAAAAAAAAAAGATATAGGATATCTCCAGCTATACCAAAAGGCTCTGTCTTGCCTTTTCCAATTAATTCCCCACCTCCCTTCCCCAGGGGCAACCAATATTCTGACTCCTAAAGCCATAGCTTTGTTTTGTCTTTTTCACACCTTCACATAAACAACATCATGCAGATTGTCTCTTTTGTGCTAACTTCTTTTGCTCCTCACTTTGTCAATGAGATTCATCATGGCTGTTGTGTGTATTGGTAAGTTTTCTTTTATATTGCTGCCTAGTATTCCACTTAGCGAATATGTCATACGTTATCCATTCTATTGTTGATAGACTTTTGGAATATTTCTAGTTTTTGACTATATGGATAGTGCTGCTTTGAGCTTTCTCATAGAAGTCTTTTGGGAAACTTTTGCGGTTATTTCTGTTGGTTATATACCGAGTGGAGTTTATTTATTCTGTGGGTTGTCTCTTCACTTTTTTGATAGTGCCTTACAGCAGGGATCCCCAACCTTTTTGGCACCAGGGACTGGTTTCATGGAAGACAAGTTTTGGGATGAAACTGTTTCACCTCAGATCATCAGGCATTAGTTAGATTCCCATAAGGGGCATGTAACCTAGATCCCCCGCATGCGTAGTTCACAGTAGGATTCGTACTCCTGTGAGAATCTAATGCCACCGCTGATCTGACAGGAGGAGGAGCTCAGGCGGTAAAGCTGGCTTGCCTGCTGCTCACCTCCTGCTCTGCAGCCCAGTTCCTAACAGGCCACAGACTGGTACAGGTCCATGGCCCAGGAATTGGGGACCCATGCTTTATAGCACAAAAGTTTTAAACTTTGATGAAGTCCAATTCATCTATTTTTTTTCTTTGGGTGTATTTTCTTTTGGTGTCATATCTAAGAAACAGTTGCCTAATTCAAGGGCATGAATATTTATGCCTGTGTTTTCTTCTAAGAGCTTTATAGTTCAGCTGGGCACGGTGGCTCATACCTGTGATCCCAGTACTTTGGGAGGCTGAGATGGGAGGATCATTTGAGGTCAGGAGTTTGAAACCAGCCTGGCCAACATGGTAAAACCTCACCTCTACTAAAAATACAAAAATTAGCTGGGTGTGGTGGCGGGCACCTGTAGTCCCAGCTACTAGGGAGGCAGAGGCAGGAGAATCACTTGAACCCGGGAGGCAGAGGTTTCAGTGAGCCGAGATTGCACCACTGTACTCCAGCCTGGGGAACAGAGTGAGACTCTGTCAAAAGAAAAACAAAAAGAGCTCTATAGTTCTAGCTCTTACATTTAGGTCTTTGATCCATTTTGAGTTATTTTTTTGTGCCTGGTGTGAGGTAGGGGTCAAATTTAATTATTTTGCATGTGAACAATAAGTTGTGCTGGCACCATTTGTTGAAAGGACTGTTCTTTCTCCATTGAATGGTCTTGGCACCCCTTTCGAAAATCAATTAACCATAAATGTGAGATTTGTTGTTGTAGTTGTTTGTAGATCCTCAGTTCTGTTCCATTGATCTATCCTTATGACAGTTCCACATTGACTTGATTATTGTAGCTTTGTAATAAGTTTCGAAACTTATTATCTTTTAATATCTGTAGACTCTGTAGTGATGTGACCTGTTTCATTCCTGATATTTGTAATATGTGTCTGATCTTTCTTTCTCATTTTTAATTTTTGATCAGACTGGGTACATATTTTTCAATGGTATTGATCTTTTTGAAGGACAGCTTTTGGTGTCACTGATTTTTTCTTATTGTTTGTTTTCTCTTTTATTGATTTGCTGTTCTGATGCTATTTTCTTTCTCCCACTTAGTTCAGGGTTAATTTGTTTTTCTTTTTCTAGTTTTGTTTTTTTTAAGGTAAAAGCAGAGGTCATTAATCTTAAAGCTTTTGTCTTCATGAATATAGGCATTTAGTGCTATAAAGTTTCCTCTAAGTACTGCTTTAGCAGCACCCCACACATTTTGATATATTATATTTTCATTTTTATTCAGTTCATAGTACTTTCTAGTTTCCCTTTTGCTTCCCTCTTTGACCCATGGGTTTTTTAGAAATGTGTTATCTAATTTCCAAATATTTGAGGATTTTTCAGGGATCTTTCTGTTAATTGTTTTTAGTTTAATTCCACTGAGATTATATAACATATTTTGCATAACTTTAATCTTCTAAAATGTATTGAGACTTGTTTAATGGCCCAGAATCTGGTCCATCTTGGTAAATGTTCCATGAAAAGAGTATGTATTCTGTTGTTAGGGGATGGAGTGTTCTATAAATGTCGGGTCAAGTTGGTTGATAATTTTCAAATCTTCTGTATCCTTATTTATTTTCTGTTCACTTGCTCTACCAATTATTGAGAGAGAGCTATAGACATCTCTGACTATAATTGGAGATTTGCCTATTTCTCCTTACATTCCTATCACTTTTTGCTTTATGTATTTTAAAGCTTTGTTATTCAATACATACATATTTAGGATCATCATTCCTGTTGTTGCATTGACCTGTTTATCATTATGAAGTGATTTTATAATATTACAAAATATACTTTTTTTTTTTTTTTGAGACTGAGTCTCGCTCTGTTGCCTGGGCTGGAGTACAATGGCACGATCTCGGCTCACTGCAAACCTCTACCTCCCGGGTTCAAGCGATTCTCTTGACTCAGCCTCCTGAGTAGCTGGGATTATAGGCACGCACCACCATGCCTGGCTGATTTTTGTATTTTTAGTAGAGACAGGGTTTCACTATGTTGACCAGACTGGTCTTGAACTCCTGACCTCAGGTGATCCTCCCAGCTCGGCCTCCCAAAGTGCTGGGATTACAGGCATGAGTCACTGTGCCTGTCCTGAAACAGACTTTTTCTGATGTTAATGTAGCCCTCAAGATTTTAAAATTGGTGTTAACATGGTCTATATTTTTTCATCCTTTTACTTTGTACCTGTTCGTGTTTTTATATCTGAAGAGCATTTCTTGTAGGCAGCATATGTCAACATACCAAAATTTGCAGGATGCTGTTAAAGCGGTACTCAGGGGAAACCCAATAAGTTGGGCCCCAGATTCACCCCAGGTTTAAATCTTTTCTCTTGCTATTTGTTTTCTATTTGCCCTATCTATTCTTTGTTTCTCTTTTCTTATTTTTCTGCTACCTTTAGAATTAATCACATTTTTGTTATTCCACTGTATCTCTTGTTAATTATAGCCATAACTGTTTTATTTTAGTGCTTGCAGTATGGCTTACAATCTACACTTTAAACTTATTGCAGTGTACTTTCAAGTGATATTATATCAGTTCATGTATAGTACATCACAATAGCATACTTCCATCTCTTCGATCTTGTAGTATTATTATTATGTATTTGACTTTTATATGTGTAATAAGCACAACACTACATTGTTATTGTTTTTGTCTTGATGGTCATTATCTTTTAGAGATATTTAAATAATAAGAAAAATAATCCTATATATTTACCCATGTAGTTATTATTTTCAGTGCTCTTCATTCCTTTTTATAGATTCATATTTCTCTCTGGTATCATTTTCCTTCAGCCTGAAGGATTTTAACATTCCTTATAGTGTGAGTATGCTGGTGAGGAATTCTTTCAGCTTTAATGTGTCTGAAAAAGTCTTTATTTTGCCTTCATTTTTTTAAGTTATTTTTGCTGGGCATGGAATTATAAGTTAACAGATTTTTTTTTCTGTATTTTAAAGTTGTTCCACTGTCTTCTCACTTGCATTGTTTTTGACAAGAAATATGCTGTAATGTGTATCCTTGTTACCAGTATGTAACACATATCTTTCTTTTCTGGCTACTTTTAAGATTTTCTCTTTTTTTTTTTTTTTTTTTTTTTGAGACAGTCTCACTGTGTCACCCAGGCTGGAGTGCAGTAGTGTGATCTCAGCTCACTGCAGCCTCCGCTACCCAGGTTCAAGTGATTCTCCTACCTCAGCCTCCCGAGTAGCTGGGACTACAAGTGTGCACCATTACACCTGGCTAGTGTTTGTATTTTTAGTAGAGATGGGGTTTTGCCATGTTGGCCGGGCTGGTCTTGAACTCCTGACCTCAAGTGATTCACCCACCTCGGCCTCCCAAAGTGCTGGGATTACAGGCATGAGCCACCATGCCTGACCTAAGATTTACTCTTTACCACTGGTTTTGAATGCTTTGGTTATGATTTACCTCCATAAGGTTTTCTTCATATTTTTTGTCCTTGGGTTCATTTAGTTCCTGAAATGTGAAGATTTATAATTTATAATTTTACACCTGGCAGAGTGCAGCACAGGAAACGAGAGGAAGTGTCAGAGCCCACAGCTTGGTGAAGGCCACTCTTGACTCAGTTTCTCTATCCATCTGCTAGGCCGAGGGATACCTGCATTCCAGGACATTCCTTTGTTCCAGATAAGAATTATCTGGTTAAATTCTTTTTTTTTTTTTTTTTTTGAGACGGAGTCTCGCTCTGTCGCCCAGGCTGGAGTGCAGTGGCGGGATCTCGGCTCACTGCAAGCTCCGCCTCCTGGGTTCACGCCATTCTCCTGCCTCAGCCTCCCAAGTAGCTGGGACTACAGGCGCCCGCCACTACGCCCGGCTAATTTTTTGTATTTTTAGTAGAGACGGGGTTTCACCGTTTTAGCCGGGATGGTCTCGATCTCCTGACCTCGTGATCCGCCCGCCTCGGCCTCCCAAAGTGCTGGGATTACAGGCGTGAGCCACCGCGCCCGGCAAGAATTATCTGGTTAAATTCTAAGGTTGCCAGGCACAGTGGCTCACGCCTGTAATCCCAGCACTTTGGGAGGCCAAGGCAGGTGGATTGTTTGAGGTCAGAGGTTCGAGACCAGCCTGGCCAACGTGGTGAAACTCCGTCTCTACTAAAAATACAAAAATTAGCTGGGTGTGGTGGTACACGCCTGTAATCCCAGCTACTCAGGAGGCTGAGGCAGGAGAATTGCTTGAACCTGGGAGGTGGAGGTTGCAGTGAGCTGAGATGGTACCACTGCATTCCAGCCCGGACAACAGAGCAAGACTCTGTCTCAAGAAAATAAAAAAAATAAAAAATAAAAATTCTAAATTTAAAGTGCACATTGGCAAAGTGGCCAGTGTGTCAGGTGGTTGGGTGTGCCCCTTAATTTGATCACTCAGCTTCTCCTGGGCATCTTTTGTGCTGAGTAGGGCGTCCAGCTGGGAGGACATCAGACCCTGACAAGTTGGGCCCCAGAGTCACCCTAGAAGCTAAAAATACACAATGAGATTAAAGAAATGCCATTATAAACAGCAATGGTTCATCTTATTTGTATACAAAACTGGCAGGTTTTTTTTTTTTTTTAAATAAAGTCCAGCATAGACAAGAATGCAGGGAAATTGATCTTCCCAGACTCTATCAGGAGGGGTATAAATCAGAATCCCCTGCTTTTGTAGGGCAGGTTGGTACAGGATTGTCACAAAGTTTGGGGGGTTTTATTGTTTGTTTTTTTGTTTTTTTGAGACGGAATTTTGCTCTTATCGCCCAGGCTGGAGTGCAGTGGTGCGATTTCGTCTCACTGCAACCTCCACCTCCTGGGTTCAAGTGATTCTCCTGCCTCAGCCTCAGGCATGAGCCAGCACACCCAGCTAATTTTTTTTTTTTTTCTTAAGACGGAGTCTCTCTCTATTATCCAGATGGAATACAGTGGCGCGATCTTGGCTCACTGCAACCTCCACCTCCTGGGTTCAAGCAATTCTTCTGCCTCAGCCTCCTGAGTAGCTGCGACTACAGGCATGCGCCACCATACCCAGCTAATTTATATATTTTTAGTAGAGATGGGGTGTCACCATATTGGCCAGGCTGGTCTTGAACTCCTGACCTTGTGATCTGCCTGACTTGGTCTCCCAAAGTGCTGGGATTACAGGTGTGAGCCATCGCGCCCGGCCTAATTTTTGTATTTTTAGCAGAGACGGGGCTTCACCATGTTGGGCAGGCCGGTCTTGAACGCCTGACCTCAGGTGACCCACCCACCTCAGTCTCCCAAATTCCTGGGATTACATGCGTGAGTCACCATACCTGGCCAAGGTTGGAATTTTATCTATGTTTGGCCTGGCAATTTCAGCTCCAGGAAATTTTAAGAAAACAGTTCAGATTGTTGGAGCCAAACAGTCATGAGTTTGAACCTGGATGTACCACAGGTCACCAGTTATGTGACCTGGGACTAGTTACTCTACCTTTCTGAAGTTTCATTTGCTTATCTGTAAAATTGGGATTTTAATACTTATATCATCTGGTTGTAGTGAGGTTAACTGAAGTAATGTGTGCAAGATATTCAGCTTAGGGCCAGACACAGCGCAAACCTTGTGCCCCTGGGGGATGTCTTGATGACGTGGATGGAAAAAACTGAGTCAGAAGTGGCCTCCACCAAGCTTTTGGTCCTGACACTTCCTCTCTATCCCTGATTATGTATAGGAAATAAAAAGGCTGAGCCGGACACAGTGGCTCATGCCTGTAATCCCAGCACTTTGGGAGGCCGAGGTGTGGGGATCACTTGAGGTCAGGAGTTCGAGACCAGCCTGGCCAACATGGTGAAACCCCATCTCTACTAAAAATACAAAAATTAGGCCAGGTGCGATGGCTCACGCCTGTAATCCCAGCACTTTGGTAGGCCAAGTCAGGCGGATCACAAGGTTAGGAGTTCAAGACCAGCCTGGCCAACATGGTGAAACCCCATCTCTACTGAAAATACAAAAATTAGCCAGGCATGGTGGCAGATGCCTGTAATCTCAGCTACCTGGGAGGCCAAAGCAGAGGAATCACTTAACCGGGGAGGTGGAGGTTGCAGTGAGCAAAGATCTCACACTCCAGCCTGGGTGACAGAGCAAGACTCTTGTCTCAAAAAAAAAAAAAAAAGACTGAAAGACACACACCATAATATCAGAAGCAGTCATCTCTGGGAGAATAATTTTATTTTCCTAATGCCGTTCTGTTTTCTTCCAGTTTTCTACAGTGAACATATATTGCTTTTGTAACAAGAAAAAAATGACAATTAAAACACAGTGTGTCTCGTTCTTCCAGAGCCTGCCTTTGAAGGAGTGAGGAGCCTGATGGGCCAGGCCAGAGGAGGGTTTTGTGGGGGAGGTTCTGACCATATTGGTGGGGGCTCCAACTATCGTGGTGGGGGCGGCAGGACTGGAGAAGGGCTAGGTTACTGCCCCTCTATGCCCCAGGCTAGAGCCAAGGTTGGACTCTGAGTGGAGATTATGGAGGGAGGTGGTGGACTATATGGCTTCTAGAGGTGGACCTATTTACTCTCCGTGGGACCTCAGCTCAGTGCCTTCAGTTCTCTGTGCCTTAGTTTCCTCATCTGTAAAATGTGCCTCTATGGGACCTACTTCATAGGGTAGCTGAGGCTTCAGTGACTTTTGGGATTTTTTTTTTTTTTTTTTGAGATGGAGGAAAGTCAACTCCTTTCCCCTCTGTCACCCAGGCTGGAGTGCAGTGGTGTGATCTCGGCTCACTGCAACCTATGCCTCCCGGATTCAAGCAATTCTCCTGCCTCAGCCTCCCGAGTAGCTGGGACTATAGGCGCCCGCCACCACACCCGGCTACTTTTTTGTATTTTTAGCAGAGACGAGGTTTCACCGTGTTAGTCAAGATGGTCTCGATCTCTTGACCTTGTGATTCTGCCCACCTCAGCCTCCCAAAGTGCTGGGATTACAGGCGTGAGCCGCCACGCCCGGCCGACTTTTGAGTTTTTATTTTGAGTTTTTATCACAGTGCCTTGTGGACCGTAAATGTTAGCTATTGTCACTGTTGTTGTTGTTATTATTATTATTACTATTATGAGTATCATCATCCACCATTCCCTTGCTTCCAATTCAAGTGGTGAGGAGAGAGGGCTGGGCTGTCCCTCACAAAGTGGGCCATGTGAGAGAGACAGCTCATCCCCCCTGGGGGCCTGTGGGGGGAGGCCACCCCATTTCCCTGGGCCTTGGCTTCCTCTCTCACCTGTGGGGATGGCTACTTCCACGTGGTGAGAAATAAATGGGTCCTCCTGTCCAGTGCCCACACTCCAAAGATGCCTATTGAGCGTCTGCTCCCAGCCCTTCAGGGAGGACCCATGCTGTCAGAAAACGAGGGGAAGAGTGTGAGAGGCCAGGTGGGAGGGCCAACTTGGGGTCAGGTGCCCAGCCACCGGGAGGCCCATCTCCGGCATCCCCAGCTGCCCCTCCTCCAGCTCACCGATGGCCTTGGAGGGAGCAGGACCAACATGGGAACATTAATCCACCTCATTACCTCCCTTTGCTGTGGAGTTGTAGCAATTAGACCTGCAGTCTGGGCAGCATTAGGAGCCAGGCAGGGGTCACCCGGGCTGCTGGCCCCCTGCCGACCCAGCCTCAGCCTGGACTCACTCTGTCTCTGGGGAGAGGGGCCAGAGAAGGGAGTTCCCTGGCAGCAGAATCTCCCTCATCACTAAAGATGGATGCAGAGATGGAAGCTTTGGCCTCTTTTCACTTACCCACTCACAGGTGTTTAACAGATGTTTATGGAGCACCTACTGTGTGCCCTGGAGACAGATGTGGTCCCTGCCCTCACAGAGCTCTCAACAAAAGTAAAATAATTGCTGCTAGTATAAATGCTGTGATGGAGAGCAGCAGGGTGACAGGTGTCTGCTGGGGTGGTCAGGGAGGGCCTCTCTGGGGAGGTGACATTTGAGCTGAGACCTGAACACTTACAAAGGAGCCAGTCTTTTGAGGATCTGGGATCGGGTGGGGGTTCCAGGCAGGGAACAAACTGGGGAGGTTGTGCTGGCGGACATGTTCAGATGCGGCTGGAAAAGAGTCGGGGGCGGGTAGGGGGAGATGAAGTCAGAGAAATAAGGACAGGGGGTGCGTCTAGCCATAGGAAGGACATGGGTTTTCCCTGAGTCAAGCCAGAGACCTTGGAAAGCTTGGAGCTGGGAGGTGATGTGATCAGATTCATGGGCATGAGACTTCCTCTGGAGAAGGGATGCCCAGGAGAAGGCTGGGCCAGTCATCTGGACGGGATGGAGAGGATGAGGTCTGGGTAGGGGCAGGAGGCTGGGCTGGGCAAGGGATTCAGAGCCTTCCAATGAGTCCTTCCCAGCCTTTGAGCCTCATCCTCTTCACCAAGAAATGGCCCGATCTCCACGGCCCCCCTCCTTTCCTCTCCTTTTGACACCTGCAGACTTTCCCTGTCCCGCCCGTTCCGTTTTTTGTTTTTTTTGTTTTGTTTTGTTTTTTTGTTTCTTTGTTTGAGACAGGGTCTCACTCTGTTGCTCAGGTTGGAGTGCAGTGGCACGATCTCTGTTCACTGCAACCTCTGCCTCTGGGGTTCAAGCAGGTCTTCTCCCTCAGCCTCCCTAGTAGCTGGGACTACAGGCGCCCGCCACTGCACCCAGCTAATTTTTGTATTTTTAGTAGAGACAGGGTTTTGCCATGTTGGTCAGGCTGGTCTCAAACTCCTAACCTCAAGTGATCCGCCCGCCTGTGCCATCTTGGGTGCCTCACTGTGCATCATCTGTCCCGGCAGCCCCAGGAGGAGGTGCCCCCATTTCACAGGTGAGGAAGTGGAGACTCAGAGGGGAAAGGAGTTGCCCAGGATCAGAGCTGGGCCTGCCTGGGTCTCTATTCTCTCTAGCACCTCCCCTCCCATCCCAGCCCCCCACCAGTCAAGGCCCCTTCTGAGCCATGACCTCAATTTTCCAAGGTAAGGCAGCTTGTTAGCATCTCAAAGAACACTCTCGCCTGCCACCATGTATATTCATGGAGCTTCAAAGAGGAAGCTCCAGACAGGAGGCTCTTTCTTTCCTTCCAAGAGCAAATTCTCACCCTCTCAGATGCAGGATGTAGTCTGGCTGGAAAAAGACTTATTTTTTCTTCTTTCTCTCTCTTTTTTTACTAGCTAGTAAAAGGGAGATGCTACCTCCGGCTCTTAACGACTGAACATTTGTTCTGCCTGGTTGGTTTGAGAAGTTGTGGGGGCTTCAGAGACCTTGGCCTTGCAGTGGATTCCGAGGCCATCTGGTCCCACTTTGAGGGTCACAGAGGATGGGGACAGGGTTCAGAGGGCATCAGGGCAGCATACTCATCCTGCTGCAAATGCACCATGAAAATGCAGCTCTTCTCCTTCTATTGGTGTGTGCTTGACATTTTTCATACTAAGAAGTTAATAGAGGGTTTTTTTTTCTAAAACCCCTGAGCTCCCTGAGCACCTCACTCCGTTCCAGCCACTCTACCTTTGCCCACGCTTCCCCTCTGCCTGATGCGCCTCTGTGTGCCTGGTGGATTCCCGTGCATGTTTCAAGGCTTGATTCCAATGTCGCCTCCTCTCAGAAGCCTCCCCTGACTCCCTGGGTGGTCATGGCTGTGCTATGCTTCCTCCTTTATCCAGTGGATGGCTTTGATTCCTTGTAGCAGTCCTGTGAGGAAACTGAGGCTTGCCCAAGGCTGCATAGCATGGGTGAGGATTCAAATGTGTGGGTTGCTGTGTGACTCCCCGCGAACCACTCTGCCCTTCTGCCCTGCACATCACACGGCATTCTGTAGGCCAGGTCTTCCTGGCTGGGTCTGCCCCTGCTGGCCTCGAAGCCCTTCAAGGGTGGGTCCACATGGGTGTGGATCTTGGGTACCCAGCTTCGGGCTGTTACTGAGGATGCACTGACAGGTGTTTCCCAAATGGGTGAAAACATAGATAATTTTCCCCACTCCCTGCCATTATGGAGCTAAGGCAGAACTTGGGAAACTCATGGGACCTGCCTTTAGAGGCACTAGGAGCAAGAAACCCAGGCAGGCTGGAAAGCCACTGTCCCCACCCAGCGACCCACAACCCACAGGGGTGACCAGGTATCTGGGGAGTGGCGACTCTGTGGACAGCAAGGATGTCGTGTGTGCTGCGTCATTCAGCAAACACAGATTGAGCTCTGTGTGCCAGGCACAGGGCTGGGCACCAGAAGCACAGCGGTGAACAAGCCAGACCCAGCCCCTGGCCTCCCAGGGCTCTCACATGAGAGGTGGAGGGTGGGCAGACCAGAAATTGACAAAAATGCTACAGTGTGGAAAACAACAATTAGGGGGTTGGTCTGCAGGGCCTCTGGGGGCTGGGAGAGTTATCAGAGACTTTTCAGGGGGTATTACTGAGGCTGAGCTCTGCTGGCTGATGGCGAGCTGGTCAGGGAGGTGTCTGACCAGCATCCTGCAAAGGCCACGAGGTGAGAGAATCTAAGCTCACTCAGGGAACAGATGAGAAGGAGTGTGACCTGAGGGCCGGGGAAAGGAGAACCATTGAGGTCTGAGGGGCATAGCAGCGGAGACAGGGCTTGGCTTGTGGTTCGAAAAGCCCCCTGTGTGTGCAGCAGGGAGTGCAATTTGCAGGGGCCCAGGTGGCCATGGAGACCCCACGTAGGAGGCTGGTGCTGTTTTCAGGGGAGATGAAGGTGGCCTGAATCGGGACAGGGGCTGGGGAGGTCAAGGCGAGGGGCCAACCCAATTTTAGAGGCAGAGCCTGCTGGATTTTGTACTGGGCTAGGTGAAGGGCAAGGAAGGCAGTCTGGCTGAGCCCTGGAGGTGAGGAATGCTGGTTACTGAGATTGGGAGTTGGGGCTGCTGGAGACACGGCAGCTAAGGCTTTCTTTGTGAGGATCTCCACAGTGGCCTAGGGGCAGCTGGGTCGCCGGCACAGGGTGGTCCCTTTCCCCCAGTCCTGCCTCTCAGCCTGTATCTGGGACCGACGTGTCTATTGGAGGTGAAAATCATGCCTCCCGCCTGAGCCCGATTGCCCCCCGGGGGTGGCAGAACGCCAGGTGCCCATTTTAATTCTCCGACAGTCATACTGCTTTATTGTTCCTATTTGGGATTTTATTATTATTGCTGTTAATGGTTTGAAAAGGCCTTTTAATTAAAGCTGCAGGTTGGAGCTGGCACCTGAGCCCCTGGGGTGGGTGGGAAGAAGCCTTGCCAAGCGTTCACCCCACCTCTTACAGAGCTGGAGGCTTTTGAGATGGGGGCTGTGAAGCCTTCCATGGGGAGACTAGGGGACCCTGCCGTTGAGACCATGGTACAGCCACCGCCAGGCCTCAGTTCTCTGCCTGTGATACAACCAGAAGATTTTCCCAGCACAGATGGCATGACATTGATTTGTAAATGGACCTGTTGGTAGGGAGCTGGTGGGACACACCTGGGTTTCAGTCTCATCTTTGCTGCTTACTGGCTGCAGGACCTTGAGCAAGATGCTTAAATGGCCGCAGCCTCTGTTTGCTCATCTATAAAATGGGAGTGCTGAGTTCCTGCCTCCATAGGGCTGTTAAGAGGAATAAAGAGATGATCCAACCCCTGGCCCAGGCTGAACACTCAATAAATGGGGGTCATGTTATTGTGACTGTCGAGACTGTGGGGATCAAGCGAGGCTGTGTGTCTGAGCCTAGCACGTGGTAGATGCTCCGGACACAGCTGCTCCGGACACATCAGCTGCTCTTATAGCAGATGTTGCTGCCTTCTCCTCCCCTTCTTCCTCCCTCTTGTTCCCGAACGTGCAGGAGGTTTGACCCGTCTTTGCCTTTGCACATGCTGTTTCCCCATCCGTCGTGCCTCCCTTCATCTTTTGCCCACCTGGACATCCTTTTTGACCCAGGTGTGGAGCTGCCCCCTCTGGGAAGCCTTCTCCAGCTCCTCCTTTGGGACCTGGTTTCCCAGAGCTGCCCAAGCATCCCCTCTTAGGGGCCTGGTCTCCCTGCCTGTAATGACTTGTTGACTCCCAGGGGTTGCAAACTCAGGGGCCTGCAGGACCTGGCAGATCAGATCAGAGAGGAATATTGTCGAGTGAAGGATGACAGGTTCCTGTTTCTAAGCGCTGCTCCCACCCTGTGGCCAGGGCCCTCCTCCCCTGCCTCCAGAGGGACAGTTCCCTTTAGAGAGTTTGCCAATCCAGTCCATGCCCATGGAACACCTATAGTGTGTTGCCCTGAGCTGCGGGGCACCTCCACCACGAACTTCCTCCATTTCCATCCTCGTAACCACCTACGACATCTTTCCATGCCCATTTGGCTGACGACGAGACAAAGGCCACAGAGCTGAAGTTTCTGGCCTCCAGGGTCACCTAGGAGACAACTGTTGATGCCCCATCCTGATTTCCTCCCCTGACCAATATTGGCAGCTCCATCAGAATCATGTTCTTCCCTAGGACCCTTGCGCTTGCTGTTTCCTCTGCCTGAGACTCTGCCCCCAGACACCTGCAGGGCTTCCCGCCTGTGTTAAATGTCGCCTCCTCAAAGAGCCCTCCTCTCACCCTTCTCCCTGCTCTGTTATGCCTATGGCTGTGATCACACCCTGACATGTTGTACATTTGTTTGTTTAATCTGCATCTTTCCCACCGGACTTCAAGTCAGCAGCCCTGTGTGTTTGGCTTACATCTTATCTCCATTCCCTAGGATGATGGCTGGCATGAGTACCAGCAGGTGTTTGTGGATGAGTGACTCTCCTAACTGTGGGTGTGTGTGGGACTAAGGGGACAATGGGGGTCCAGCAGTCCCAGGGGCAGGGAAACTGGGAAACTGGAGGGCCCAGAGGGCAGCCCCCATCAGCTGCTCCCCACTCCTCTGGTTTCCTTGGCTGCCTTGATGTGCCCACCCTTGACTGTGGCCTTGCATCCAACCAGAGTGGGCGTCAGTCCAGCTTTGCTCCCGCCTGCTGTGGAGACAGCCAGCCCCCTTCTCCTTCCTGGGGCCACTGGAGCCCAGCAGACCCCAGAGGGGCCCCCAGCCCGCACCCAGTCTCCCATCTCAGCCCCCTCTCTGCTGTGCGCACACCTCTCCCTCCTCCTACAGCAAATACATTTTGGACTTAAAATAAAAAGCAGATACGGCGGAGGAAGGCGGAGGGAGCTGGGGGAGTCGGGAGAGAGTGGGTGGGGCCCAGCAGCAGCTGCAGCCGCATTTCCCCATGGTGGGTGGGGATGACCAAACTCATTCTGCGCATCAGAAACTGGGTCTCAGAGAGGTTAAGTGACTTGCCCAAGGGACAAGGCCCAGATACAGCCCCAGCGTGATCTACATACATACTGGAGGTCAGGCTCACTTCAGCCCTGAGGGCAAAGCCAGAACCAACAGGATGTTTTAGGGGTTACTGCTCATTCGCTCAATAATTCATGGAAATGACATGCTATGCCCAGCGGCAGGCTGTGGAGGGGGATGGGAGGGAAGTGGTGGGGGTGGTGGAGGGGGCAAGGCCCGCTGGGTAGGTGCAGGGAAGGCTTCAGGTTGGGGATGTGAAGGATGAGTGGGCATTCCAAGCAGCTGGGGAAGGCGGGAAGGGAGTCCAGATAAAGAGGGAGTCCTAAGCCACTCAGTGCTGAGCTGAGATGGGCCTGAGAGGGCTGGGTCTGCCCTGTGCTGTGGGCTCTGGAGGGTGGGTTCAGGCACAGACAGGAGGCAGGGACACTGGCTGCTCCTCATGGGGTCTCCTGACTCTGGGATCCTGAGGGTTAAATTTGCAGCGGATGCAGTTGTCACAATAACCCCTCCTCTGGGAAGCGGGTGCTTCCCCCCCAGGATGTTTCAAGCCCAGACTTCCCCACCCCTCTGTGTCCCTCTGCAGCCCATGGCATTGTGCCCTTTCTGCCTCTTCTGGTGGGAGAAGGCCTAGGCTGGTTGTTGCCTGCTACCTGTGCTGGGATTGGTGGTATGCCTGTGACCCCTCCTGATGGATGTCAGCCTGCTGGGCACCCACAGGCCCTTGCCTCCCCATCCCTGCCTACCTTTAGCCTCACCACTATGCCAAGAGGGAATGGGGCTTGGCCTGTGCCAGGATGAGGAAGCCGAGGCCCCAAGAGGGGAGGGGAGGGAGGAGTGGGATTGGGGAGTCTGGAAGGCCTGGGTCTGCCCCAGTCCTGTGGTCCACATGTGTGGGCAAGTAGCCTGTGCCCCTGAACCTCATGGTCCTCAGCTGCCCAGGAAGCTGGGAAGGTTGCAGGGTTGGGAGGGGAGCTTCTTAAGCTGTGTGTGACGCCCTGGACACATGGTGTGGGGAGCTCTGTCTGCTGAGAGCTGGGCACTGGCAGGGACTCACCCACGAGTGCAAGGGGGGAGGCAGGAGGGCCCATCTGGAGGCTACTGGAATGGTAGTAAGAAACACCATGCCGGGCCCATTGGCTCACGCCTGTAATCCCAACACTTTGGGAGGCCAAGGTGGGCAGATCACCTGAGGTCGGGAGTTCAAGACCAGCCTGAGCAACATGGAGAAACCCTGTCTCTACTAAAAAAAAACAAAAAATACAAAATTGGCCAGGTGTGGTGGCGCATGCCTGTAATCCCAGCTACTCGGGAGGCTGATGCAGGAGAATTGCTTGAACCCGGGAGGCGGAGGTTGCAGTGAGCTGAGATCGTGTCATTGCACTCCAGCCTGGGCAAGAAGAGTGAAACTCCATCTCAAAACAAACAAACAAACAAACAAAAAACAGTCATTCATTTAGTCATGTATTGAGCACCGCCTGTGTGCAAGGCCCTGGGCCGACTGGCCTCTGTCCTTGGGGAGCCGTCGGTCCAGTAGGGGAGTCAACAAATGACAACAAAAAAATAGATAAATAAATGAATAAATGAATGCAACCGTGCCACACAGTGAAAGGTCCCAACGCAGTCGGGGCTGGGAGGTCCTCCCTGGGCAAGTGCCATTTGAGCTAAACCCTGAGGAAGGAGTGACAGCCACCCAGGTGAAGAGGGAGAGAAGGGCATTCTGGGCAAGGAAACAGCATGGCAAAGGCACCGAGGCAGGTGGGGCAGAGCAAGCATGAAGGCCTGGGAACACTGGTGAGCCAGGGAGCAAGAGCCAGAGGGAGGAGGCTGAGAGGGGCTGGGGACTCAGCGGCTCTCTCGGGAGACATTGCAGATTTTATCTCAAGAGCAGTAGGGAGCCACGGAGGGTTTTAGGCAGAAGGTAATATGATCTGGTGTGCATTCATTTTTTTGAGATGGAGTCTTGCTCTGTTGCCCAGGCTGGAGTGCAGTGGTGCGATCTCAGCTCACTGCAACTCTGCCTCCTGGGTTCAAGCCATTCTCGTGCTTCAGCCTCCCAAGTAGCTGGGACTGAAGGTGCGTGCCACCATGCCTGGCTAATTTTTGTATTTTTAGTAGAGACGGGGTTTCACCATGTTGGCCAGGCTGGTCCCGAACTCCTGACCTCAGGTGATCCACCCGCCTCAGCCTCCCAAAGTGCTGGGATTACAGGCGTGAGCCACTGCACCTGGCCTGTTTTTTTTGTTTGTTTAAGGCAAGGTCTCTGTCTGTAGCCCAGGCTGGAGTGCAGTGGCACGATCTCCGCTCACTGCAACATCAACCTCCTGGGCTCAAGTGATCCTCCCACCTCAGCCTCCTGAGTAGCCAGGACTACAGCCACCACCCCTGGCTAATGTTTTTTAAAAAAATTTTGTAGAGACTGAGTTTTGCTCCAACTCCCACCTTGGCCTCCCAAAACGCTGGGACTGCAGGCCTGAGCCATGGCGCCCAACCCAGTGTGTGTTTTGATGTGCTTATTCTGCCCCCTGAGTAAGGGAGTTAGAGGAGGCCAGAGTGGAGCAGGGGAATGCGGGGCACAAACTCCCAGTGGGCCATCTGCAGGACCAGCAGTGTGGCATTTGAGGGGGACTGAGAAGGCTGTGTTTCCTGTGGAGAGGCAGAGCCAGTGCTGGCATTTGCTCATGGAGGGGACGCACAGCTCCGGCAGAGGCGTTAAGGTGGGAATGGCAGAGGAGGGAAGATCCCAGAGGGCCTGAGCTCTGGACCTCCGGCAAGAGGTGCATGCTGGACAGGCAGTGGAGGCTGGGTTGGGGGAGTGAGGCTAAGGCAGCCGCAGAGCGGGGAAGGAGAGGAGCCTGGAGTAGCCAGGGGTGTTGATTAGCATATTCATGATCTTGCCGCCCACATGAATATGCTAATCAACCCTGTGGGGTTTGGGGGTTTTTTGTTTTCCCCTCTGTGGTAGAAGGAGGCCTAAGTTCCCAATACCCTCACCTCTGGGAACAGAGCCCCAAGTATGAGTGCGGTAGGAGGGGCCCCACATCCCCAACATCAGCTCCTCCCTTCTCCTGGCTGCCCAACAGCCCCTGCACACCCTCCGTTTCTCGGGAACTTCTGGCTGTTCCGGAAGTGGAGATGGTGAGGAAGGGGATGTCCTTGGGATGCCCATGCCGCACCCACACTGCAGGCTGGGCCAAGGCTGCCCGGCCCCATGCTGTGGTTCCCCGCACGTGGCTGCTTCTCGGGAGAGACCCGTGCACGGGTCTCCAGTGACTCACCCTCTCCGTGGCACATGTGGCAGGGAGTGGGTCGGCTCAGGCAGGAAACACCAGGGGCTTGCCACAATCGCCAGTCTGTCCCCAGTGCCCCCGACACCTATGTGCCCCCAGCCCAGGTCGGGGGTCTCTGCTGGCCTCCTTGCACCCTGGTCTTTGTGACCAGGGAAATGGCCACATCAGATCAGCGGCATTAGTTGTGTCCCCACCCCTGCCCACCCTCTGGCATGAGTTCCTGGGCGGCAGGGCTGAGTGCATGAGAAGAGGCGGAGACACTGCTGCCCAGACTAGGCCTCCCTCTGGCATCCCTCCGGAGACCCCAGGGGTCCCCCAGTTCAGCCTGGTCCCTCGGGGGGCTGTCGGGAGCCAAAGAGCTTGATGCAGGTGCTGCGATCCAGCGGGTGGAGGGGGAGGCATAATTAGCTGTCACCAGAGGAGTGAGTCAGGCACCACTCGTAGCTTTGAGTCAGCCCCAAAGGGGAAGGGGACACAGCCAAGGTCACATGCCAGCAAGTTGGGCCTGGTCTCCCTGAGCACCTCCCACCCCTCCCCATGCTCCTCCTGGAACAAACTGGGCCTGCTCCAGGCGGTAGCTCTGAGGAGAGCTGGGAGGCATTTCTATCACCCATTGCACAAAGAGGGAAACTGAGGCCAGAGAGGGCACTTGCTTCCTCTGTGCAATCCTCCCTGTCTGCACAGCTCTCTGTTCAGGTCCTTAAACCTTTACCAGGCTGCTCCCCACCTCAGGACCTCGGCCCGGCCATCTCTTCTGCCCAGAACACTTCCCCAGTTCTTATCCATCAAGACTCTCCACCCGAGTGTACTTTTCAGAGGAGCCTTCTGTGACCTTTGTCTTGACCCCTGGTTTTCTCTGTCCCAGGCCCTTGGGACACTTATCATGACTTACAATTGTTTTGCCAGTTTTGTCTCACCCCCTTGCCAAGAGCTCAGCGTCCTCATCTGTCTTGTTGACTGCCCCAACCCCAGCCCCTAGCAAAGTGCCTGGCATGTACCAACGATGGTGATGCCTGGCACTCACTGATATGCACCGTGTGCCAGGCACCATGCAACCACCTCCGAAAGCCTTTGTTCCCGCAGTAACCCTTTGAGAGAGGTGCGGTTTCCATCCTTCCTGGTTTAGAGATGAAGAACGACGTGCAGGGGGCCACAGGCCTTGCTGAAGGGCACGCGGCTCCCGCGGGGAGGAGTTGGTGTCTGATCTCCCAGATCTGCACTTGGGTGGCCCACTGGGCTGCCACCCCCTCAGTCCCTCTGCTCTAGTGCACACAGTAGGTGCTTGGCAAATATTGGGTGGGTGAACAGATGGGAGAACAAGCTTCTCCCAGAGTCACCCAGACATCGGGGGAAGGGCGGGCCTGTCGTCCCAGCTTCCGCTCTCCAGCATTTTCCTAATGCTGCTGGGGCGCCGTCCCCAGCACTCAGTGGGCACCACCACAGCCTCCCGCCTTCCTGCAGGCTGGCAGAGCAGGCTCAGCTCCCCAGGCACACTTCATTCGACTTTCTCCTCATTTCTTTGAGCAGATTGAAGAGTGGGAACAGCAGCAGGCTGTTGGATCGGGGTGTCGGGGACAAGAGGGTTCATTTCCCAGGAACCCCTGGTGGCCGGAGTGGAGCCCTGAAGTCCAGGTAGGAGGCTGTGCACATAGCCCCCCACCACCCTCTTTCTGGGCTGGGGTCTCCCCAGCGAGGGGCCAAAGGTCAGAACTTTAGAGCCAGGGGCCTCCATACATTTGCTGTGTGGTCTTGGGCAAGTCACTCCTTCTCTCTGTGCCTCAGACTCCTCTTTGGCAAAGTGGGGCACAAGATGGCTCCTATCTCTTCATCCCACTGCAAGAACCTGGAAGCCAAGGCACGGCCTCCAGAAGGGATAACGGGAGTGCTTGTTGGCTGAATGGAGTTGGGGGCTGGATAGACAGGGTAGGCCAGTGAGTGTGTCTGGGTAAGGGCCTATCAGGGAAAGGGGAGTCTGTTTGGGGCTGGAGGCCTCAGCCCAGTAGGTTCCCAGCCTTGAAGGCCAGGCCCAGCTCCCACCAAGGCCCCATGACAGCCTCGGTACTACCAATGCTGATGAATGCCTGGGCGCCAGCAGCCACCCCGCTCAGTGGAATCAGCTGTGATTTATGGGATTGGGGCCCGCAGGGAGCAACTGTCTGAGCTCAGAGAAGCCTCAGAAAAATGGGTCAATGCAGGGCAGGGCTGGGATGGAGGTAACCTCTGCCAACTGGAAAGGCTCAGAGACTGGCTCCTCTGCCGCATAGTCCTGGTGGGGAAACTGAGGCCCATGGAGGGGCCTTTGCTGGCAGAGAGGCCCTCTAGTGGGCAGCAGAAATCAAAAGCCAGAACTAGTGTCCAGTACTGGGAGGTACCTTATAGACTTCAGGGTAGCCAGGGAAGGCCTCTCAGCAGAGGCGACATTTGTGCTAGGCCCTGAGGCATGAGAAGGAGCCATGCTGGTAGGAGGTGAGCTGGTGGTGGGAGCAGCAAGGGCCTGAGCTTGGAGGTGGGACAGAGGCTGGCACGTTCAGGAAAGAACAAGGAGGGCAGGGCACCTGAGGGACTGAGTGAGGGGGAGGGGAGAGGGAGAGGATGCTAGAGAGGAGCGGGGACTGCTCAGCCCTGAGGGGCCTTCTGGCCCTCAGCCCCAGTTTGGGCCTTTTCCTAAGTGCCCTGGAAAGCCTCTGAAGTGCCGGCAGCTCACCGGCTCACATTTTACAAAGACCCCTCTGGCCTCTGTGAAAGTGAATTGGAGCAGCATGTGGAAGGCAGGGAGTCTGAGGAGACGGCTGCAGACATCGTGGCAACGAACAGCTGTGGCTTGGACCCAGGGTGGCCAAGAAAGACCCAAGCCTGGGAGCTAGAATTTGTCCCTGGGATTCTAGTTTAAGCCACTCATCTCCTCTGGGTAGTGACCAATTTTAATGTCTCAAAACTGTGATCCCTTGATGCCCCACACCAGGGCCCAGGAACCGTGTTTCACAGAGTCAGTGCCACATCATACCAACTTTATGATGTGCTCAAGGTCACCCAACTTGGAAGGAGCAGAGCTGGGATGGGAAGCTGGGTTTCTTAGTTCCACCGCTTTTTAATGCCTCATTTGCCCCTATTCCCACCGGAGGTGAAAGCTGCACCTCCTCAAGGAAAAAAAATGGATTTTTGAGGCTACCAGGTACCCCCCCCCAACCCCCCGTTGGGTGAATTTGAACTATATCTGTGTCTGCACGCATGCATGCACACACTTCACTCAGCAGGAAATTTGGGACAGGAGCAGCTTGGGTGCATGTCTGGGCCTTCTCCTTGCTGGGAAACCAGGCCAGAGCTGGAGAGGCCCCAGCAGCACTGCTCTGGTGCCACCCTCTCCCCGGTACTCAGATGCCTGCTGGCAAGGGCACTGGTGGGCCCCGAGTGGCTGCTGGCCCGTGGCTACAGCTGACACACATTGTCTCTGAGCTACTTCATGTTTCTGCCTTTGACAGAGAACCCTCCAGCAGAGCAGTGGGATCACTACTGAGGGAGCTGCCTGCCTGCTGTTCCGGCCATGGGGGTGCAGGGGAGTGCTGTTCACCTTGCCAGGGGAGCCTAGCATAGACCATCAGGAAAAAGTCTGTGCCGGGAGGTGGAACTGTGGGTTTTCTGGGTGACTCGTGGTAAATCAGGTCCCTCTCTGGTCCTCACTTCCCCCATCTGAACAGTGGGAGTGTGGTGGGATAGATTCAGTGATTTCAAACCTAACCTGGTCTGAATCTCTGCTCCCGACTCTTCACTAGCTGTGTGACCTTGAGCAGTTAACTTCACCTCTCTGAGTCTCAGAATATTCATCTGTATTCTTATCCCCATTTTCGTACTTACTTTACCCGACTGCTGGGAGTAGAAGCAGGTAAAATTCTTGGAAGACCAGGCACACAGCAAGCACCCAAGCAAAGTCAGCCTCCCGAAATAATAACAAGTCCACAATGTAACAGTGATGGCTGATGCTTACTGGGCCCCTCCATCTACCACATGCCTCATCTGCACTTGGTCTTCACTACAGACCCGTGAGGTCAGTGCCCTTATTCTCCCCAGTTTACATTTGAGGGAACTGAGGCACAAAAGAGGAGCTGGCCTGAGATCACATTGCTGGGGTGTGTAGAGCCCAGCCGACCATGGCTCCCTACCTGTCCCCAGGTACTCATCTTCCTTTCTTAATCCCCAACCTCCAGCTGCTCTTAGAAGTGTTTTCCAGGGGAACCTGGTCTTGGGAGCCTGGTTGGGATTTCAGAACCTTGGACAGCTCCCAGTGGACCTGGGCCTCGGCTGGGCCTAGGGCCCTGGGTGTGAGGTCCTATTCAGTGGGATGAGACCCTCCACCTCATCTTGGCCGTGTGGAGGCAGCAGGACTCTGGATGAGCCAGCAAAGCTAAGGGTCCCCCCTCCTTCCCTAGGCACATCGAGTCCACTGGACCCAGAGGCTCTTTGGGAGGGGAGGAGCCAGGGCCCTACTTCCATGTCTCAGCACCTCCACACCCCTCCTGGGCCTTGCCATCACCATGGAAACAGGTGGAGGATGCACTCCCAAAGACCCCACTTCAGGAACTTGGGCTTGGGAAGCTCAGGACTAAATTTGAAGGGACCTAAAGTCACTACTGCCTCTGTTTTCCCTCCAGCCCATTATACAAGATGGGGAAACTGAGGCCTAGAGAAAGGAAGGCTGGATTCTTGACATGTCCCAGCTGGAAGGTTCCCAGGTATCAGCTGGCCCCACTGTTCCATTATATAGACGAGAGAACTGAGGCAAAGGGACCATCTTCAGAGAGGTGCCCCCTGCAATTGGCTTCTGGAGGAATCGCTTTTTTTCCTTCCTCACAGGTGCCATAATTTGAAGCATGTGTTGTTTTTGTGTTTGGTATCTCTTCTCCTGCTGGTGGACAAACCAAGGTCAGGGCCATTTGTTTGTGGTCATATCCCAGGGTCTGGTACACACTGTGGCAGATAGAGCGTTGGCTCTGGGGCCAGCTGGCCTAAGTTCAAATTCCAGCTTCTGCCAAGGCTGTGAGACTTTGGGCAGGTCACTTCTCTTCTCTCTCAGGCTCTTCATCTGTGAAATGGGAGAATGATGGCATCTGCATCCCAGGCTTGTTTTGAAGATTGACTCAGATGGTATAAGCCTCAAGCCTTGCCTATGGCGAATGTACAGCCAATGTCAGCTGTTACTATAGTCACCTGTTAGTGGGTGCCCAGGACGTATTTGTTGAATGAATGAGCAGAATCCACCCACCTGCCCCACTGTAAGGGCTTTTCTTCAGGACATCAGGGGCTGCCTCCTCCTGATCCTATTACTTTTTTTTTTCTGAGACAGAGTATTGCTCTGTCACCCAGGCTGGAGTGCAGTGGCATAACCATGGCTCCCTGCCGCCTTGACCTCTCAGGCTCAAGTGATCCTCCCACCTCAGCCTCCCAAGTAGCTGGGACTACAGGCACTTACCACCACACCAGGCTAACTTTTTTATTTTTGTAGAGACAGGGTCTTGCTATGTTGCCCTGGCTGTTCTCAAACTCCTGGCCTCAAGCAATCCTCTTGCCTTGGCCTCCCAAAGTGCTGGGACTACAGGTGTGAGCCACCATGCCCACCCTCACATTTTTTTTCATTCCAGCAGACAATGACCTCTCACCTGCCTTGTCAGAGGGCCTTGAAATTTAGCATAAATTGTAATCCCTTGGAGGGACTTGATGCGAATCCCTGGCCTCACCAAGACCACTGGGATCCAGGGCTCTATGGGCAGAGTCCAAGGACTGACGGCTGTGGGTACCCCATGCTTGTCCGTGGCTCTGGCACTATTGTGGCTGCCTCAGGGGGTTCAGTGAAGAACTGTGCCATAGCCATTGTGCTGACCATGTGGGTGACATAGCCCTACTCACTGTTAGCAGGAGCTCTGCCCTCTGGGACAGGCACTGGAAGCCTAAGCAAGATGCTAGGCCCAGAGAGGAACCATCCGGGACACTCTCCTGGAAGCGGTGGGTTTCAGCCAGGCCTGAAAGAGTGGGACGGATGTTGCCCAGCTGAGATTGGCAGATGGCATTGTGGATGGGGGAACAGAGCCCACAAAGTGGTGCAGGCAGGAAAAACAGGTTGTGCCTGGTGTGTGGTGTGGGATGAGCTGGTAGATGATATATTGGGAGAAGTAGGTGGGATTTATCTGGATTGTCAAAGACTTGGAATGCTACATCTTATACAAGCCCCTTGATTTCCTCTCTCTGTTTTCCTTCTGTCACTTGAGTGTTTTAGGACCCATTTTTTTTTAATTCTATGACCCCAATTTCTACTCTTCCCCTCTACTCCAGTTCTTTCCCATCACCTCTCTCCTCTTAAAACTCATGCATACCCTGACCTTTCAATCTGTTTCTTATGAAGTGAATCCATGCTGAAGTCACAGTGGCCAAAAATGAGTTGTCACAGGGCTGGGGAGGGGTTTCTTGTAACAGGGGCCTTCAGTACCTCGGCCCAAGACAGAGACTTCGGTGGTGGAAACTTGGGCAGCACACTGGGGACATTTGAGAGAACATTGACAGGTCTGTCACTCCAGTGTGTGGTGTGGGCATTTCCAGTCTTTTCCTCCTTCCTGAAGCTTTGCCTGTGCTACTCCCTGTGCTGGGCACTGTCCCTGCCCTCAGAGTGCTCTGTCTGGTTGGGGAGATGTGGTGGTGCAGGGCTCCCAGATCTCCTGGGGGCAGAACCTCAAGGAAGGCTGAGGATGGTCCATCATCAGCAACCCCAGCTCCCAGCTGGGGCCTGGGCCAGAGGGTCATTCAGAAGAGTGCTGACCCCCTATGTCTATGGACTTGACTAGAGTCAGGTAATAGGATCAGATTAGAAGCAAGGCTATTGGGGCTTAGAGGGAGGAAAGATGGATTCTTTAGTGTGTGTGGAAGGGGCAGAGAGAGAGGAGTCAGGGGGCAGATGGGGCCAGATCATGGGCCACTGAGCACCAGCATCAACCCAGGCCAAGAGAAGCTTGTTTGTCCATTCATTCAACTAGTATTTGTTGAGCACCCACCATGTGCCAAGCCCTGTGCTGGGGTGCTGTGGAAAATGAAACATGCTCACACAGGCTTGATGGTCAGGGCATGAATTTTGGCACTCTCATGGAAAAGCTGTGGGACTCTGGCTACAAGTGACAGGAGACCTCAAAATAATGTGGCTTACAGGTTGGGCAACATAGCAAGACCCCGTCTCCACAAAAAAATTTTAAAAATTAGCCCAACATGGTGACATGCACCTGTACTCCCAACTACTCAGGAGGCTGAGGCAGGAGGATCACTTGGGCCCAAAAGTTTGAGGCCACAGTGAGCAATGATTGTGCCACTGCATCCTAGATGACAGAACAAGACACTTAAATAATAATAATAACAGCAGTAGCTTAGATAGGATGAAAATTTATTTATCTCCCAAATATGAGATGGGTAGGCAGTTCAGGGCCTAATTGGTGTCTCCACGATCATTCAGAACCTAGACTTCTTCAATAAAGAGTTGTTACTGTGCCTTCCATAGAATGGAGCTTCACCTCATGATTCCTGATGACTGCTCCAGCTCCACCCATCTTATCCACATTCCAGCCATATTGCATGTATGACCTCTAAGCTGATTTTCTTAGAAACTGCACCTATGACTTCTGTTTATATCCTTCTACCAAAAACGTAGTCACATGGCCACACCTATCTGCACAGGAGGGAGGGAAATGTACACTTTATTCTAGATGGCCAAAGGCCCAGCTAAAATCAGGAGTTCAGTTACTGAAGAAGGAAGGAGGAGATATGGGGGGACAATTAGCAATGCCTGCCATGCTGTTTCTTCATCTGACTAGAGGTCATTACTCTTCATTCATTTATCCAACAAATATTTAGTAAGCATTTACTCTGAGCTATGGCCACCTTTTGAGTGCTGTGCCAGCTGTGAACAAAAAAGGCAAAGTCCTTGCTGTAGCAGAGCTTACTTTCTTTTTTTTTTCTTTTTTGAGATGGAGTTTCTCTCTTGTCGCCCATCTCGTTCTAAAGTGGCGCGATCTCGGCTCACTGCAACCTCCGCCTCCCAGGTTCAAGCAATTCTCCCGCCTCAGCCTCCCGAGTAGTTGGGATTACAGGTGTGTGCCACCATGGCCAGCTCATTTTTGTATTTTTAGTAGAGACAAGGTTTCACCATGTTGGCTAGGCTTGTCTTGAACTCCTGACCTTGTGATCCGCCCACTTCGGCCTCCCAAAGTGCTGGGATTACAGGTGTGACCCACTGCTCCCGGCTGAGCTTACTTTCTAGAAGGGGAAACAGACACTAAACAAACAAATAACATCAAGCAGTGAAAAGTATTATGATTTTAAAAATCAGGAATAAAGAGTGATATGGGGCCAGGCGTGGTGGCTTATGCCTGTAATCCCAGAACTTTGGGAGGCCGATGTGGGTGGATCACCTGAGGTCAGGAGTTCAAGACCAGCCTGGCCAATATGGTAAAGCCCCATCTCTACTAAAAGTACAAAAAAATTAGCTGGGTGTGGTGGTGTGCGCCTGTAATCCCAGCTACTTGGGAGACTGAGGGAGGAGAATCACTTGAACCCAGGAGGTGGAGGTTGTAGTGAGCCAAGATTGAGCCACTGCACTCCAGCCTGGGCGTGACAGAACAAGACTCCATCTCAAAAAAAAAAAAAAAAAAAAAAAAAAAAAAAAAGCCGGGTGCAATGGCTCACACCTGTAATCCCAGCACTTTGGGAGGCTGAGGCGGGTGGATCCCGAGGTCAGGAGATTGAGATCATCCTGGCTAACACGGTGAGACCCTGTCTCTACTAAAAATAGAAAAAAATAGCCAGGCGTGGTGGCAGGCGCCTGTAGTCCCAGCTACTCGGGAGGCTGAGCCAGGAGAATGGCATGAACCCGGGAGGCGGAGCTTGCAGTGAGCCGAGATCACGCCACTGCACTCCAACCTGGGTGACAGAGCAAGACTCCATCTCCAAAAAAAAAAAAAAAAGTGAGATGGATGTACTATTTTAGGTGTAGGGAACGTAGCCTGAAGAGGAGGGGATATTTGAGCACAGACCTGAATGAAGTAAGGGACAAGCCATTAATGGAAAGGGGGCTCTGAGAAGAGGGAACAGCAAGTGCAAAGGCCCTGAGGCAGGAGTGCGCCTGGTTTGACAGAGAAACAGGAAGGAGGCCGGAGCTGCTGCAGCAACTTCATGGGTCATCGTGAGGATAAAAAGGGCGATGGATATGACGTGCCCAGCATTCATCCTGGTTGTTCAACAGATAAGGTACCCACATGTCATGATTTGCCCGGGGCAGTTCTGGAGTAATTACTAACAGCTTCCTTTTCAAGCTCATAAGTATCCCTGTTGGGATGATAAAGTATGTGGTCATCACATCAATAAATAATAGCTATTTATTGGGAAACTAAATTCCCCAAGGTATTTCCGGGAAAGCAGCATCGCCGCGTCCCAGGGGATGGGCTGTCCTCCCCTGACTGCCATATACTCCCAACCCCTGCCCCGTGTTTCCGCCCTGAAGGAGCAGCCCCATCAGGCACAGCTGTGCTGATGCCGGCCCCTCATCCCCACAGGCTCCCAAGCAGGTGAGTGCACCAGCATCTCACAGTTCCCACATTTTTAGCCTGTGGGTCTCAAGCGGCTTCTGGTGTCCCTCAGACATGTATCTAGAGGAGGTGCCATGGGGACAGGACGGGGATCTGCACAGGGACCCAGAAGGCTGGCGGGTGCCAAGCCTGGATCGTCCCCCGAGCTCAGCTTGCCCTTAGGCCCCCCAGCCCTTCGGCATCAGTTTCTCTTTGTGTGCTAGAGACAGTTTCCTTGTGGATATAGGGTAGCGGATGAGTAGCCCAGCAGCTGTGGGAGGCGGGAGCAAGTGCCTGGGTGAGAGCAGTCCCTCCTGGGTGGGGCAGTGGGGTCCTGTGACCTTATCCATCCACCTGGCCCTGAGGAGGCCCCTTCTCCATCCCCAGCACCTGCCCCATCCTGACTCCGCTGACACTCAGAATTCAACTTCCTTCAATATCTCAATTTGCAGGTGCTTAATGAAAATGCATGCCTCACTTCCCTGGACTGTGAAATGGGCCTGATAGTGTCCATCTGTCATTTCCCTGGGGTGAATCAGATGATACAATGGCTGACAAGGGCATGCCCTCTGTACCAGGGCAGCAGGTGGGGAAGGGGCCTATCATGACCTCCTTTGTTCCAAAAAGTATCAGCCCAGGCCTCTGCACACAGTAGGTGATCACAAAGTGCTTCTCACAGCAGATGGCAGAGATGTGATGTGTGCTGAGGACTGCTGACCAGTTTGGCTCAGTCTCCCTTTTGCAGATGCTGGAGGGGACTGTCCCTCACTGCCTGACTCCTTCCCCAGTGGGCTGTGGGCCTCTGCTGCCCCAGAGGCTGCTTGTGATTGGGGGAAGGAGGGCTGTCCCTGCCAGCACCACAAGCCCCTCACTCTGGAATCCCAAAGGCCTAGGGAGTCAGGTGCCACGCCGGGGCAGCTGCATTGTTGGTTCAGAGGTATCTGTGGGCCCAGACACATCTAAGCTTTAATCTCAACTCCAGCGTGTGCCGCCTGCCCTCCGGCGAGTGACTTCACCTCTCACAACTTCCAGTTCCTCTTCTGTGAAATGGGGATCGTAAGAGAGGCTGCTCCAGGAGTGGTTGGGGGCCCCCCTGCCTGGCACAGAGGAGGGAGTGGCACCCACTGCTCCCACTCTGTTGGGATTACTGCCATCTTTGTGCCATCTTTTCTGGGAGGGCAAGACCTGGGGTGTCATCCGTACTTATAAATGGCAGACCCCCTACAAGAGGGGTCCCCAACCCTTGGGCCATGACCAGTGCTGGTCCGTGGCCTGTTAGGAACTGGGCTGCACAGCAGGAAGTGAGTGGCGGGCCTGTTAGATCCACCTCCTGTTAGATCAGCGGCGGCATTCGATTCTCATAGGAGCTCGAACCCTATTGTGAACTGCACATGTGAGGGATCTAGGCTGAGCTCTCCTTATGAGAATCTAATATCTGATGATCTGTCAGTGTTGCCCATCACCCCCAGATGGGACCATCTAGTTGCAGGAAAATAAGCTCAGGGCTCCAACTGATTCTGCGTTATGGTGAGTTGTATAATTATTTCATTATATATTACAATGTAATAATAATAGCATAAAGTGCACAATAAATGTAATGCGCTTGAATCATCCGGAAACCAGCCCCCCTCATCTGTGGAAAAACTATTTTCCATGAAACCGGTTCCTGGTGGCGAAAAGGTTGGGGACCACTGCCCTACCAGACAGCAGGGCAGGTGCAAGGTCACAGTCTTTGATTTGTTCGATGGATATTTCCTAAGCAATTACTATGCCCCAGACACTGTGCTGGGGGCTGCAGATGTGTTGGTGGGGAAGAGAAACAATGTCTCCCCACCTGGAGCTCGCTTTAGAAATGGGGGCTCCTCCAAACCCACCTGTGGGTGTGATGTGCTGCCGGCCGGGTGGTGTGAGTGCTAAGAGGCAAAACGACCAGGACAAAGTGCGAGGAAGCCCAGGCAGGTGAGACAGGGTGTCTGGTCTGGGTCCAGGAAGGCCTCTCTGAGGAGGTGACAGCTACAGAAGCTCAGGGGAATGAGGGAGGGAGAGAACCCCGGGTGATCCAGGGAAGAGTGGTCCTGGCAGCGGAAACAGCAAGTGCAAAGGGCCTGGGGTGGAGCAGCTGCAACTGAAGAAGAGGTGGGAGGCCAGAGTTGGGGAAGGAGGGCATGATGGTGAGAGTGGGCGATGGCAGAGACGCACATGGGGACCAGACCTTGTGGGGCCCTGTAAGCCAGGGTGAGGTCTCAGCCTCCACTCAGTGAGATGGGAGCCACTGAGGGCTTTGAGCAGAGACTGTGTCTCAACAGGACTATCTGGCTGCAGTGTGGAGACTGGACTGAAGGGATCATGAGTGCAGGCAGGGAGGCCAAGGGGCCTCTAATTTGGGGGAGAGGTGACCGTGGCTGGGACTCGGTGGCAGAGGTGGGGGTGGGGAGGGCCGGCTGGATTCTAGAGATGTTTTGAAGGGAAGAGAAGCAGGATTTCCTGGAGGACTGAGTGTGGGGCGAGAGAGAGGAGTCCAGGAAGACGGGAAAGTTTTTGTCCCGAGAAAAAGAAACTAGAGCTACCCTCAAGTGGGATGGGGAAAACTACAGGAGGAGCAGGTTCAGGAGAGGAAGGGAAGGCGGTGAAAATTGTCTGATACCTTGTAGACATCCAGGTGGACAGGCCCAGCAGGCAGTGCTGCATGGAGATGTCTAGAGTTTGGGGGAGGCCAGGCTGGATGTGCCAGTGAGCAGGATAGGAGGCTGGAAGGGTCGCCAGGGAGTGAGAGCTGGGGTCTCTTCAGGCAGGGAGGTGTGGGTGACGGGAAGCATGTCTGCTGAACTGAAAGTCTAGATGTTGGTCTGAGTTATAAAGACATAAAGAACGGGACTCTTGCTGTCATAACATCCACAAGAGGGGGGCTACGGAAATGAGTGGCTGCTCAGCAGGCCCAGGTTCTGCGCTGCCCTCACCTCCTCCTGCGTCCACTGTGTGGCCTTGCTAATGCACCTGCCCCCTCTGGACCTTGATTCCTTGACTCTGGTGAATCATCCTTTTGGCATCTCCCATGGAGATGCTGGGGCAGCCTCAGAGACTTCAGGTGGCCTAGAACCATGGAAAATGGGGAGAAGGGGTGGCCAGGGGTACCCGACGAGCTCAGAGCAGAGGGTGGGGAGAAAGCTGGGCCTGCAGAGCGGCTTTCCTGGAGGGGTTTTAGACAGGGCAGCCATGGCTCAGAGAGAGGAAGACCCCCTCCAACCCACACTGCCCTGCGGCAGGTCCTGCTGGGATGACTGAGAGGGGGCGGCTCTGGCAGGAGTCACACGGTGACCTCAGCTGTCCCTGAAAAGTGGCTGAGTCAGCATCTGGGCTGGGCTGGGCTTCAGTGCCCAGGTGCGTCTTCTCCATGGCCAGGCAGGAGAGGGAAGGCCCCTTCTGCTGTCTCCCCAGCCCTGGGGCCTTTTTTCTGCTGCTGATCTTTTTGAGGACTCTTTTTTCTTTTCACCATGAAGGGCAGAAGCATTTCTTGTAAGCACCTGGTTACAAACTCAGCACATGCAGGCCACAGGGGGCCCAGGAGCCGTACAGCTGGGGAAGCTGAGGCCTGGTGCTGGAGAGAGACTTGCCCTGGTCACAAGAGTTGGAACAGAGCTGGGGCTCCAACCTGTGTCCGCCACTTTGCCATTCAGAACTCTGAGGAACTTAGGGGACCAGCGGAGGAAGAGGAGCCGGCAAAGGCAGTGAGAAGTTGCAGCAGCTCTGATGACTGGCTTGGCCCAAGGGGCAGGAGGCCACACCTGCCAGGGGCTTCCTATAGATCCAGTTCTGTACAGAATGTCCTGTGTGCTCCTGTCCACAGCTGTGCCATCATCATGTCCATCTGAGTCAGAGAGGTTGAGCGTCTTACCTAAGGTCACCCAGCAAATGAGGGGCAGAAGTGGGTTTGCATCCAGGTCAGCTCCCTCGAGCGCCTGCTGTTTCCCCAGCTGCCCCTTGACAACTGTGGAGAACAAAACGGGAGGCCAGCAGGGGTCAGGTGGGGATGGCCGTAGGAAGGACAGAGTTCTGTGCCGGCCGGCCTCCCGCCTCAGGCCACATTCTCTCTGGGGGACTTGTCAACTCCACTGGTGTCCCTCTGAACACCCACAGTCCCCATACCTGCAGCTCCACCCCTGGCCTTTCCCTGGGGTTCTCCTGGACCGCATTCCCAATGTCCTGATTGAGCCCAGGAGTTCAAAGCTGCCGTGAGCTGTTATCACCCCACTGCACTCCAGCCTGGGTGACAGAGCCAGACCCCATCTGTAGAAAACAAAACAAACAAAATCAAACAAACAGCTTTATTTGAGTACTGTTTACACTCCATAAAATTCACCTATTTTAAGCATTCTCTTTAATGAGTTTTAATAAATTTTTGCAGTGCACAACAAACACCGCAATTCAAAAGTTCCCTCTGTCCATTTGTAGTTGCTCAGCACATCCGGACTGACTCCTGCATTTGTCCATAGGTCTTCTCTTGCCACTCTGTCCCCTGACTAGTGAGTGGCACTATCTGGAGTTGACCCTCGTGGCTGCACCCAGGATCCCCTCACTGCATCTCCACTAGCCTTTTTAAAAAACAGCTGTATTGCTGGGCACAGTGGCTTGTATCTGTAATCCCTGCTATTCAGGAGGCTGAGGCAGGAGAGTCACTTGAGCCTAAGAGTTTGAGACCAACCTGGACAACATAGTGAGACCCCCCTCATCTCTTAAAAATGAAAAAAGAAAAGAAAAAAATTGGCCAGGCGTGGTGGCGTGTGCCTGTAGTCCCAGCTACTCAGGAGGCTGAGGTGAGAGGACTGATTGAGCCCAGGAGTTCAGAGCTACAGTGAGCTATGATCACCCCACTACACTCCAGCCTGGGTGACAGAGTGAGACCCTGTCTACAGAAAACAAAACAAAACAGATAAAAACAAAACAGATAAAATCAAAACAAGCAACTTTATGGAAGGGCTGTTTACACGCCATAAAATCCAACTATTTTAAGCATTCTCTTTGATGAGTTTTAATAAATTTATGCAATGTGCAGCCAACACCACAATTCAAAAGCTCCCTCTGTCCATTTGTAGTTGGTCCCCACTCCCACCCCTGGCCCCAGGCAACCACTGATCTGCTTTGTCTCTATAGTTTTACCTTTTCTAAAAAGGAAGTAAATGGAGACATATAACATGTAGTCTTCACGTCTAGCTTCATTCACTCAGCATAATGATTTTTTTTCTTGTTCTTTTTTCTTTCTTTCTTTCTTTTTTTTTTTTTTTAAGAGACAGGGTCTCACTCTGTCTTCCAGGCTGGAGTGCAGTGGCACGATCGTGGTTCACTGCAGCCTCGACCTCCCAGGCTCAACGATCCTCTCACCTCAGCCTCCTGAGTAACTCGGACTACAGATGCATCCTACCATGCCCAGCTAATTTTTGTGGTTTTCGTAGAGGCATGGTTTCACCATTTTGCCCAGGCTGGTCTTAAACTCCTAGGCTCAAGCAGTCTTCCTGCCTCAGCCTCCCAAAGTATTGGGATTACAGGCGTCAGCCACTGAGCCCAGCAGCATCATGTTTTTGATGTTCATCTATGTTGTTGCATGTATCAGTGCTTTATTCCTTTTTAGTGCTGAGTAATATTCCATTTTATGGACATTCCACATTTTGCTTATCTGTTTGCTGGTCAATGGGCATTTGAATTATTTCCAGTTTGGGGCTATTATGAATAATGCTGCTATGAACATTCACGTACAAGTCTTCATGGGGACATATGTTTTCATTTCTCCCATATAACCTCCCTTTTCCATCCCACCAGACCTTGATTCCTGTTGAGGAGCCACACAGCTGTAGGGAAACTGACTCCACCCCTCCCGTGAGGATAGAGCTCAGGCCCCAGGGTAAGCCAATGGGCATAGAGCTCATGACCCAGGCTAGGCCAATCAGTGTGTTCCATCCTCTAGGCCTGATGATTGGTTCCTGGATGGGCAAGTGAGATAGGCCAGTCCAATCAGAGTGACTCTTAGGACTGGCGCTGGAACAGCTGCCCTTTTTCATGCCCCTTATAGTATGTTTGTTAAATCTGGAGCAGACACCCTGTGTGCATTAGCAAAGCCAGCTTTAGGATGTAATTGACACATGGAGGAGGACAGGGCTAAGAAGCTTGAACCCTGATTCAACTGTGCCTGAAGTACACCACAAATCCAGACAGTTGCATGGATCAATCAATTCACTTTATCGTTAAAGCCAGCTTGAGATGGTTTCATTGTTTTTGTTTGTTTGTTTGTTTGTTTGTTTGTTTTGAGACGGAGTCTCGCTCTGTCACCCAGGCTGGAGTGCAATGGTGCGATCTTGGCTCACTGCAACCTCCGCCTCCTGGGTTCAAGCAATTCTCCTGCCTCAGCCTCCCGAGTCACTGGGATTACAGGTAGCTGCCACTATGCCCAGCTAATTATTGTATTTTTAGTAGAGACGAGGTTTCACCATGTTGGCCATGCTGGTCTCGAACTCCTGACCTCAAGTGATCCACTGCCTCGGCCTCCCAAAGTGCTGGGATTACAGGGGTGAGCCACCGCGCCTGGCCCGTTGTTGTTTTTGTTTGTATCTCAGGGGTCAGCAAACTATGGCCTATGGGCAGCCTGTTTTTGTAAAAAAAAAAAAAAAAAAGTTAGAACACGCCACTTACTAATGTATTGTCAATGGCTGCTTTGCAGTGCCATATGGCTTGCAAGCCTGAAATATTCACCATCAGCCTTTTAAGAAAAAGTTTCAGGCCCCTGTTATAACCAAAAGCTTAGTATTCAGTATATCCCCCAGTCATCAGGACAGAAATCTGGGAATCATCCCTGAATCCTCCCTCTACCTCATTCCCCACATCAAACCAGCCCCAAATTGGATTGATTTTTTAGTCTACGTGTCTCCTGAATCTGTCTGCTGTCTTCAGGCCCCAGTATCCTAGGTGAACCATTGTCAGCTCTCGCCTGGATCTCGCCACCCACCTCTAGACTACCCCACAAAGCTGCTGGGTGATCTTTCTCCCACACACATTTGACGAAGCCTCCATTGCTCCCAGGGTAAAGGCCAGACTCCCTGGACTGGCACTGCAGGACCCTCGTGAGCGAGCCCCCACCTGCATTTCCAGCCCCGTCTCTCCCCTCTCTCCTCTCGTCCTCCCCCAGAGCACACAGACCAGCACCTGACTTGTGCAGAAGTTCCCAAACATGGCGTGCTCTGTCCCTCTTCCCGCCTTTTGTACCAGCTGTTCCTTCTGCCTCCAATGCCCTTCCCACTTTGCCCACCTAGTGGACACCTGTGTATCCTCTAAGGCCCAGCCAAAGCCTCGCCTCCTTTTTTGTTGTTTCTAAAATCACCCCAACCTGGGTCAGGGCTCCCATAAGCCCTTGGGGCTCAAGAAGTGTTGGTTTGCAATACAATATTTCTGCCTTTTGCTGCAAAGCCACTGTGAGGAATCCAAAGAAGGTTTGAACAAGGCAGGGAGGAAGAGCATGGCTGTGGACTGTCAGAGCTCGGTGTGAACAAGGGGACATAGAAGGACTGGAACTGCTTGAGTTTCCAAGGCCCAAAGACCCCAGGCAGGAGCATCTTTAGGAAGTGCATAGAAATGCCTCCTAAGATGAACAAAATGAACCAACGATGAGGTCGGAGAATGGTTCCGAGAAAAGAAAAGTAGGGCAGGTGAGAGTGGGCCACTGTGGCAGGCCCTGAGAGTGCGGAATAGAAACAAAGGGATTACAGGGAAATGTCATTAAAGTGAAGATTTTCCACAGACTTTGGAAGTCAGCAAGTGGGACGGGAGGAGACCAGATGGCCGGTGAGGGGGCTGCGGATCCCGTCGGAAAGTTTAAGGTTTTACAAGACTAGCCCTTTGGAGGGCTTAGGGAACATCTGACTTCTAGGTTCTCAACTGAAAATAAATTTGGGTACCAGCTGGCTGGGTCCTGAGTGAACCTTCCCAAGAAGCAACTGTGGTGGATTCAGGGGAGCACTGGACAGGGAGTCCGAGCCAGCTCTGCTGTCACTGGCTGTATGGTTCTTGGCTGCCATGTCCCGGGGTTTAGGGCTGTGGCCCATACTCACTGCTAATTCTGGAAGTGAATCCAGGACACAGAAAACCAGAAACCAGTCAAGGCCCGACCTCCCCCATGGGGCCACAGTGAGGCACGCATGAGACAGTGGATATGAAAATGCAAACTGCAGTGCGGTGGCCCCACATCACTGTCCCTCCTCTCACTCCTCCAGCTGAGTCCATCCCCGTCCTCGTGGCTCCCCAGCTGATGCATGAACCTCACTCTTACGCTACTCTGTTGTGGAACATAATGTATGGCACATCTCTTCTCCTGTCAGACCCTGAGTACCTGAGGACAGGGACAAGCATGTTGGGCTCCTGTCCCCAACATGTGTTGCAGTGCCTGGCCCAGAGCAGGGATTCGGCAACTATTTCTTGAAGGACTTTGAATTGTAAAGAAATAGTTAACTTGGCTGGGCGCAGTGGCTCACGCCTATAATCCCAGCACTTTGGGAGACTGAGGTGGGCAGATCACAAGGTCAGGAGATGGAGCACATCCTGGCTAACACGGTGAAACCCTGTCTCTACTAAAAAAATACAAAAAATTAGCCGGGTGTGGTGGTGGACGCCTGTAGTCCCAGCTACTCGGGAGGCTGAGGCAGGAGAATGGCGTGAACCCAGGGGGCGGAGCTTGCAGTGAGCCGAGATGGTGCCACTGCACTCCAGCCTGGGCAACAGAGTGAGACTCCGTCTCAAAAAAAATAAAAAAAAGAAAAAGTTAACTTGAAGGTGCTGGTCAGCCTCAGTTTATAAAAGCAGGAACCAGGTAGATCATGGTAGAAATCTTTCTGACAAATTGACAAAATGTTTTGTGAGTTTTTAAAAAATATGAGCATGCCAGAAATGCTCAAGAAGAAGTGGAACTCAAGCAGTTCCAGTCCTTCCAGTCTGGGATTGAGAATGCTAAAAGCTACCTGGCCCTGAGCTATCCAGTAGGGTAACCATGAGCCACATGTGGCTATTGAACTTCAAATTAAATTTAAAAATCAGTTTTGTATTTTATTTAATTTTTATTATTATTATTTTTTGAGACAGAGTCTCTGTCACCCAGGCTGGAGTGCAGTGGCACGATCTCGGCTCACTGTAACCTCCGTCTCCCAGATTCAAGGAATTCTCGTGCCTCAGCCTCCCAAGTAGCTGGAATTTCAGGCACATGCCACCACCATGCCTGGCTAATTTTTGTATAAAAATCAGTCTTTTAATTGCACTAGTCACATTTCCAATGTGCAGTAGCCACACGTGGCTCACGGCCACCCTATGGGAGAGTGCAGATTAGAGCATTTCCATCATGGCACAAATTCTTTTGGACAGCATTCCTCCATGCCTTGAAAATCCGTGCCCATGTGTTATTTTAAGCCCTGATCCTTCCGCAGGGGCTTCTGAGACTTAGGGAGAGATCTGGGGCTCTGGAATCTGACCCAGAGTTCGAATCCCTGCTCAGCCATTTGCTTGCTGTGTAGCCTGAGGCAAAGGAACTTCCTTCTCCTTTCTGAGGCTCGGTGTCCTCATTTGTGGCCTACACAAAGCTGTGGGTTCAAGGAGAAAGCTAGGTAAAGGGCTTCCCAGTTGGTACTGCGTGCAAGGACCTGCTATGAGGCACATAGCGGTGTTCCTAGAGCTGTGAGAGACTGCACAGGCTGTTCCTATCAGAACATTGCCGGAGGGGACGCCTCCCAGGCCCTTGCAGCTTGGAGCCACTGCCCAAGCTTCTCAAAATGAGGCAAGGCATGCTGGGAGTTCATCGGGCACTGGGGGCTGATCTGGAGCAGTGGCCAGTGGGTGTGACTGGCTTGGAGCAGTTGGTAGGTGAGGTCAAGGCTAGAACTGGTAAGGCTGGGAGGAAGGGCCAGCCCGCTGAATCCTGGGTAGGGGCATGCGTCCTCTCTGCATAAAACTCCATTGTCTACTAGCTGATTAGGGGATCATAATACGAATACAAGGAGTCATAGCAGCTTTATACTCCTTGAACATTTCCTGTCTACCAGACACTGTGCTAAGAGATATACTATGTGTATGCATTAGCTCTGCCCTCACAGCAACCCTTTGTAATAGGTATGTTATTATTCCCATTTTGCAGACAGGGAACACTGAGGCCAGTTGTCCAAGGTCACACAGCTATGAGGCGGTAGAGCTGGTATCTGACCCCAGGCTGTTTAGCTCCACAGAGTCAATGCTGGGATAAAGTCCAGCCCCTGACCCGGTCCTCCAGGCCGTGTGGAGCCAGCCTCAGTTGCCCTTTCCACCTTCATCTCTGTCACTCCTCATCTTCTGGTCAAGTTCCTCAGACATCCCAGGTGTCTCCCTCCAATGTCTGTGCCCTTGTTCACACTCCTGGTCCCCTCCAGCCTCTGCAGACTCCTGTTCACCTGCCACGACCCCGTTCTGGTGTGTGAGCATCCCGAGGCTGGGAATGGGTTTAAGTTGTTTTCATGTCATAAAGTCCTGCACGTGGCTTGGGGCGTCAGGGCCATGGCGAATTGTGGGTGGCGGCTTGGTGGGTGGGTGATGAGTAGCTGGAAGGGTGGGGGGAGTAGATGAAGGGTGAACCAAGGGGCGGGTGGACAGACTGGTGGAAGAGTGGGTGGGTGGCATGTGCTGCAGTGCCCTCAGTGGGGCGGGGCCTGAGCAGAGCATGGGGGGCTGGACATGGGGAGGGATGGCGGCAGGGAGGGGTCTAGGGTGATGCCTACTTTTCTAGCTTGGGGTCTTGAGTGAATCATGGTGTCATCAGGGCAGGGTGGGTTTAGGGGAGAAGGGGATGAGGTCCATTTTGGACATGGGGGTGTGACGGGCCAAGGGTTCAGGAGGCCGCTGGGGAGATGAGCCTCAGGTTCAGAGGTGACCTCGGGCTGCACAGAGAGACTCGGGAGGTCAGTATGGGTGGTGATTCGAGTCGTGGGGGCCAATGGCGTCACCACCTGGGAGCTGGGCATGGGGTGAGAAGGACTCAGGACAGAGGAACAGCCACATCTCAGAGCCAGCAAAGGAGGGGGAAGAATTATAGTCCCCCAGATAGAAAAGCCAGGAGTGTCAGAGCAACAGAAGAGTCTTGCGGAGAGGAGAAACAAGGTGTTGGGGGTGTAAGAAGCCCCCAGGGCATGAGGGAACTCCGTCAGTGCTATTTTAAAAAAACTATTTTTCCATTTCAGTTCAACTTTACAAATATTTATTGAGCTAAAAGGTTCTGTGTAAATCCATTTTGTAAATTAAATTTTTGTGCAACAAATACCATTTTAACTGGGCCTGAGGTGGCAAGGTTTGGGAGACCATTCATTATTCGAGGAACCCTGAGTCGAATTCTTTTGAAAAGCTTTGTTTGGTTTGTTTTTTGTGTCAGCAAGGATTTTGGCTTTTCAGGCTTGCAGAGTGAGGCGTTCATTTGTTCCACATGCGTTTTGAAAAGATCCTTCTGGCTGCTGCAGAGAAGATGGGCCAGGGAGGCAGCCGGGCACCTAGGGAGGAAGCTGGTGCAGTGTCCGAACAAGAGATGGTACTGGCCCGGACGGGGGCGACTCTGGGGGATCAAGGGGAGGGGATTTGAGGGATGTATAGGAGGTTTTTTAAAAAGATAGGACATGGCCTGGCATGGTGGCTCATGCCTGTAATGCCAGCACTTTGGGAGGCTGAGGCAGGTGGAGCACTTGAGGTCAGGAGTTCGAAACCAGCCTGGACAACATGGTGAAACCCCCATCTCTACCAAAAATACAAAAAAATTATTAGCGGAGCGTGGTGGTGCATGTCTGTAGTCCCAGCTACTCGGGAGGCTGAGACAGGAGAATCGCTTGAACCCGGGAGGCGGAGGTTGCAGTGAGCCAAGATTGCGCCACTGCACTCCAGCGTGGATGACACTGCGAGATTCTGTCTCAAAAAAAAAAAAAAAAAAAAAGATAGGACATTGCCAGCCATGGTGGCTCACACCTGTAATCCCAGCACTTTGGGAGACTGAGGCGGGCAGATCACCTGAGGTCAGGAGTTCAAGACCAGCCTGGCCAACGTGATGAAACCCCATCTCTAGAAAAAATACAAAAATTAGCTACTTGGGAGGCTGAGGCACAAGAATTGCTTGAAACTGGGGGGCAGAGGTTGCAGTGAGCCGAGATCACACCACTGCACTCCAGCCTGGGCAACAGAGTGAGACTCTGTCTCAGAAAAAGAAAAAAGAAAAAAAGATAGGACATAGTCTTGGGCTTTACTTCTGGGTGAGTGAAAGAGGAGAAGGAAGAAGAATAGAAGCCTCCTGGCTTCTTGGTCGCCTGAGGGTGACCAGGTTAGATGATACTGGGATGAGGGCATGGTCTCCAGGGAAGGTCACAGACTGGGCCCTGTACACATGGAGTACACAGTGTCTGTCCACAGATGGCCAGCAGAGCTGCTGTAGGAATTTGGAGCTCAGAGGTGTGAGCTGGGCTGGAAAGAGAAATGTCACATCTGCGACAAGGAAGGAGGGAAAACCCAGAGCTCATGACAGTTGGTCAAGGAATATCTCCAGTATTGAAAATATTTGTTCAATGAAGTATTCACGGAGCACCTCCATGTGCCAGGTACAGCGTGTGGCAATGAAACAGACAGAACTCTCTACCCTTCGGGGCTGACACTTTAGTGAGAGGAGCAGGCAATGATCAGGATAAATTATGCAATTACGTGGCCTGTTGTATAATGATATGGGCTGAGAAAAACAGGAAAGCAGGCAGGGACAGGCTCAGGGAATGTGCTGTGGAGGGCTGGGGAGTGTAGCAGACACACAGGTCACACTTGCTGAATTCATTTGAGCCTCACAACCACCATATGAAGAAGGCTCTATAACTACCCCCATCTTAGAGATGAGCAGCTGAGTTGCAGAGAAGATATTTGCCCAAGGTCATGCAGCCACGTAACTGGCAGAGCCTGGATTTTTACTTGGAGTTCATACTTTTGAGTCCTCCTGCTAGGGTAAAACTCCCTCTCAATGACAAGATCAGGTCTCAGCAAAGATTCTGAAAGAAGTGAGGGGGTAAGGTTCACAGACATCTGAACACAATCAACATTCCAGGCAGAGCAAGAGCACGTGCAAAGGCCCTGAGCTAGGCACGTGCCTGGTATATTTGAGGAACAGCCCAAAGGCCAGCATAGCTAGGGCAAAAGGAGCAGGTGGGGGAGGGAACCAGAGGTGGTGCAGGGCTGCCTGTGGCGTCTGCAGGGCTGTTAGCTTTTACTTGAGGTGCAGTGAGGCCATGGGGAGTGTGGAGCTGAATACAAGGAGTCATAGCAGCTTTATACTCCTTGAGCATTTCCTCTGGCTTCTGTGCTGGGAGCAAGGTCAGAAGCAGGACACCAGAGAGGGCATGAATAATCCAGGCACGAGGTGACAGTGGCTCGGTCCACAGCGGTGGCAGCAGGGTGGGGAAAGGAGGACCGGTGGCACTGCTGATGGCTTGCGTGTGAGAGGGGAGGGTGGGAGAGACCTCAAGTTTGGCTTGGGCCTGAGTGGCTGGAAGGGCAGGATTCCATTGACTGAGATGGGGGCAGCTGTGGAAGGAGCCACTTCATAAAGAACTTTCCATGTCCATTTCCCTCTGAATCCCTGGCTACCCTGAGGTAGGTATTGAAACTTGAGCAGTTCCATGATTTGCCTGGGATTGCTTGGCTGGAAGGTAATAGAGCCAGGGCCAGAAGCCGTATGTGCATCCTAGGGTTTGGAATTTTGTCTCATTTATTCAATCAACAAACATTTCTGGAGCACCTCCTGTGTGCCAGGCTGATGGAGGAGGCTGTGTCAGCCAATGATCGTGGCAATGGTTACCTCACATCAGCATGAGCAGTGGTGAGGAGAAGCCGAGGGAGCTCTAGGAGCCAGTAACGGGCAGGAGGGAAGGGTGCTGCAGGGCCAGGGAGGGCTTCCTGGAGGAGGAGAATATGACATACAAGGACCACAAAGGACCACAGGTTCCCAGAGGATAACTGCCTATTGGGAAGTTGCAGAATCTTTTTGTTTTGTTTTGTTTTGTTTTGTTTAAGTGTTAATAATTGAGATATAGAAGCTGAGCATGGTGGTACACACCTGTAGTCCCAGCTATTCAGGAGGCCAAAGTGGGAGGACCCTTTAAGGCCAGGAGTTCAAGAGCAGCCTGGGCAACATAATGAGATCCCCATCTCTACAAAAGTTAAAAAACTAACTTGGTGTGGTGGCTGATGCCTGTAGTCCCAACTACTTTTGAGGCTGAGGCAGGAGGATCCCTTGAACCCAAGAATTTGAGGCCAGGCCTGGGCAACATAGCAAGACTCCATCTCTAAAGAAAAGAAAAAGAATTGAGATATAATTCACATACCATACAACTCACCCATTAAAGTGTATAGTTAATGGCTTTTAGTATATTTACAGGGTTGTGTATCTGTTACCACAATCCATTTTTGAGCATTTTCATTACCTCCAAAAAGAAACCCCACACCCCTTAGCTGTCACCATCTCTCAGTCCCTGTCCCCACACTGGGAAGCCTGAGGCAGCCCAGATATACTTTCCGTCTGTACAGTGGCACCTGTTCTGGATATTTCATTGAAATGGAGTCATGCCATGTGCTGTCTTCTGTGTCTGGCCTCTTCCACTTAGCATCACATTTCAAAGTTCATCCATGTTGGAAGCTGCAGAATCTTCAACAGCATCACAGATGGCCCGGACCCAAGAGACTGTATAATGGTGCTTCCCGACCATTATAAAGAAGTGGGGCCAAGCTCAGTAGCTCATGTCTGTAATCCCAGAACTTTGAGAGGCTGAGGTGGATGGATCACTTGAGGCCAGGAGTTCGAGACTAGCCTGGGCAATATAGCGACATTTCATCTCTGCAAAAAATACAAAAATTAGTCAGGTGTGGTGGTGCATGCCTGTAGTCCCAGCTACTCAGGAGGCTGAGGCAGGAGGGTCGCTTGAGCCCAGAAGGTCAAGGCTACAGTGAGCTATGATTGCACCACTGCACTCTAGTCTGGGCAACAAAGTAACACTCTGTCTCAAAAAATAAAAAAGAAGAAGAAGAAGGGGGAATCAAGGAGGAGACTTGCCGTTCTGTCAGCAAGGAAGAGGTGGGGAATTTGAGGAGGCCTCGGGCCCCTAGGCCAGGGCCCTGCGGCACCCTGCCGTGCTGGGCACAGGCCACCTCCCTTGGTTGCCACTTCTTTTCCTTCAGCTTTGGGCTCTGGGTGAATTTGGCTAAAAGTGACAACTCGGTCAGGAACGCATCTTCTCAAACACCGGTCTTTCCCGCCCTGGCAATTTTCACACCTTATGGTGAATCTTGAAATCTTTTATGCATCTTCGAGAATTTGTGTCTACTGACTCAGAATGTTTTGGGGTTTGTATTTTCTTTTTCTGCTCCTTAACACTTTTATTCAGGTGGCTATGCCTGTTTTTCTTGGTTTGGTGATGTTGTCCCTGGGGGAGGCTGCATCGTCCTGGAGTCAGGTGCCTGGGTTGGAGGCCCTGCCCTGCCTCTTCCTGGGTGTGTGGTTGTCGAAGCTCTCCGTGCCTTGGATGCTTCCTTTGGAAAATAGAGATGACATTGTAAGGCTGTGGCAGGAAGGAAATGAGGTAAAGCCTGTTACAGGTTTGGCACTGAGTAGATTCTGGAGGTTTGGTTCTTGATCAGATGCTAAGGAGAGATGGTGAGGCCTTTCAGGGCCCTGAGATAGCAAGGGGAGAAAGGTGAGCCTCCCCGACCAGCGACTGTCCCTTTCTCCTTATTCCTCCCATCCCAGAGCCCCCTAGACCTGGACCTCTCCTCTCAGGGCTCAGACGTGGAAAGCCTGAGTTCAAATCCCGACCTACCACTCGGGTTCTGTGTCCCCACACCAGCTAGGCTTCTTCTGTGTCTCAGTTTCTTGACCTGTAAAATTGGAGGGGAGAGGGTGGAGGGTGAGGGGAGGGTGTTCCACTGAGGCCTCCAGGGCAGCCAAAAGGCTTCTGGGAGGGGTGTGGAATAGAGGGGCCTTTTTCTTCTCCCTAGAGGACTGGTTCCTGCTGATTCGTGGGTTTTTTGTTTTTGGTTTTGGTTTTTTTGAGATGGAGTCTTGCTCTGTCGCCCAGGCTGGAGTGCAGTGACACCATCTCGGCTCACTGCAACCTCTGCCTCCTGGGTTCAAGCAGCTAATTTTGTATTTTTAGTAGAGACGGGGTTTTACCATGTTGGCCAGGCTGGTCTCAAACTCCTGACCTGAAGTGATCCACCCACCTCAGCCTCCCAAAGTTCTGGGATTACAGGCGTGAGCCACCGCACCCAGCCTGGTTCCTGCTGATTTAAAGATCCAGGCAGGAGCAGTGACACCTGTTCAGGGGAAGTGGGTGGAGAGGGACACCTGGCTTCCCTCCGCTCTCACACGAGAGTGCCACATGGAGGTGGTGATGCAGTGAAGGGCCTCTTAGAAGGGCCTTTATTGGGCTTATTTCACCTGCACTGTCTTCTCAGTCCTCACAGTAGCCTTCAGAGAAGGCACTCTTGTTCCCATTTGGCTGGTGGGGAAACTGAGGCTCAGAAAGGGGAAGCTGCCTCCCTGGTGTCACCCCGCATGTGAGAGGCTGAGCTGGGATTTGAACTCAGGACTGCATGACTCCTACCCCTTTCCCAACTTCTCCCATCCGGGGAAAAGGAGGAAGAAGCAAGACAGGGAAGGATTTGAGACTTTGGAACCCAGCTTCCCGACTGCTGTGGGGATTCTGTGGGTGGTGGGAAAGGCACTGTAAATATGCATGACATGCAAATTTGCCTCTAAAAAAACAATGTGGGTGCTCACATGAGCCGGGATGCCAGGGTGCTCTGGAAAATGTAGTGTTGTGCAAACACTTGGGTTTCTATGACCACTGCTCCATGTCGTCTCCTTCCCTCGTGTCCCCAGGGCCAGTCTAAGGGTCTCAGGTGGAGGGCTTACCTCCAGCACCTCCTAATCACCATTCCTCCCCATTCCTGCAGGCACCCGTGCCTCCCCTCTGCCAGGAACCTTGGGGCCTTGTGTGTGACCAGGACCTGGTGGCCCCCGGGCGGTGGCAGAGCCCCTGTCCCAAGCTGCTTCCTGCCGGCACCTCTGATCAAGTGCCTAGAGGGATGTGTGTGCCAGCCCTCGGTCCAGTGCCCGCTCCTGAGCTGACTCCTGCTGGGCCCCGACAGCTTGCCGTGTTTCCTGTGCCTGTAGCTCCCTGGTTGGTAAGTAACTGCGTCCGCAGGCTTTGTCTCCTCACCAGCCCCCCATGCTTGGCACAGTTGGGAAATGCCCAGCCTCACTTCCACTGGCACCCACATGCTGGCAGAGGGACCTCAGTCAGAGTTTGTATATGTCTGGGCACCATTTATAGTTCAATGGCCTGTCTTAGCCAGTCCTCCCAACAACCAGGAGGTGCGTGTGGTGATCACGCCCATTTTCCAGAGGAGTCAGCCTCAGAGAGGGGAAGCCACCTGCTTGGGGTGCACAGCAAGCCCAGCTCTGTCCACCTCAAAGGCCAGCTCTTGCCACACCCAAGCAGGCGGGGACAGGTTGTGCACATAGGCTCAGGACAGGAAGGGAGCCATGAGCTGTGCTGGAGGCCATAGAACCTCTGGGGCCCCCAGGGCGGCTTGAGGGGAGGCCATCAGAATTCTTGAATCTTGGGGGGCCCTACATTCCTGCCCCTCTGGCCTGTTCTCCCCATGCTCCTCCAGCTCCCACTTTGCCATCAGGATGAGGTGCTGGGCCTGCCCCGTCTCCAACCGTCTGTCTGGGGGTGCAACCACAGTGCCACCACTTCACCATGCTGCTTGCATCTTTTCTTCACCTTCCGCCTCCCAAGGCTCTGCTGGCATAACAATCTAGTTCACAGATGAGGAAACAGAGGCTCAACCAGGTCAAGAGGCCTACGTGCAGGCTCACCCAGCCACCACGAAGCACTACATGGGGCCACTGGGGTAAAATCTGCCTCCTTCTCTGGCCTTAGCTCTGCAAGGACAAAGAACAACCACTTCATTCCCTTCTGGCCAACTAGCAGCTGGCCCCGTGCCTGGCATACAGTGGGTACCCAGTAAATAGCTGTGGAAGGAAGGAAAGGGGGAGAGAAGAAGGGAAACCTCTCTTACCTCCCTCCACCCAGACACCAGCAGGACCTGAGCGCCTCCTGGCCTTTTGGCCAGTGCCAGTCCCTGCTGCCCCAGATGGCTTGCGGTGAGCCCATGCCCTCAGCAAGGTGGCCAGCCCCTCTGGTCCCAATTCTCTCATCTGCTAGAGCCTGCCCAGCTTCCCTGATGGGATGGTTATGAGAAGGGAAAAGATTCGTAAATATGTATAATATGCAAATGTAATGGGATCTTTTGTTTCTTTAACCCTTGAAGTTCACTGTAGATAACGTATGTAGAAGTGCTTCTGTGAGAACAAGGAGCTGCCCGCTGGGGTGGCGCCAGCCTTATTATGACTAACCATGAAAAGGGCCCCATTAATTAGCTGCCCCACAACCTGGCTCTCCCGACCCAGCTCCTAGTCTGTTGTTGCGGCTGCAAATAGCCGTTGCTTTTGGCTGAGAAGCTGGTGCAGGACAGGTGATAAGGATGGCTTGGTCTGAGAGCTGTGTCTGTGGGATTTAATCATTTGCAAACACACCTTATTGTGCTCAAGGAATGCAAGGGCCTCTCCAGGGACTAAATGTGTAATGAGGGCCAGCTGAATAACAGCAAGCATTTCTTGAGCAATTACTATGTGTTTGGCATCGCACTAAATGCTTTGCATTTTTCGTTATTTCAATTAAATTCCCCCATAACCCTGTGGAAGGTGAAGGGGGAGACTGAGGCAGGGACTTAGGGGTGAGGGCTCATCTGTTAACAGCCAGCATTTCCTGAAAATTACTGCCATCCAGTGCCCACCTCCACCCTCCGGGCCAGGCTCTGAGAACGCAGCAGAGCAGACAGCCCCTGGCGTGTGTGGCCCAGTGACGGAGAACGGGATTCCTTGGCACGAGCTGGGTGAGCAGCCGTCAGCATCGCGTGGAAAGATGGAGGCCCGGGCGGCAGCGAGGGAGGTGTTACTGCTGCTATTTTGCTAACAAGCTGGTTATTTAAAGAACAGCCGAAGCCGGAGCTAGAAAATGGGATGAGGTGTCTCCAGGGCAGAGGCAGCCAGGAGTGCTGGGTCCTGAGACCCAGAGACCTGGTTGAATCACAGCAGAGTGGCCACACAGTCATTTATTTTTTTTAATCAACTTATTAACATAGTAATGGCTGCCGGGCATGGTGGCTCAGGCCTGTAATCCCAGCACTTTGGGAGGCCGAGGCAGGCGGATCATCTGAGGTCAGGAGTTCGAGACCACCCTGGCCAACATGGTGAAACCCTGTCTCCACTAAAAATACAAAAATTAGCCAGGTGTGGTGGCAGGCGCTTGTAATCTCAGCTACTTGGGAGGCTGAGACAGGGGAATTGCTTGAGCCCAGGAGACAGAGGTTGCAGTAGCCACTGCACTCCAGCCTGGCCAATGGAGCCAGACTCTGTCTCAAAAAATAATAAAAACAATAGTAATGGCACCATAAAGGCTGGACAAGGATTGCCTTGGTGGAGAAAAGAACATTGGGAAGGGAACCTCAGGGGGTTTCTGAGGGGCCAGCAGTGACCTGGGTGGTGGTTACATGACTATTTCCTTTTGATATTTTACTGCAGTAAACATTTTTGTTTTGTGCACTTTACTCTTTCTATTACATATCACAGTAAAACGGCTAAAAAACAATTGTAAAAATAATAGCTAATGTTTATTGAGCACTTACTAACAGGCTGTTTGCTAAGCATTTTTTATCTCCTTGAATCCTCCTGGATTCTTTTATTCTGCCCATTTTACAGAGGAGGAAAGTGAGGCTTGGAGAGGTAAAACTACTTGTCATGCTGCCAAAGAGTGGAGGAGGTGAGATGAGAAACCAGACAGACTGACTTAAGCCTCATGTGCAAGGATCGGGGTCCAGGAAGTTCCCCGCAAAGGGCCAGGGACTCCTCCATTTTTTCCTCAGACATGTCTGTGCCTCTTCTATTTTTAAGGCTTGGGAGGCCAGGCAGGTGTGTGCAGTCATAGGCAGCAGATGAGGAGCCTGGGGGTCTCCAAGGGGACAGAGCAGAGCATTTAGCTGTTTAACAAGTATCAAAGAGCTGGGTGCAATGGCTCATACCTGTAATCCCAGCACTTTGGGAGGCTGAGGCAGGAAGATGGTTTGAGCCCAGGAGTTCATGATCAGCCTGGGCAATATAGTGAAACCTCATCTCTCCAAAAAAAAAAAAAATTTAAATAGCTGAGTGTGGTGGCTACTTGGGAGGCTGAAGTGGGAGGATCACTTGAGCCCAGGAGGCAGAGGTTATGGTGAGCTGAGATTGCACCACTACACTCTAGCCTGGGTGACAGAGTGAGACCCTGTCTCAAAAAAAAAAGTATTAAAGGATAGGAGTGGGACGTTCCTAGGGACAGGCCTGGGGAGAAGGCCAAGGCATACTCAGGTCTCATTTAAAGTAATAAAAGAGGTGGGAGAATGGCTTGAGGCCAAGAGTTCAAGACCAGCCTGGGCATCATAGCAAGACCCCCTTCTCCAAAAAAATTAAAAAAAAATTAGCCAGGCATGGTGATATGTGCCGGTAGTCCCAGCTACTCAGGAGGCTGAGGTGGGAGGATCACTTGAGCCCAAAAGTTTGAGGCTGCAATGAAGTATGATCATGCCACTGTACCTTAACCTGGGCAACAGAGCAAGACCTTGTCTCTAAATAAATAAATAACATTAAAAAATTTTTAAAGGTAAAAAACGCCATCCAGGTGAGACAGGGTCAGACCCACCTGTGAACTCACTGGATGGGGGGCCAAACTGCAATTTTCTGAGGACCTATTTTGTGCTAAGCACATTTGTTCCCTTCTTTAATCTTCAGAACAACCTTGTGGGATTAGCAGTATTGGCCCCATTTTACAAATGAGAGGACTGAGACCTAAGTCCACACAGACAGTGGGTAGTGGAGCTGCTCTGCCAGACTCCAGTGCCTTGTATCCTGTGCGTGCAGAAAGCCTTGCTTGGTGCTGGGGTCCCTGGCAGGGCAGGCATCTGGGCATAGATGCTCCAAGCAGCACATGGCTGGAAGTGAGTTCCAAGGCAGCTCTGTGGGGCCCTGAACTGACACTAGGGACATGTCATGGAGCGGGGTAGTCTGCTATGCTGACGGAGCATCTCTTCATTCATGCGTTCCAAGGACATCTCTTGAGTCTAGTCCCTGCTAGTCCACACCCTTCCTGGAGCACACAGGCTTGGGGAGGGACAGATATTATACAGTCACCCAAAGACATACACAGAATGAGGAGAGACTCCATTGGTGCAGTGAGGGAAATTAACGTGGTGACATCATGAAGATGAACCGGTAGGAGACCTGTGTGACATGGCACTGTCCAAGATGGCCCTCTCTAAGGAGATGGCACTTGAGCTGAGACCCGAAAGGATGACGTGCATCCAGCCGTGCTGGACAGTGCTCATGTAACATCGTTGCTGTTAGCAGGACAACTGGGGACAACCCATTTGTCCATCACCACGGGACCAGTTAAAGCCATTTTACTGCAGCCACACCGTGGCGCCTGCTACAGCTGTTAGAAACGGGGCCATGGAGCTAAATTTATTATTGCATAAAGAACTTCATAGTGTGTCGTAGAGGTTTTTGTTTTTTTTTTTAAAAAGAGGTTATAAAACAGCATGGGTAGCATTATATCATTTCTGTAAGAATTATATGTGTTTCTGGAAACTGCACAGTGCTCTTCCTGGGAAGTGGGGGCATGGGTGATCTTTGCTTCTTCTTTCTACTTTTCTGGATTTGGAGTCTTTCCTGAGTTTTAGGACTTGTGGGGAGGAACAGAGGATTTTAGGGTTCCCACCATCTTGCCTAGGGTACTTCTTCTCTCCTGCTACCCACCTCAATGGGATAAGGCATGGGCTGGGGAATCAGCAGATCTGGGTCATCCCTTTGACTGTGTGACCTTGGGCAAGTCACTGGCCTTCTCTGAGGCTGAGTTTCCTCTTCTGCAAAACAGATAAGAATAGCGTCCGAGGGTAGGTGTGGGCTTAAGTGAGTAGAAACATGTGGAGGGCTAGGGCAGTACCAGGCTTGCATCCCTGACGGTGCTGCTGCTGTTATGACTGTGACTGCTAAAGGTGGCACCTACCGTGTGTCGGCTTGTCCTGCCAGGGCTCCCCAGGCTTACCTCTCCCTCCGTCACTGGGAGTCAGACCCAGGTAGGAGACAAGGCCCAGGGTGGGCTTTGTCACATTGTCAGCTTGGCTGGGCACAAGGCCAGCTGGACCTCAGGTCAGCACCAACCCACACCCCGCCTCTCTCCCCACCACCTCCCTCCCCATCACCTCCCTCACATCTGCCAGTGAGCATCCTTGCTAGATAAGCTGTGATGGGGACACCCTGGCCCAGGATTTGCTTTTTTTTTTTTTTTCACAACTAGTATACCTGCCCAGGAAAACAGATACTACTTTACAGCCACTAAGAGAATCTTAAATCTCAGGCAGAACAACGTACACTCGTGAAGTCAAACTCTCTGAATCATGGAATCTTAGTCATAAATAATCCGGCAACTGCAAACATATGCATTTTGCAAGTAAGTTCACTGCACCTTTCTTGATTACAGTGATAAATTAGAAACGACCCAATTCTCTGTTTGTGAGAGTTGGTTAAATAACTTACATCCGGCCAGGCAATGCCATTTTCCGCAGCTATAGAAACAGTGCTGTAAATCTCTATTTGTTGACATGGAAACTTGTCCATGGCGCATTGTTGGGGAAAAACAGGAGGTTAAAAATTGATGTATGTTGTGTGACATCCGGATTTGGAATCTTTCCTGAGTGTTAGGATTTGCAGGGAGGAACAGGATATCTACTTAGGTATCTACTGATTTTTTTTTCACTTTTGTTATGAAAAATATATATAAACATATGCGTGCTCCTGCCTAGGGAGATGCTCAGAAGAGTAGTCATTAAACTGTTGATAGTGGCTTCCTCTGGATGGTGAGATATAGGTGAGCTCTATTTTGATTTTTGTTTCTATCATTCAGAGTTTTTTCAAGTAAGGTGATGGAAAACCCACCCCAAACTAGTTTAAACAAAAAATAGATTCGATTGACTTGTAACTGTAAAGTTCAGAGGTCTGATGGCTTCAGGCTCAGCTGGATCCAGGACCTCAGGGCCACCAGGACTTGATTTCTGTTTCTCAACTCTGGGTTGTTTCCATGTTCTCATTAAGCTCTCATGTACAGGTAATAAGATTTCTGTCCAAAGAAATAAGCAAGAATTCTTCCCTGATTGCTCAAACACAAGTCCCAGAACTAAGTCTTGGCCTTGATTTGTCAAATTTGTGGGATGTGCCCACCCCTCAATCAATTGCTGTTGCTAAGGAGAATTTGGTGCTCTGATTGGCAGCCTGGGCCTGTGTACCATCCACCACCAGCTGGGGGTGGGGTCAATACCACTGGAACCTCAAGAGTGGAGAGTGGGGAAAAGTGGCTTCCCCAGAAGTAGATGTAGGCTATGACCTAAAGTAGACCAAATGGTAGCCAAACCCAGCAACCCCCACCTCCTGTAATTATCTGAATTGCCCAAGATGCATGGTTTTCAAAATCAGAAAAAAAACAATGCAACTATTGAAAGGAGTCCTGGCCAGGTGCGGTGGCTCATGCCCGTAATCCCAGCACTTTGGGAGGCCAAGGCAGGCAGATCACCTGAGGTCAGACAGGAGTTCAAGACCAGCCTGGCCAACATGGGGAAACCCTGTCTCTACTAAAAATACAAAAATTAGCCCAGTGTGGTGGCCAGCGCCTGTAATCCCAGCCACTCGGGTGACTAAGGTGGAAGAATCGCTTGAATGCTGGAGGCAGAGGTTGCAGTGAACCGAGATCGTGCCACTGCACTCCAGCCTGGGTGACAGTGAGACTGTCTCAAAAAAAAAAAAAAAAAGAAAAAGAAAATAAAGGAGTCTTGAACCCAGATCTTACGGTCAGAAGCTCACTGAGGCAGCCTTCGACTTTCCTGGAGTCAGAACATTGGAATTTCTGAAGTACCGATTTCACTAGGGAGACATCAACCCTCTCTGTCCTGCCAGGGAGCTGTCCTGGCCCTCCAAATGACTGCAGTCTTTGGAGGAGAGGGGAGCACATGGATGATTTGTCTGGAATGTGAGAGGTGCTAAGGTGGATGTGCATATAGGGGCTGTGGGAATGAAAAGGCCAGCCTGGGGACAAGGAAGAGGCTTCTTGGAGGAGGTGATGCCTAAACTGAGTAGCCAACCAGAGTGCTGGAAGAATGTTGTAGGCAGGAAAAACAATGTGTCAAAGTCCCAGAGCATGTGGTGGGAGTGCAACTATAGGATGAGAGGAGGCAGGCCCGGACCACAGGGGCCTTGAATGCCAGGGTAAGAACTTGGACTTGATCCTGAAGGCAGTGGGGAGCCTTTGGGGGATATTGTGGGATGAAGGAAGTGTCAGTGAGCTCACTCTGCCTTGTGCTGGAAGCATAGCCTGGAGGAGTTAGATCAAGGCCCCACATGGGGAACGAGAAAAAGGACCCAATGCCCCTCAAGGGAGCCTTAGATATCTAATGGTCTAAATTCCTTCCCACCCTGAGTCAGAATTCCTGTCCTGAGATGCCCAGCCACTGCTTGCATACCTCCAGAGATGGGGAGCTCACTCTCCATTTTCTGCACTGCTAGTTAGAAAGCTTTTTCACAGGACCAAGTCCACAATCCCGGCACTGCAGGCTGTCCCCCAAATGACCTGCTGGGAGGGCAGGCAGAAGCCTGCATTTCCAGGTCAGGGGGGTCCAAGATGAGGAAGCCCTGGATGTCTGCAAACCCTGCTGGGAGTTTGAATGGAGGGCAGAGAGAGTCCCATTACCTTGACAGTAGAGGAAGTGTTTAGGCCTTTAGACATACATCTGCTGCTTCAGCCAATTTTACAAATGCCCCTTGCATTTTACACAGAAGGAAACTGAGGCTCAGAGAGGCCAAGCCGCCTATGTGACAACGCAGAGCAAGTTGGAGGCAGGGCTGGGACATGGACCCAGCCTCTCCCCCGCCTGTCCCTTCTGTGGCCCTGCTCCTTGTCTCCTGCCACCCTGCAGGTGGGAGCTGGTCACTTCATCTGCTTGGGTTTGGGCAGCTTTTTTCTGGAAACTCCAGTCATTGCCAGATCATCCCCTGATTCTCTTCTAAATCCTCAAATGTTTTGTGACTGTTTTGAGAGCAGCATTTTTTGTTTCTGATATAGCAAAGTTATGACTTGCACGAGCTGTGTTTTATGGGTCATCTCCAATACTTTATCATGCCCCATGGCCTTCATTTAGTCATTCATCCCCACACTCCACAGACATTTATCAGTGCCTACCATGTGCCAGGTGCTGCACTAGACCTGGAGCTACAAGGACGAATCAGAGCTGCCCCTGCCCAGGGGAAATTCTCAATTCAGCCCAGGAGAGAAGCATCTCCATCAGCGATGACAGGTGAGGCATGAGATATGAGAGGTAAGTGCTGATCACTCAGGGATCTCTGGAGCCAAAGCAGTTGATTCTGTTCCTCCAAGCAGTGTTGAAGGATGAATAGGGATTCTCCAGGGAGAAGCAACTGGGAGGGGCTCTCTGAAGATCTCACCTGCCTCCTGTTGAGCTTTTAGGCAGGAGGGAGTGAGGGATGGTGGGGAGACACAGGGCTAGAGAGGTCGACCAAGGCTGGAGCTTAAAAGGCCTCAACTGTTGGGCTGGGGAGTTTGAACTTGACCCTTAAGGTAAAAGGGAGCCAACGGCAGGTTAGGTCTGGGTGTTGGAAAGATCCTGGCTTTGCCCAGGAGCTCAAGGCTGCAGTGAGCTATGATCCCACCACTGTACTCCACCCTAGGCGACAGAGCAACACCCTGTCTCTCTCTCCATCTCTGGACAGTGTCTCTCGATCTGTTGCCCAGGCTGGAGTTCAGTGGCGTGATCAGGGCTCACTGCAGCCTCTAACTCCTGGGCTCAAGTGATCCTCCTGCCTTGGCCTCCCGAAGTGCTGGGATTACAGGCTTGAGCTACTGTGCCCAGCAGAGACCCTGTCTCTTTAAAAATATTTTTTTAAGGCCAGGTGTGGTGGCTCATGCCTGTAATCCCGGCACTTTGGGAGGCCAAGGCAGGTGGATCACCTGAGGTCAGTAGTTCAGTGGCCAACACGGCGAAACCCCATTTCTACTAAAAAATACAAAAATTAGCTGGGTGCAGTGGCAGGCGCCTGTAATCCCAGCTACTCAGGAGGCTAAGGCTGGAGAATCGCTTGAACCTGGGAGGTGGAGGTTGCAGTGAGCCAAGATTGTGCCATTGCACTCCAGCCTGGGATACAGAGCAAGACTCCATCTCAAAATATATATATAATTTTTTAAAAAAATAAATCAAGATCCTGGGCTGGTCTTGGGGGTGACAGCAGGTAGGACAGGACCATAAGAATGGCACAGAGTGGCGTTTAGCAGGGAGATTCAACAAGATTTGGAGACTGAGTGCTGCTCAAGGGGAGAGAGAGAGTTAGGAGGGTGATGTGGGCTTGGGGGCCCTGTGGACCAATGTTGAGGTGAATGCTGGCAAAGCTTGGGTCAGTGTCCCCAGGTGGAGCCCGCAGGGACCTCGTCAGCTTCGTGAGACTTAGAGCAGCAGCCTGATGAGGCCTCCAGGGTCCCGCGTCTCTTCCCCTTGTGGAGCCTCAGTTTTCTCCTATGTAAAGCAGAGGTGATGATAGTGCTGCCCCAGGTGTTGTGGGGAAGGTGGGAGGAGAGCGTGTCAAGGGCAGGTTCTCCACGGTGCCTGGCACATAGGAAGTGCTTGGTGACGGGAAGTAATTCTGGTTACCACGGTCCAGGGGCAGAGGTGGGTGAGAGAGCTGGCTGGCACTGGAGCTCCAGATCGCCACCTGGGCAACTGTGTAAGGACCTGGAGTGTGTTGCCTGGAGAAGGGAAACCAGAGAGGGGCTTGGCTTCCTGCCTTTCCATCTCTGTTGGAGGAGGCAGGGTCTGGGTCTGGCACTCACAGGAAAAGCTCCAGGGAAGGAGATCCCAGCTTAGGCTAGGAAAACCTTTTGGATACAAAGAATTCTCTGCAGATGGGCTAGCTTGGGTGATAGGTAGCGATCTCCTCATCACTGAGAGTATTCAAGCAGCAGCTGCACCATAGCTTGGCAGAGAGTCTGTAGAGGATTTGTGATTCAGCTGATGATCTGGAAGGTCCTTTCCAGCCCAGAGAGTGTGTGATTTCAGGTCCTTCCTTCTCTGAACCTTGGTTTCCTCATCTGTAATACAAGGATAACAGCAGCCCCCATCTTAGAGTTGGTTGCAAAGTTTAAGTGAAATCATCCAAATAAAGTGCTTAACCCAGATTTGGCGCATAGCAAGCGCTCGGTGAATGGTGGCTATTATTACTGTGGATGTTGCGCTAGATTCCTGGGCGTGTCACTTCCATCTGAGAGCCTCAGGCGCCTCTGCTCATCAGGGTGCTCCTGCCTGCCTGCCCTTCGGGACCCACTTTCTGCCCTTCTCATTGCCACCGTCTCTGTCTCCAGCTCCCCCTTCAACCTCCCTGGGAGGTGGTAGGATTTCCAGACCCTTCTGGGCCCCTTTTAGCTCCCACTTGAGCAAGAGTTGGCAGGTTGGGGCGGCGGATGCCATCCGCCTCCCATATGCTTCCTGCTATTTAGAGGAAAACTCTCCCCGCGTTCCTCCAACCACACGGGCTGACATTTCCAGACAGACGCTGGAATCAGCTCTTCGGGGGATTGGCAGATAAATTTGGCCCAGGCTTTTGGGAAAATCTTCAGCCTTACTGAGGAAGCGGAGCCCAGGCTCAACGACTTCCGTCCACCCTGCTACTCCTCGGGCCTGGTCCTTCCAGGGGGCTGGAGCACTGTTCTACAGCCTTGCTGATTAGGGTAAGTCTTACCAGCCCAGCTGTCCCCCAGGAGAGCCCCTGGGGAAGTTGCTGCTTCCAGCCTTTCACTCAGAGGCAGCAGGAGTTGCAAGGGGAAGCTCCTCCCCCTACGCCAAGACACCTGGGTGTTACCCTACTCAACCTGGCAGAGGAGCAGGTTTGGGACGGTAGATACCAAGCTCCAGATCACTTCCTGTCTCTGTGATCTCAGGTGACTCCACCTCTCTGAGCCTCTTTTTCTTCATCTGTAAAATGGGGATAATAGGAGGATCTGTCTGGTTAAAAGCCTTAGGGTGGATGGTGCCTGGCACATGCTAAATGCACAACAAATACTAGCCACTAGTATTATCATCATCCTTGTTATCATTATTATTTGGGCTAGAACAGCGCCTAGCACTTAATATGGGCTCAGTAAATGTTAATGTTTTTTCCCTTGTCCTTTCCTACAGCTGTGGCTACTCAAGGAATACCAGGGCATTTCAGACTTAGCTCAGATTGGTGTAACCAGTGGCAGAAATGCAAGAGTAAGGACAGGCAGAGGCTGCCACATCCAGGGTAGAATGTAGACACCAGTCCCTCCATACACACAGACACACGCACATGCATGCACGCACGCACCTGTGTCCCAAAATCTCATGCATCCCATCTGAGTCTGGAGTTGCCCTCTGCTTGGTTTTGATGGGCGAAAGGGAAGAGGAAGGCCCGGCAAGGCCTGGGCTCTCTGCAGGCCTGGCTGGAGGCAGAGTGCAGGAGACGCTTGAGTGTCAGCCACAGTAGGAGGGTTCGGGGAAGCTGGAGTAATTCTATTTGGCTGGAGTAGAAAGTGGGTGGTGGGAAGGCGTGGGAAGCAAGTTTGAGCTTCATTCAGCACCTCCTGAGTGAGCCCAAGTACCGGGCCTCGTGCCAGGGACTGGGGAAGTGGTTGGAAAAGATGGGCACGCTTCCTGCCCTCAACAAGCTCTGGTTCTGGGACAGGGAGGCAGTGGCAAACATGCTAGCAGTAAGCTAGCGACACTCTGGGTGATGCTCAAATAGCCCCAGGTGCCAAGAGAGAGGGGGCCACAGGACAGTGGTAGTGAGTACCTTCCAGAGACAGGGTGGTCAGAGAGGCCCTCTTTGTCCTCTCAAGCACACACTGGAGCTGGCCCTGCAAATGCTGGATGGGTAAAGTGGCGGGAGGCAGAGGAGGCAGCGAGAACAAAGGTTGGGAAGGTGGCCGAAGCCAGACCCTGGAGGCCTCGAGGGCCAGGCCCATGGGAGATGCTCTTGAGAAAGACTATTCTGGTGGTGGGTGCGGGATCCTGTCAGGGGGAAGAGATGGAACCAGGAGACCTGTCTGCAGAGATGCCTTGAGCATCTGCCGCACATGCTGTTGGAGCAGTTGGGGGGAATTCTGGACCAGGGAGAAGTGGATGAGCAGAGAGCATCTCACAGGGTCAGGCTCTGAGCGGAATCCTGGGACTCGAGGCACATATGTTTTGAAAGGAGGATCTGGACCTGTGTGTAGCTGGGGTGGGGTCAGGTAAGAGAGAAGACATCAGGGAAACTTAGACCCAGACCTCAGGGTAGTCAGGAAGAGTTTTAGAGGAGAGCCTGGTGCTGGTTGTGGGGAGGGGCTTCCTGGCAGCCTGGGCTGCAGGTGGGAATGACAGCACACAGGTAGAGTGAGCACAGGCTTCGGCATTCGGCCCAGTGGCCAATTCCAGATCTGCTTCCTTGCTCTGTGACTTTGGGAAAATCACTTGACCTCCCTCCCTAAGCCTCACCTGTTCTAATAATACCGAATCAGTTGAAATTGCATTTAGCTGCATGTAACAGAAAACAAGTAACATTTGTATAAATACCCAGAAGATTATTATTCTTATGTAACAAGAATCTCAGGGCCATGGCTCATACCTGTAATCCAAGCACTTTGGGAGACCAAGGTGGGAGAATCGCTTGAGGTCAGGAATTTGAGACCAGCCTGGGCAACATAGTGAGACTCTGTCTCTACAGAAAATTTTAACAACTAGCCAAGCATGGTGGCAGGCACCTCTAGTTTCACCTGCTCAGGGGACTGTGGTGTGAGAATCATGTGAGCCCAGGAGTTCAAGGATACAGCAAGTTGTGATCATGCCACTGCATTCCAGCCTGGGCAACATAGCAAGACCCCATCTCTACAAAAAATAAAAATTAGACCAGCCTGGGCAACATGGCAAAACCCCACCTCTACAAAAAATACAAAAAAAAAAAAAAATAACCAGGTGTGGTGGTGTGTGCCTGTAGTCCCAGCTACCTGGGGGGCTGAAATGGGAGGATCACTTGAGCCCAGGAGGTCTAGGCTGCAGTGAGCTGAGATCACACCACTGCATCCAGCCTGGGTGACAGTGAGACCCTGTCTCAAAAAAAGTAAAAATAATTTAAAAAATAATAATTAGCCAGGCATGGTGGCACATTCCTGTAGTCCCAGCTACTTGGGAGGCTGAGGCAGAAGGATCACTTGAGCCCAAGAATTCGAGGTTACAGTAAGTTATGATCATGCCACTACACTCCAGCCTGGATGAGAGAGCAAGACCCTGTCTGCATTAAAGAGAGAGAGAGAGAGAGAGAGAGAGAGAGAGAGAGAGAGAGAGAGAGAGAGAGAGAGAGAGAGAGAGAGAATCTCAGAGGCAGGCAGGCAAGCCAGGGCCAGTGCAGTGATTCAGATGAAACATCAAGGGCCCAGGCCTCTGACACCCTTAGCATGCATCTTTCATTCTCATGGCTACAAAATGGCTGCTCCTCTGCCATGTGCTGCATCTGAATTCTAGACAGGAAAAGGAGAGTAAAGCCTGCATGCTTCGCGAGTTTCCTTTTCCTACCAGGGAAACAAAGACTTCCTGGAAGCCCCACTTTGTGGATTTTTGCCTACTTCTCTTTTGCCAGATTTGGACACATGGACACCCTAGCTGCAAGGGAAGCTGATGAAGTGAATATTTCTAACTGAGCCCTTCTGTTAGGAAAAAGGGAAGAATAGCTAGCAGGATAGCTAGCATGATCCACCTTAAAGTACCCACCTCACAGGGAAAGATTCTAAGAGATATTTAATGTACATAAAATAATCGGCAACCTTTCAATAAATGGTGGCTGCCTTTATTCTACTACTCTACCTACATGTATTCATTCATTCATTCAGCAAGCAAGCAAGCATATATTGTGTTTTGGGCACTGAACACAGTACTGCACATGACAGTGACAGTCCCTGCCCCTTTGGCACTCACAACAGATAGGGAAGATGGGCAAGGAAACAAATTCACTCTACTTCAATCAGTGTCAAAACAGAGGATTTATTTTTGTCTGTGTTTTCTTACCACTGTGGTTTCTCCACCTAAAGCAATGGCTGGGACACACTAGGCACAAAATAAATAGTTATTGAATGAATGAGATAGTTCAAGAAATACCCACTAGTGGCCTACCATGTACAAGACTCTGGATTGGTTAGAGAAAGTGGGTGACACATCATGCCTCCCTTCAGAAGAAGCAGGGAAAGAAAGTCATTTTATGGTGAACATTGAGATGGGTGCTGGGGACCTAGCAGTGAACAAGAATGTTGTGACTCCTGTCTTCATTGAGCCCCCAGTCTAGGGGCAGAGGCACTGGAGGAGTCTAGAGTCCTGAGAACATTCTGTTCAGGTGTCCTGGGGTAAGCCCCTTCCCTTCCCCGGGCTTCCATTTCCTTACTTATATGACAGGTATGATGGGTCCTGGTGGGGCTATCGCTGATGCTGGTGATGATGGTGGGTGTCTCATAAGCTCTTCTCCTCTGTATGTGTAGGAGGCTGATGTAGAGCTGGGATGGGGGCTTCTCCTTGCCATGTTAGGAGAAGAGACACCTGTGGCAGCGATGGGAGTGGGCTGCATCTGATCCCCTTGGAATCTCATGGGGTCCCAGGAGAGCAAAGAATCTGGGCCTTGTTTCCATCCTTGCCCACCCCAGTGTCTGAGTCTGGCAGCTTGTTGACAGCTGGCCAGCTGGGCATGGAGCATCCAGCACTGGATGTTGGCAAGCAGTGAATGGGCTGTGCTGGGTACCCCAAGGTGAGAAGTGAGGATGATTGCAATTATGGGAGATCTGGAGGTGGAGAAGCAGCCTGGAATTTGAGGGCAGAGATCTGGTTTTGTCACTTGTTTGGCTATGTGACATTTGAGACATTTCTTGGCCCATTGAAACCTTGGTTTTCCTTTTCTTTTTCTGAGATAGAGTCTTGCTGTCTCTCCCAGACTGGAATGCAGTGGGGCAATCATAGCTCACTGCAGCCTTGAATACCTGGGCTCAAATAATCCGGCTGCCTTAGCCACTGTGTAGTGGCTGAGTAGTGCCACTGTGCCTGGCCTTTTTTAGGGGGTGGGGGTGGAGGGGCAGGGTAGAGACTGAGTACTGCTTTGTTTTCCAAGCTAGTCTCAAACTTTTGGTCTCTAACGATCCTCCTGCCTTGGCTTAGTTTTCTTTTTCTCTTTCTTTTCTTTCTTTCTTTCTTTTTTTCTTTTTTTTTTTTTTTTTTTTGAGACAGAGTCTCACTCTGTCACCCAGGCTGGAGTGCAGTGGCACGATCTCGGCTCACTGCAGCCTCTGCCTCTCGGGTTCAAGTGATTCTTCTGCCTCAGCCTCCCGAGTAGCTGGGACTACAGGTGTGTGCCACCACACCCGGCTAATTTTTGTATTTTTAGTAGAGACAGGGTTTCACCATGTTGGTCAGGCTGGTCTCGAACTCCTGACCTCAAACCATCCACCCACTTCAGCCTCCCAGAGTGCTGGGATTACAGGCGTGAGCCACCATGCCTGGCTGGCTTGGTTTTCTTATCAGCAAAATGGGTATAATTGTCCTTGTCTTGTCTACCCCTCAATATCTTGACCTAGCACATAGTAGACACTCAACATGAGCAGTGATCATCATTGCTATCATTACATTGTCCTTGTTGGGAAGGGGGAATGTTTACTAAGCTGTTTACTAAGCCCTTTTTATGTGCCACACTTGGTGCTGGTCACACCATCTTAATGCACCACAACTCTGAGGAGGTGGCCTTCTTCCCATGTATCAGAGGAGGACACTGGTATTCTGTTGTGCCCCATCTTCCCCTTAGGCTGCTTTAGAAGCACAGAGTTGCTGGCTCCGCTGGGGTCTCCACTGAACTGAAGTCCTGAGGGTCCTTAAAGAAGGGCTCAAGGCAGCTCAAGCTGTTTACTTTGAGACCATGTGGGCAGCCAGTGATATCAGAGAGGTGATCAGGGCAGAAATAAATCTAGCCCTCATCAAATGGGCAAGGAGCCAATAAAAGACGGCCTCAGGGATGAGTGATGGAGTGGGACAGGCTGAAGGATCAGCAGTGTTTCTCCTTATTCACTGTCTTGAGAACAGGGCAACAAGCCCAGCCCTTGAGATGAGGTGGCATTGGGCTTGTCCCTTGCTGCTGCACTTGGCTGTAACACTGTATCCAGTGACCGTCCCTGCTTGTGTCTGAAATGAAGCCAGTAGGTTAAAAAGGGAAGGTTTGGGAGGCTCTCTTGGCCTATGAAGATGGGTTTTCCTAGTCAAGAACCTCCAGAAAGCCTTCCTGAGCTACCCCAATCCAAGGAACTTCACGGGGTGAGAAACACACAGGAAAACTGGTCTCTGGAATGAAAGAGATGCAAATAGAAATAGACCTGGAAGGCCGGGCGCAGTGGCTCACGCCTGTAATCCCAGCACTTTGGGAGGCCGAGGCAGGCGGATCACGAGGTCAGGAGATCGAGACCATCCTGGCTAACACGGTGAAACGCCGTCTCTACTAAAAATACAAAAAATTAGCCAGGTGTGGTGGCGAGCGCCTGTAGTCCCAGCTACTCGGGAGGCTGAGGCAGGAGAATGGCGTGAACCCGGGAGGCGGAGCTTGCAGTGAGCCTCATGGCACTCCTTAGCGCCACTGCACTCCGGCCTGGGTGAAAGAGCGAGACTCCGTCTCAAAAAAAAAAAAAAAAAGAAAGAAAAAGAAATAGACCTGGAAGTAGCTTCTCAGGGCCTTACTAAATGTGGGGCAAGTAACTAGCTAGAAAAAAAAAGAAGCTTTCATTGCCACCTCAGCATGGGGGAAGGGGATTTTGACACTTTGACCTTTGAGCTGTGCTGTTTGGGGTGCGGGGCACTCGTTTGCCTCTGTCCTTAGTGCTGATGTCAGGGGTGTTGTCCGTGGTGCTGAAGATAGAGAGGGTAGAGATTTGGCCTGGTCCCGACGCCTGGGGGTGCTGTCCTCGGTTCTGTCTTGAGAGTTTTCATGAATCATTTCCAGGACTGTGTGGTTTTCTGGGGACCCAACTGGGAGGTCAGAAGCTTTGGCCCTGGCATTGTGCAAATCTGAGCAATATCTGAGGTAGGATTTGAGCCTCTGTTACCATCTACCAGGCACCCTTTTAATAACTTTGGATGTATTATGCCATTTATTTCTAAGCAGCAACCTACAGGGGAGGTACTAATATTTATTCCCATGTTAAAGGTGAGCAAACTGAAGGTTAGAGAAGTTGAGTGACCTGGGGACTGTATTTCTAGCCTCAATTTCCTCAGTCATAATAGGAAGGTTGTTGGTAGTGTAACACAAACTAATGGGTGGGACAGGGCTTTGTAAACTGATGCACAGATGTGGTGGCATTAGTCTTACACACGGAGGAAAGCAGGAGTGAATTGTCAAATGCAGATACTCTTGGAACCTCATAGAACTTCCTGCAAAGTCTGAGGTTTGAGCCAGAAAGGAAACAAGGAGATCAGGGGTGGTGGTGTGTAAGGCTCAGAGATTGTGTGGAAAAGAAGAAAGTGCCCATTTACTGTGTACCTACTGTGTGCCAGGACCTGTACTGGGCACCTGACAAACCTGGTCACTCTACCTGCATAACCACATTGGTGAAGAGCAACTGGTTTCATTTTACAGATATGGAAGTGGAAGGGGGTTACTTAGCTAGGAGGTGGTGTTGAGAAAGGCCTTGAGAACCAGAGACTTGAGTATCTAATCCTGGGTGTCATCTGGTCCAGCCCAGAGAAGGGGTGTGACCTGCTGGGGGCATGCTAAGTTGGCAGTAGGACTCAGGCTGGATTTGGCTTCCTTTGGTGTCTTTCCTCTCCTAGGAATATGGCACCACCACCCTCCCCTCACCACTAGCCCCACGAAGATGAGGAAATACTGTTGTGTCACAAACAGGGGCTGTGTGTCAGAGACCCAAGATTCAAATCCTGGATCTGCTAACTGTGAGCTGTGTGGCCTCAAACAAGTCATCTACCCTCTCTGGGCCTCAGTTTTTCCACCTCTAGCTTAGCGGAAGAGCACGGTAATCACTGCCCTGTAGATGGTTTTCAGGATCAGAAGAGAGAGTGGGTTGAAAAGGGCTGGCAGGTTAGTTCTTAGTAGTAGAAATAAGACCCAGAGGAGGGAAAGACTGCCCCCTACACACACCCCAGGAAGCACAGCAAGAAGCAAAAGTGCAAAAGGGCCTAGAACTGATGCCCTGAGCCACCAATGCCATTTCCCAGCAGGACTAGTAGGCATGGCTGGGGCAGCACCTGGCAGTCCCAGCTGACAGACATTCCTTCGGGCAGGCAGTCTCAAGCCCCAGAGCCAAGCATCCTTGTGGGGGGTCAGTGGCCAGGCCAGCTCTGGCTGTTCCTCCACCAGCCTCCCTAATGGCTCCAAGCTGCATACGCCTCATGGGGCTGCTGTCATGCCTAATTAGGCTGTCCTCAGCCACCCTCTCTCCAGGGCCCTGTTGTGGCCATTTGAGGCTCTGGACATGATTATGGTGGCTGCCCTTCGCAGCTGTTTGGCTTTTGGAAGGAGGTGGCCACCTGCTCTCATGATTACCTATGGCCTAAGAGATCTGCCTCCCCACTTCAGCCCAGGAGGCTTAGCTCTGCAGCTCTGGGCCCAGAGATCTAGCTGCACCCTCCTCACACACCCTACCCTGGCTCCAAAGCCTGGCACTAAAGCAGAGTGAAGAAGGAAAGGAGAAAAAGATGGCAGGAGTAATAGAGAGAACAGGAGGGAAAGGAAGGCGGGGGCCTCGGCACCACCAGCCAGCCTCCTCAGCGGAGGCTGGGATCACTTAGGAGACAAAGCCCACCTCGTCCACACTCTCCCCTGAACCTTTCAGCAGCCCATGCAGCCAGCAGGACACAGAACCAGAGAGCAAGCAAGCGTGACACATTGTGTGAGGTGAGAGCTTAGTGTGGGGCCAGGGTCAGGGGTCATTCTGGGGCTCAAATCATAGGGGAGTTCCTTGCATAGCAAGGATAGAAGTTGGGGCCTTGACCTCATGTTCAGCACCTGTCAGCACAGAGCAAGCATGTTTGCTGAAGGAAGGAAGGTAGAGAGGGAGGAGGGAAAAAAGGGAGAAAAGGAGGAAGGAAGGGAGGAAGGGAAGGAGGGAGAAACAAAGAAGGAAAGGATGGAGGGAAGAAGGAAGAGAAGAAAAGAGGGATGGGGGAGGGAGGGAGGAAAGAAAGAAGGAAATACTAAAAGGCATTCCATGTAGAGGGAACTCACAAACCCAAACCCAGGGGTGTTGTTTGAACAGTTTTCTTTTTGGGTTGGGGGAAGGGGGAGACAGGGTCTCACTCTGTCATCCAGACTAGAGTGCAGTGGTGCAATCATAGCTCACTACAGCCTCGACCTCCCAGGCTCAAGTGATCCTCCCACCTCAGCCTCCCAAGTACCTGGGGGACTATAGGTGTGCACTACCATGCCCAGCTAATTTTTTATTTGTTGTAGGGACGAAGTCTCACTGTGTTGCCAGGGCTGGTCTCAAACTCCTGGGCTCAAGTGATACTCCTGCTCAGCCTGAATGATTTTCTTACATAAATTATATCATAATCAATTAATATATTTGCATTTTTCTTTTTTCACTTATTTTTGAGATGTATACAAGTGCAGCTGTAGCTCGTTCATTTTTTCTGCCGAATAGTATTCCATTGTATGCTTATACCACATCCTCCTGCCGGTGGATATTTCAGTGGTTCTGGTTCTCCACCATGAAGATCTCTGTGAATATGCATTAGTATTTCTCTGGAAGCAGGATTTTCTGTGTTAATAAACACTGCTAAAGTGCCCTCCAAGGTAATTATGCCACTTTGCACTCCTGTTAGTGATATATCTGAGTTCTCATTTCCTCAGCACCTCAGCATCAGTTGATTCATCGCTCTTTAATTTTGCCAATCTGCTGGGAGAAAATATCTCATTTTCATTAGCGTCGCCTGACTATTAGAGAAGCTGAGTGTCTCATGATGTGTTTAGCGGTCATCTGAATTTTTCTCTTCTGCAAAATGCCTGTTCATATACTTTGCCCAGTTTTTTATGCGTCACATCTTTTTCTTATTAATTTGTAAAGAGGTTTATATATGTGAATATTAATCCTTGTTATCTTTGTCGCAAATATTTTCTCCAAGTTGTGTTGCTTGTCTGTTAACTTTGTGTCTTCTACATTCAGAAGTTTAAACTTTGGGGGTAGTAAAATTTATTTTCCCCTTCACTTGCTTTTATTTCTTTGCAACTTCTTTAAGAAGGCCTTCCCCACCCAAGGTCATAAAGATAATTCTAGATCTCTTCTAAGTATTTTCATTTTATTTCCTTTTGTTTCATATTGAGATATTTAATCAAGTTTAGGTCTTTTATCTTTGCATGCGGTGTGAAATAGGGATCTGATTTCATTTTTCTATAGCTAGCCTATTGTCCCAGCAGCATTAATTGAACACCCTGTCCTTTTCTCACTGATTTGAAATACCATCTCTGTTTTATGTTTAAGCGCCCATGTATTTATGGATCTGTTTCTGGGAACTCTGTTCTGTTTCATTGATCTCTTTGTCTATCTCTTTGTCTATTTCGGTTCTACACTAATCACTGTATCTCATCATTTTTCAACAGGGACATCTTGGCATTTGGGGTACAACAATCCTTCCTTGGGTGGGACTGTCCTGCTCATTATAAGTTCTTGAGCACCCGTCATCCAGTCCTTGGCACTCAGTAGAACCCTCCCCTGAGTGAGTGTTATGAAGAAAAATACCCTGAGCGAGTGTTATGAAGAAAAACACGTTTGCAAAGTCGCCCTAGGAGGGCAGTCCCTTGGCTATTGAGAACTGCCACAGATAGCTGTATTATGTGGCTTGATATCTGGTAGGACAAGCCTCCCCGTCCCCACTTCTTGATTCTTCCTTTGTATGTTCTCTTCGCACTCTGCTTTGCTGCCATCAGTGGAATCCATAGCATGACACTGTCAGGCATCTCTGGAGATGGGACTCCCATCAGGCAAGGCAGCCCACTCCTTTGTGTGTGTCTGTCTGGGGCCTGATTGTTAGAAAGTGCTGTCTTACACTGAGCTGAAGTTGGCCTCCCTGTGTCCCACTTCCTCCCCAGCTCCTGGAGCCCCCAGAACACACGTCCCTCCCCCGTGGCCCACCCTTCATTGACCTCAGAGAGCAGACATTTCCCCTCCACCTCAACTCTTTTCTCTAGACTCCCAAACTCAATAACCCCGGTTCCCTCTGATGTGCGTCAAAGACTTGGCTTAGTGGCAGGCAGCGTGGTATGTTTGAACTTGAGTCAGACACATTGAGTTAGAATTCCTGCTCACTTACCTATTAGCTGTGTGACTCTGGGAAAGGCAGTTAACCTCTCTGTGCCTCATTTGTTAAATTGGGGTAATAGACCCTCTACCTCAGAGGGTTGATGAGAGATGTAAATGATTCGGAGCATAAGGCCTGAGCCTGGTGCAGGTGCCCAGGAAGTGATAGCTGTTCACACTTTTCCTGCGATTATTACTTCTTCATGATGCTCCTGGTCACTGTTCCATGCCTACCCATCAGAAGAGGTGTCCAGAGCTGAAAGGGGCACCCAGATGGGCTCTGGCCAGGATAAGGACCACCATTGCATCCTCTGCCTGAGAAACTAGGATGACAGGATTTGCTGTGGGGCTGGTTGTGGGGATGACAAAGAGGAGTCAGGGCCAAGTCCAGAGTTTTGGTCTGATCCATTGTGAGGGTGGCGCTCCCATCAGTGGGAAGGAGAAGACCGGGAAGAGCAGGTTTGCAGGGTCAGGAGTTCAGGTTTAGACATGACAAGTTGGCGATGCCTGTTAGACATCCAAGTGGAGATGTTGAGTTGAAAATTGGATATGTGAATCTAGGGTTTGGGAGGAGGGAGGATTCCAGGCCTGATGTGTCAATGTGGGGGTCATCAGACCTTCCCAGACCTTTTCCTCTGCTATTGCATAGACGTAGTTTTATTCTGAGAGGTAGGACAGCACAGTGGTTAAGAAGGCTTGTTCTGGAGTCAGGTGGTTCGAGTACCAGCTCTGGCTGTTTCTCACTGTATGTCTGGGACAAGTTACTTACTTTCCCTGTGCCTCTGCTTTCCCATCCACCAAATGGGTAACAGTAATGCCCATCTCTCCCTTAGAGATGTGGTGGGGATTACAGGAGATAATGAATGATGCCAAGTCATGGGCTTACCTGAGACCTGTTGCACGCTAAGCACTGTCTATATGAACTCTAGTAATTATCATTTTTAGCTGTGAGTCTAAGCTGTGAAGGTTTCCTGATTGATTCATTTGTTCCTTTTCTTCCTCTCTCTTTTTAAAAAAAATTACCTTACATAAGTAAGAAAAATAAATAAGAGAAAAGGAGAAAAGAAAAGACAAAACAAGATGATTCTAGGTTATACTTTATTAAAGGTAGGCTATAAATTTGCCTCTGAGCTTCCTAGTAGACAAAGAAAAAAAGGAAACAAGAAGTAGCATGATTCACTGTGCCCTTGAAAGGAAAATAAGTCAATTAATTGCTCAGGTGTGTGCAGAGTATCCATGTCCTCAGAGCCATTCATACAGTAAATACAGTAACAACAGGGGCTGCTGCTATGACTCTAGTCCCCAAAGGCTCTGGGGTTCAGAGGGGCCATGACTGGTACTCTGGAGGCCATGAAACCAAAGCATGGGTGGTGGAGGCTGGGCTCCTGGCCTTCTAATGGGGGAAACAGCCAGGACCACACCTATCCTGCTGCGTGGCAGCATGGGCTCCAGGCTGAAATAGGGGCAGAGAAGTGTGCAAACTGGACCAAGGGGCAGTGAACTTCAGCTGGGAGAAGACATCACAGAAGACATCATATTTGGCATAGGCCTTGAAAGCTGAGTAAGGCTCTGACCCCTGGAGATGACAATGGAGGTCCTGAGTTCCCCATCAGACCCAGCCTGAGAAGGAGCGTCGTCCACAGCCTGTTACAGATAAAGAGAGCTTAGAGATTCAAGTTCAGCTGCACTCCCATGATAGGAGAACTGAGGCCCAGAGAAGGCAGGGCTAAACCTGGAGTCACACAGAGAGGCAGGAACCTAGCAGGCCTCAAACCCAAGCCTTCTGCCTCTCTGACCAAAGCTAGTTCCCCTTCCTTACCCTGACTACAGCTTCTCTGGGTTCTGACTCGCCTCCTGCAGGGTCATTAACCACCTACTGCCTGCCACATGGTGTCCCCCTATATTTAACTCCCACGCTGTGACTTACAGAGGCCCAGAATAGCAATCCTGAGTGGGGGGGCATGCCTCCACTGTACCCCCCTCTAGTCTAACTGAACTGCTGGTCACAGCTCCCTTCTCCAGGAGAGAGCAGGGTCCTGGATCCTGGGTCTGTGTTACTGCAAGAGGAGAACTAGCTTGTCCCTAAGTAAGACTTAGTATAAGGAGTGAACTACCCACTTGAGGAATCCTGGATACACACTGAGCCCTGACCCTGGCCCCAGACTGAGCCTTGATCCCTATCCACAGACTAAGCCTTGGTCCCTGCCCCCAGACTGAGCCTTGACTTTGATCCCAGACTAAACCCTGACCCTGGTCCCAGACTGAGCCCTGATCCCTTCTCTAGGTTGAACCTTGACCCTGACCCCAGACTGGGACCTGACCTTGATCCAAGACTCAACTCTGACCTCTTCTTCAAGCTGAGCCGTGACCCTGGCCTCAGACTAAGCTCTGAGCTCTGGCCTTGACCCAGATGGTTGGCAGTTGGGGACATGAATAGTTGGGACTCCTTCTCCCCCTTTAAATGCTAGAAACTCAGCTGAGGGGCCCCACCCCCATTTAGGCCAGTGACTCAGATTGTGCCCTGAGGGTTCTATCTCAGAGACTGCCCCCGACACCCTGGCCTCAGCTGCAGTGGCCTGGGGACCTATAGCCGTGGGAGATAGAACCATTCAGGCCGCCCACTCTGACCATGAACTCCTCTGCAACCCCAAACAGGCTGCCAGCACAGCTGAAAGCTCTCCCGCCCCTTCTCCTAATTTGCCTCCTCTCTAATTCTCCAGGCCATGCGATCTGTGGTGAGGGCTGAGATATTTATAAAATCTGTGTCCTTCATGATAAAGCCAGCCCCAGGGACCAGGTTCAGAGCAGCTCTATTCATCCTTTAAAGCCCAAAAACTTCAAACGCACCCACCACAGAGGGCCCTCATCACAGTCCCACCTGTCACCAATTGAAGTCCCACCCCCTGCATTTTGGAATTGCCTTCTCTCTTGTGCCCAACACTGTTCCCAGCAGCCACAAACCCTGGCTGGGTGGAAGAAGCTGGGACGCTGGAGGCTGACGACAGCTCTGCTTCCTGACTGGTGTCTCAGATGAGTCACTACCCAGCTCTGAGCTCCAGTCCCTTTGTCTTGCAAATGGAACAGCGCCCACCCTTCACCCCCCAGTCTATAGTGCTGGGGGGTAGGATTCCATGAGGTGCAAAGTGCTCAGCTCTGGGCCTGGCAGAGGAGCTTCTGGGTGTTAATGCCGTCTCCAATGCAACCAGTATCACATGAGCAAGTGGGCAACACCTGCCATAGCTTTCCCATAGCCTGTCCCAGTTCCTGAAGGTGCACCATCGGGGTTATCCAGAAATCTCAGTTAAATCACGGGTCACCCTTGAGGGGAGGCGGCTTAAGGCTTGTCCTTTTGGAGGAATTGCAGAGGCTTCTGGGAGTATCCTTAAACTCGCCCTGACTTCACTTGGTGGGCCTCAGGGCCTGGGTGATAGGCAGGGAGTGGCTTGGGGTCGTGTCCCGAACAGCAGAGGGTGGTCTGGTTCAGAGTGAGGCAGCAGGGATGGAAAGCCAGTGAGCTGGGGGGCAGGAGCTGTTGGAGCAAGAGTGAGGGAGCCACTCGGCTTCCAGCTCAGGTGCTAGGGGCTGCCACTAGGAGAGAGACAGGAGAGGAGCAAGTGTGTCAGAGGAAATCTGGAATTCAGCTCAAATGCGTTGAGTCTCAGATGTCTGGCCAGCAAGCAGGAGAGACAGCCAGGAGGGGTTAGAGCCTTAGGATTGCCTGTCATTCATTCACTCATTTGTTGTTTGTTTGCTTGTTTTGGGGGGTATTTTTTGAGACAGAATCTCGCTACGTCTTCCAGGCTGGAGTACAATGGCATGATCTCAGCTCACTGCAACCTCCACCTCCCAGATTCAAGCGATTCTCCTGCCTCAGCCTCCTGAGTAGCTGGGATTACAGCATGCACCACCACGCCCGGCTAATTTTTGTATTTTTAGAGAGATGGGGTTTCACCATGTTGGTCAGGCTGCTCTCGAACTCCTGACTTCGTCATCCACCCGCCTCAGCCTCCCAAAGTGCTGGGATTACAGGTGTGAGCCACCGCGCCCAGCCCATTCACTCATTTGTTTATGCATTCCTTCCTTTGACAGATATTTATTAAGCACCTACTAGGTTTCAGGTACTGTTTCAGGCCCCAGGCTATTGTAACAGACGGGACCCAACCTCAACTTTCCTGAGGTTATCAGTCTGGTGGAAGAGATAGACAATAAGTAAAATAAACGAACAGATGCTGTGCTCCTGGGTGACATGGGAGTGAGGAAGGGGGTGAGAGAGGTGTCTCTGAGGAGGTGACACTTGGGCTGAGCCCTGAATGAATCAAGGGAGAAGCCACACGAGGGTCTGGGGCAGAGCATTCCTGGTAGAGGGAACAGCCAGTACGCCCTGAGGCAGGAAACAGGAGGCCAGTTGGGCTGAGGACTGGGAAAGGGAGGCTGGGGGCGGGGGAATGGGTGGGGTAGGAATGTTCAGGAAGGAATCATGTGGCCTTCATGAGGGGTTTGGTTTTGGTCAAGAGCTCAGGGGTGAGACTAGGGTGGGACTGGAGAACTGGGAGTCATTAGGGCAGAAGGGGTGGAAGGGGGTGATTCAAATCCCAGGGGATGAGGTGCATTGGGGAGGTGACTGAATGGGAACACAGACCTAACCAAGAGCCTGAGCAAGACTGGAAGTGCCTCCTTAGCCTGGGGTCAGAGAGGCCTGGGTGAGAACCCCAAGCTCTACACTCCCTCGCTGTGTGGCCTAGGGTCTCCTCTTTGCTGGGCCTCAGCTTCCTCATCTGGTAAACAATAAAATTAATCCCTGTCCCCCGGCTGCTAACTTACGAAGTGCTGGGCTCCTGGGAGACGCTCTGGGGTCTGGAAACCCAGCCCTCTTGGTAAGCTGGGAAGTATGGGGCTGGCCTGGATTTCTGGACTTATTTCCCCTGAGGTCTCCACACCGAGCCCCTGGGGAGCACAGGGAAGCGAGCCAGCCGCTGTGGAGACTGACCCAGGCCAGAGCTTGTCCCAGCCCCAGCCCCTTTAGAGAGCTGAGAACCAAAGTGAGAAACTGAGGCCGACCCTGGCACTTAGGAGGGAAGGAAAGGGGGGCTCTGTGCCTGCACCCTTTGTGGCACTTTAGCCATATTGTCTTGGAATTAGACATAGATTGGGGTCTTCATTGTTCAGATGAGGAACTGAGGCTCAGAGAGGGAGGTGACCTGCCCAAAGTCACACAGGGAGTGTGTGCGTTCCAACCCTAGCCTGTGTCTCGGCCAGCCCTGAGGCAGCTGAGGAGGGGGCTCAGGGACTCATCCCTCGCCTGCCCACAGAATGCGCCCCAGGCCCTGCTGTACACACAGGGAGGTGGCCTTCACAGGGTGCCCCCTCCCTCCTCCATGCCGCACTGGCCTGCCTTCTATTTCTCAGAACCTGTGAATCTTTTTCCAGCCTCAAGGCCTTTGCACATGCTGTCCCCTGTGCCTGGAAAATTCTCTCTCTCCCTCTCTTTCACATACACACACATATCATCCTGTCAATTCCTACTCATCCTTCAGACTTTAGGTCAGACCTCACTTTGTCCGTGTGAAGTGCTCTCCTCAGCCCATCTACCCCATCTCCCAGGCTCCAGGGGCTGCTGTCACCGTTATCCGCCCGTGTGGTTAGATGTTTATGATCTCCCTTCCCTGACACCCTGGCTGGGGCCTATCACAGAACAGGGCCTGAGGAAGCGCTGGCTGGATGGGTGCTTGGGCCACTGCCCTGCGACTCTGCCCTGCGACTCTGCCCTGTGGGGGTGTGAGCTGCAGGGAGTACCCAGGAGCCCTGGCCCCACTGGGTGCTGCCCCCTTCCTTACTCCTAAGACGGACTCCATGGTCCCCATCTCCCCCGGGGCATGACGTCAGTCATTAAGTGGCTTCTGCAGTGAGCCGGGGCTGTGTGGGCTGTGGTGCGTGTGTGTGCACGTGGCCCTGGGTACATGCACGTGTGCGCACGAGCCTCCGTGAGTAATTCCAGCGGTGCTTCCCCACGCTGTCGCCATGGAGAGGCTGCTCCCACCCACCCAGCCCCAGGTGGCTGCCTCTGCCACCCTTTCCGGTCCCTCTCCCAGCCTCTCCATGACCCAGATTCGACCTGCCTTGCCTCCCACGTTCACAGGCTCTGGCTTCTGGAAGCTCAGGGTTCAGGGGCCTCTCCCTAAGACACACCTCTCATTCAGGATGGGCTCCAGGTTCCAGCAGTGCTTGTGGAGGCCACGTGGAAAGAGAGGGCCCTAGCATGCCACTGCCTGGGCGGGCACCTGACTCCTCCACCCAGATTGTGCAACCTGGGGATAAAAATGCCTCACTGGGGGATTCAGAGGCTCTGCTGTGGCCCTCCAGGACCCTCCCTAGAGCTGCCCCCTCCTCTTTTAGCCTCCCCGTCGTTCTCTCTGCTCCAGCCACACCAGCCTCCTTGCACCAGTCCCTTCACCCAACACACACACACCAGCTGCACCTCCATTCCACATTCACCATTCCTCTACCAGGAATGCCCTTTCCCCAGGCATCCACAAGACCCACCCGTCACTTCTGCCCAAATATTGCTTTTGCAGAAAGACTTTCCTGACCCTATCACACTGCATTCTTCTTTACCTTCTCTAATTGGCTTCCAAGAAGGTATTGTTGCATGACATTATATTATATATTCATTTACCTGTTACCTGTCTCCCCAGCTAGAATGTAGGCTCTATGGGGGCAAGGACTGTCTTCTTTGCTGCTGTATCCGAGAGCTTTGAGTGCCTGGCACATAGTAGGAGCTCAGTATCCAAATATGTGTTCAATGAATGCGTGAACCTAAAGCACTTAGCCCAGAGCCTGGCCCTCAGCGGTCAGCAATGTAGTTATCACAGTCAGCACTGCCTTTTTTTTATTATTATTATTGAGATGGAGTCTTGCTCTGTCACCCAGGCTGGAGTGCAGTGGCGCAATCTTGGCTCACTGCAACCTCCGCCTCCCAGGTTCAAGTGATTCTCCTGCCTCAGCCTCCTGAGTAGCTGGGATTATAGGCACATGCCACCACACCTGGCTAATATTTATATTTTTAGTAGAGACAGGATTTCACCATGTTGACCCGGCTGGTCTCAAACTCCTGACCTCAGGTGATCCGCCCGCCTCGGCCTCCCAAAGTCCCGGACCTGGCCAGCACTGCCATTCTCGACCATGCTCAGAGCAGGGGTGTGGCAAACATTAGTCTCTGTGCTGGATGGTCACACATATTTGATCGCTTATGGCCCTCACCATCAAGTCCATGAGAGAGATGCAGTTATTACTCGTCTCATTTTCTGGATAAAGGCATGAGGCTTTAAGAAGTCCCAGAGGTCCCTGAGACTGGCTGGGCTGATTAGATTGAGGCCCAGGCCTGCCTGGTCCCAGCTTCCAAGGCCACACCAGCTCTGAGGAGCCCACCTGCACACACAGCAATCTTGGGAGGCCCATTGAAACAACATCATGGCAGTGGGGACTCTCGTCCACTGAGGAGGGAAGCACCACCTCCGGAAAGGCTGGAGCCCCAAGGTCTAGTCCGAGGTTGACATCCTCCTACTGGGTGACCTTGGGCCAGCATCTGCCCCTCAGCACCGCAGAAGTGCAGTGAGTGGGGTTACTTGACCGGCTTGAGACCTCTTCCAGATCTGGTGTTCCCACATCTAAGAGGATGATCATCCCAAACCCCTCACCCAGAACCCAGCACACACACACACACGCACACACACACACACATACCACACGCACATACACACACCCCACATACACACATGCCACATACACACACCACATACACACACACACACCACATACACACACCCACACACACACATCACATGCACACACACACATACACATCACACACACCACACACATGCACACCATACACACACACCACATACATACACGTGCACACACACGCACACACACACCACAGACACACACATACACACACCACATACACACACCAGACACACACACGCACGCATACACACCACAGACACAAACACATACACGCACACACCACACACACACACACCACACACATACCACATACACATACCATGAGGGATAGATGGAACTTTTGATCTTCCTCTGGGGTGATTCCAGGGGCCTATTGAAGACTTCTCACCCTGAAGGCAGCCCTACTTAGCCTCAGTTTCTCCATCCATAAAACACGAACCATAACGAGCCCTGCCTGCCCTCTCAGGGCGGTTGCATTCAAATGATTCAGAAGAGGGAGAGTGGTTTTTGAGAGCTGTGCCCTTTTAAAGAGTGACAACCCACCATGGAACAGGAAGTTGACCTGTGCCCCAGGGAGGAGTTTCTGGGAAGAAAAACCTTGAGGCACCTGAAGCTGCAGAGGAAGAACCATCTTTATTCCCATATTCCAGGCAGGTAAACTGAGGCTTAGATTTGAGACATGATTATCTCTAAGTGGTATGGAGCTGGTAACAAAAACATCAGTGGGGAAGAAGGTCCCTAAGGGGAAGGGCGGGTTCCCTTAACAGACACGCCTGACCTTGTAAGTTTCCCTGAGGCAGCCCTGTACTCCCTTGCCATGGAGTAAGGATCAGTACACATGGACTCGCCTGAGAGCTTGTTAGAAAATGTAAGTTCTGGGGTCTCACTCCATTTAGACTTGGGTGAGTCCTAATTCAGGGGTTCTGGGAACCCAACTTGAGAAACACTGACACAGAAACGAAATAGCGAGAAACCAAAGCTATTCTATCCAGAGCATGCATTCAACTGACATTCACTAACAGCCCTTCCGTGTCACGCCCTGGCCAGCCTGCAGGACCCAAAGATACTCCCCAGTGCCATAAGGGAGGCATATGTGGAAATTGGCAGGCACTCCCACCCTTCTCCCTTCTTTGGATTTATTTTGGTGTTTCTTTTCTAACTTTTGGAGTTGTTTATCATATTGCTTTTCAGTTTGTTTTTTTCTTTTCTTTTTTTAATATAAACACTGAAGACTATACGTCTCTAGATACAACTTTAGCTGCATCCCTCAAATTTTGATATATTGTATTGTCATTATCATTCATTTCTAAGTCTTTTCTCATTTTCCTTTTGGTTTCTTCCTCAGCCCACGAGTTATTTAGAAATAGATGTTTTTTAAATTTCAAACGTATGGGTAATTTTCAGTTATCTTTTGTTACTGCATTGTTTCTTTGGTATTCGTTGAGATTGGCTTTGCAGCTTAAAACTTGGCAAATTAGGCCAGGCATGGTGGCTTACGCCTGTAATCCCAGCACTTTGGGAGGATGAGGTGGGTGGATCACCTGAGGTCAGGAGTTCGAGACTAGCCTGGCCAACATGGTGAAACCCTGTCTCTACTAAAATACAAAAATTAGCCAGATGTGGTGGCGGGCGCCTGTAATCCCAGCTACTCAGGAGGCTGAGGCAAGAGAATCGCTTGAACCTGGGAGGCAGAGGTTGCGGTGAGCTGAGATTGTGCCATTGCACTCCAGCCTGGGCGACAAAAAAACTTTGCCAATTTTTGTAAATGTTACATATGTGTTTGAAAAAACACGTATTTGCTAATTTTGGGGTTCAAACTTTTCTCTGTTCTTGATGTCCAGTGACAATTCTGGTGTGTTAGAGAGAACCAAGGGCTGTCGGACCCAAGAGGAGATTCCTGATCCGGTCTGTGTGTCTCAGGGAAGGCCTTCTGGAGGAGTTACTACTTAAAGATGTAAGTGTTAGGCTAGGAGACAAGATGGGAAAAGCATTCCACCCAGAGGGAACAGCATGGGCAAAGGCATGGAGGTATGGAGTAACTCTTGGCAAAAATGGAAACACTGATAAAATTTGCTAGGAATCAGGGTGAGGTAAGATCAGTCTGGTGGAGGTGGCAGGGTCAAAGGAGTGATGTTTATGAGAGAAGATATTACTAACACAGCCGTAGAGAAGAGTACATCAGGTGGCAGGAGCTGTGGAAGCAATAATACCAGCCAAGATCCATTAAGCTCTTATTGCTTGCTAGGCACTATGCTGAATGTTCTATGTGATTGCCTCGTTTAACCCCCTTTAACAGCTCTGTGAGATAGATACCATTATCTCCATTTATAGATGAGGAAATGGAAACCAGAGAGGTTGAGTAACCTGCCCAAGGTCACACAGCTCCAAATGGTAGAGTCAGGATTGGAAGTCAGCCAGATACAGTCTGACTCTGGCTCCCACATTCTCAGCCACTATGCTGTGGTTCCTGGGTATGATGGGAGTTGCTGGAGAATAACGTGTGGCTGGCTGTGACTGGAGCTTGGATTACCTAATACACAGCAAGGCTGGCCAGGCGCGGTGGCTCACACCTGTAATCCCAGCACTTTGGGAGGCTGAGGCGGGTGGATCACTTGAGGTCAGCAGTTCAAGACCAGTCTGGGCAACAAGGCAAAACCCTGTGTCTACCAAAAATACAAAAATTAGCTAGGCATGGTGGTGCATATCTGTAATCCCAGCTACCTGGGAGCCTGAGGCACAAGAATTTCTTGAACCCAGGAGGCGGAGTTGCAGTGAGCCAGGAGGTTGCTGGAGGTTGCACTCTAGCCTGAGCAACAGAGTGAGACTCTGTCTCAAAAAACAAACAAACAACAACAACCAAGAAAACAAAAACAAAAACATAAAAAGCACAGGCTGGACAAGATGAGGGCTTTACATTCAAGAGAATTGGGTTCCAGTGCTGACTACTTCCTAGCTCTGTGGCCTTGGGCAAGTCACTTCCACCCGAAGAGCCTTGGTTTCCTTATCTATAAAATGAGACCCATGCCCTTGCTCTGCCTGCCTCACATTCTGTGTAAGAAAAAATAAGATCATGCCTGCTTTGCAATCTCTGAAGTGCTCTGCCTGTGTCTGTCATTGTTGGACCAACCCAGAGAGAGCTGGGAATGGCCAGCCAAGGGACAGAACTGCCTGCTGCCAGCACTGGGGAGCTATGGGTGGGCCTTGAGCTGGGGAGGGGCAGGGAAGCCTGGAGCCTTGAAAGTGAAGCTAAAGAACCTCGCAGACCCTTCAGTTAGCTCTGTCAAATTCTGTAAGTATTTGTAAGAGTTGAATGAGTTTCAACTTTGAGCCAAGTTTCAGCTCATGAGCTAATTCCAGTGGGTTGCATAGAGTGCAGATTCGAGGATTCCAGGCCTTATCCCATCAATGAGAACGTGAGGTTTCCATTAGTTATGTCTGCCACAGGTGTAGGAAATACAGCTGGTGGTGAGCTCTGAATCTGCTAGTCAGGCTGTAGTCCCGAGGCTCTCAAGGGCACAGCAGCGCCTCCCAGGGGCTATTTTTGTTACCACAGTAACTGAGCAGGGGCTACTAGCTTTTAGAGGGCAGGAAACTGGTAACATTCAGGCCAAACTTTCACAATGAAGAATTGTCCCAGCTGCGTTCCATGTGACTTTCAAATGTCCTGCCAGCCATTCCTGTAGGCAAAAATAACGAAACTGAAACAAACAAACAAAAAACCTGTTTGTAACTCCCTGATCCTGGACCCTCACTATATTTTGTATACAAGCTTGAAGTACCTTTTTACCCAGTTTTAATATACCAGGAATGTAACTGTCATGAATGCCAAAGAAAGGATGTGCTTCTTCTGTTGGTTCAGAATTTTACCAAGAGTTGGTCACCATTTTGGAAGGATCATCCCCTCTAGCTTGTGGTACCAGCGATATTTGAGCAGCTGATTCAACAGCACATCTTTCTCTGTCTGCATTTGTAACTGTCACAGATTCTGTGGGTAGGTGCTGGCATCTGATTCCTTCATTACGCCTTCTTGACGAGTTGTGTCCCAGCATTGTGCTTTACAATATGAGTCGTATTATAAATTACTTTCCTTTCACTTCTCCTTTATATTTCAGTTAGGGCATTGTATGTTTTTAAATTACGTGTGTAGGTAGGTAATATGATCTATGAATTTTATTTCAGGAGAATAAAAGGGGACATTACAAAATATTTTCTATAAAAATGGCATTTGGGGTCTGAGGGGGTTGGATGGGGTTGGGAACATTGCAGCCCAACTCCTTCCTTTCTGATGGGGAAACTGAGGCTGGGGGTGGGGAAGAGGCTTGCCTTTGTTCGTATGGAAAGTGGGAGGCAGAACTTGAAACATATACTTTAGGAAGATCTTTCGCACTCTGGAGTGGGGGGAATCTGGGGGCAGAAGACCAGTGACGTGCCTGGAACAGGGGAATGGGAGTGAAGGAGGGGGTGGCTGTGGCAATGGCGATGAAAACCAGGTGCGGAGTTTCGAGATGTTTTGGAGGCCACCAGGCAGCTGTCACCGGGCGCTGGGGGGCCAGCGGGGAATCAGAGGTGAGGGGCAATGTGCTTTCTTGAGGAATTCCCCCCTTTGCCGGAAAAACTGGCTTTCTGTGGCTGGGAACCTCAGAGGAAATCAGGCCATCCCACAGAGAGGCCAGTCAAACTCCTCCTGCCACCACCCCTCCTCCAGTCCCCCACCCGCCCAGCAACCAGAGACCTAACCTGGCCCCGGCCAATTGGGCAGCCTGAGGCCAAAACAGCACCCATCCAATCCTGGGCGGCAGAGGCTGCCGCTCCCTGAGAAAATGATATGCCTGTTCCGAGAAACCAAATATCCTACAATGAATCCAATTAGATTTCATAGGCACATGAGAACGCGATCCATCTTAAATGTCCTCTGCAAACCTCCAGCCACAGATAAATATTTTATTCCATTCCAAGCAGTCCCGGGCAGAATATCAATTAGCATCCAGCTGCCTCCCTGGCGGGTCCAGACAGTCCTGGCTGAGGAGGGGGCTCTGAGCTGAGAGGGGAGCCCCCAGTCTTTGCCACGTGCTGCTGCTTAGCCCTGGTGTCACCTCAGGCAGGCGGCTTTTCCCTCCCGGGCTGTGTGTCCTCACCTGCGGAATGGGTTTGCAACATTGCCCTTCCTGCTTCTCCCCCAGTGCCCTAGTGCTGAGCAAGGAAGTTCATGTTCACTCATCTGACAAACAGTCCCTCAGTAGCTGCTGGGTGCCAGCATCGTGGTTAGCGTTGGGGACACAGCCTTGAATAAGATAGGTCAGTCTCTCCCCTCTGGCAGAGCTCACAATCTGGGAAGAGGGCAGCAACAATAAGCACATAAATGAAGACCGCTTTTGACAGAGACGAGTTTTACAAAACACACAGGCTGCTGTGACAGAGAAAAAGAGGGAGCACCCACTGTAGACTGAAGGATCAGGGAAGGCCTCCCTGAGGAGGTGACGTCTGTGCCAAGACCTGAATCGGGAAAAGTATTCTAGAAAGAGGTACAGCCAATGTGAACGCCCTGAGGGAGGAAAGTGCTTGGTGAGTTGAAGGATCTGGCAAACCAGTGTGGCTGGAGCCGAGTGAATGACTAGGAGCGGGGTGTGAGAGAAAGCTGGAGACAGTGGCAGGGCCAGGGTTGGGGGTGTCAGTTCATGCTACATCTGTGTTCAGTAGATGAATTGTGAAACCATTTACAACTGCAAATGAGCAGGGCCAGGAAGACACATGTCATGCCAGTGGGAGGGCCCCCAAGTCAGCGCAGATGCAAACCTGGCCCCAGGTTCCGTGCTAGGGCTCTACTGATGGGAATAGGCTGACAAAAAGGAACTACCTGTTACTCAGGATATCCCTCAACCTGGTCAGAGTCATTTGGGGTTCAAAACTCATCTCTACCACTTACCAACTGGGCAAGTCACTTTGCTTCTCTGGACTCAGTTTCCTCCTCTATAAAAGAAAAGGCATAATCTCACCTACACTTTGGGTCTGTTAAATGGGCTAATGCGTGTCAAGTGTCTGTTGGATCATATGTGCCTCATGAATGAAATAGTTGCTGTTACTACTGCTATCATCATCATTACAGTAATTCAGGCAGTGGCTCATGCCTGTCATCCCAGCACTTTGGGAGATCAAGATGGGAAGATTGCTTGAACCCAGGGGTTCAAGACCAGCCTGGGCAGCACAGTGAGACCCTGTCTCTACAAAATATTAAAAAATTAGCTGGACATGGTGGTGCATGCCAGTAGTCCCAGCTACTTGGGAGGCTGAGGCAGGAGGATTTCTTGAGCCCAGGAATTCCAAGCTGTAGTGGCTATGATCACAAACTCCAGCCTGGGTGATAGGGCAAGACCCTGTCTCATAAAAAAAAATTTTTTTTTATTAAATACAGTAATTCATTTACTCCTCCTAGTCACCCTCTGTTACTACCTTCATCTTAACAATGGCTCAGAGAGGGGAAGCAACATACTCAAAGTTCACACAGATGGTGGAGGAATTGGGCTTTTAGCCTGGGTGTGTTGGATTCTGTAGCTGGTATTACTTCCTCTTTGCCACTCAACTCTGTGATAATCTAGTACATGGCTTAAAGAGAGCACAGAATGAGTAGAAACCTAGAGCCTTGTCCTCTGAGAAAAGAGGACAGAAAGAGGGGTGGATTTGCCCAAGGCTGTGTAGCTGGCAGAAGAAGAGACAGCCAGAGCGGATATGTCTTAGTCCATTTTGTGCTACTGTAACAGAATACCACAGGCTGGGTAATGTATAATGAACAGAAATGAATTGGCTCACAGTTCTGGAGGCTGGGAAGTCCAAGTCAAGGTGCTGGCATCTGGCGAGGGCCTTCTTGCTATGTCATAACATGGTGGAAGGCATCACATGGCAGAAGGTCAAAGAGAGAGAGAAACAATGGAAAGAGGAGGTGAACCCACTCCTGCAATATCATTCATGAGACAGAGCCCTCATGACCTAAACACATCTTTAAAGTCCCACCTCCCAAGACTGTCACAATGGCAATTAAATTTCAACATGAGTTTTAGAGAGGACGAACAGTCAGACCATAGCAGAATGCAATCCCTGCATGGCCAACCAAGGGCAAAGGGAGCTTGTGTTACCTATAATCCCAGAGGGCAAAGCTGGGGCCAAAGAAGAAACCTCAAGGAGACCGATAGTCTGAGCTGCCCAGTGGTAGAACAGACTGCTTTGTGAGGTAGTAATTTGCCCATTTCTGGAAGTATACAAGCAAACTCAACGTGTTTCCAGAGGAAATTTGTATTGCTTATCTATTGCTGCAAAACAACTTTAGCAGCCTAAAACAACACTAAACACATGTTATCACACAGTTTCTGTGGATCAAGAATTTAGGACCAGCTTAGCTAGGTGGTCTTGGCTCAGGGATCTCTCATTAGGTTGCAGTCAGGATGTCAGCTAGGGCTGCAGCCATCTGAAGGCTTGACTTGGGCTGGAAGATTTGCTTCCAAGCTCACTTATAGGGCTGATGGCAGGAGGCCACGTGGACCACTCCATAGGGCTGCTTGAGTGCCTTTGTAACACAGTAGATGTCTTCCCCCAGAGCAAGAGATCCAAAACAGCAAGTTGGAAACTGCAGTATCTTTCATAGTCTAGCTCTGAAAGTCACATACTGTCATTTCCACAGTATCCTGTTAGTTACCCGGGTCAACCCTAGTCAGTATGGGAGGAGACCGACCATTCAAGGCTGTGAATACCAGGAGACGAGACTCATCAGGGGACACCTTGGAGGCTGGCTATCACAAATTGGACTATGAAATCTTGACTGTACCTTCCAGTGTCAGATGTCCACTCTAAACCTCAGTTTCCCCATCTGTACAATGGAGGTTGGATTTGGTGATTCCTAAGAGTTCCTGTAGGTCTATGGTAGGGTGAACTCAGGGTCAGTGTGTCAGGCCAGCTGCAGAGCTCCAGGTGGTGGAACTCAGGGGAAGGGCATGCCAGAGGGGGACACAGAGGCCTGTGGTCACCCCCAAAGTCCATGAGAGGCACCAATGCAGGCTGCAGGCTGTTCCCCTAGAAGGTACCATCCCCAGGCACTAGACCACCTCATTGTAAAGGAGGCGTCTCAAGCAGATAAGCTGTGACTGGCACATCCCTCCACTCCTGAAAAATCCCACATAGATTAGATCCTATTTCATCCATCTCCCCTTCCAGCGAGCTTTTTCTGAAAGCTCCTCTACGAGAGACCGTGAATGAGGGGGTGGAATGGAATGCGGGGAGCAGAGAGGATGGGCATGCATAGATGGTGTTTCTGTGTGTGACATCAGTCTTCCCCACAAGACAGCTCTCTTAGTGAGCACTGGCCTAGCCCACGGGAGATGTTTACAAATATTTGTTGGTTGGATGAATGAATGAATGAATGAATGAATGAATGAATGAAGCAGAGACAAAAATGAGTAAGCTGCCATTGCAGCTTGTGCAGAGCCCACCAGTCCCATGGGGACCCTCATTCCAGTACAGAGTGCAGATGATCTAGCAGCCTCTGCACGGTTCAGAGCCTCCTGGAGGGAGGCAGCTGCGGTCGAGGGGGTAGTTGAGGAGCGGGTCAGGGAGGGCCTCTGGAGGAGGCGGTGTGCGCTGGGCCTTGCTGCAGACCTGGGGGAGGAGAAGGCCAATCAAGGCAGAGGAAACGCACAAATAGCCAGGAGGGAGTGTGTCCTGGGAAGAGCGAATGGCATGGGCTAGAGATGCTGCCACAGAAGTGGGCAAGGGCAGGTTGCCAAAGGCCTTGAATACCAGGGAAGCAGGGCAGCCGGGGGAGGCCCCTTAGTCTAGGAAGAGGAGGTTGGAGTCAGGAAGATGTGGATAGTGGTTAAGAGTATGGACTCTGGATTTAAACGGCCTGGGTTCAAATCCCATCTCTGTAACCTTGGGCAAATTACTTATTCTCAGTGTCTCAGTCTCCTCGTCAGCAAAATGGAGATGCTGCTAGCAGCCAACTGTCTCAAGGGGCTGTTGAGGGTGAAAGTGAGTTAACATACGTAAGTGCTTAGAACAGAGTCTGATACATCATGAGGCAGTGTAAGTGTTAGTTATTCTAAGTATTATGTACACATGCGAGGGAGGCTGGGACATTTCTGGCAGACCACATGAGAAATTCCAGGGAGTACACATGGGGCGCCTCGGTGGGAGGGAGACTTACTATTCTTTGAACACATCCTAGGCGTGTGCTATTTTAATAATGATGGTGGATGGGGCAGGGAGGCTGGAGCGGGCTGGGGACTGGTTGGGCCAGAGCTGATGGGATCCAACCATCCAGAGAACATGGGGAGAGGAGCCAGGACTGGGTTAGGGTGTTGGGCACTGCCACCTTAGAAGGACCTGGTGCCTGTTAAATGGGAAGTTGGAGAGAGGGTGGAGTGAGGGCACCCCAATGGTGACACACCCATGTTAGGACATCCAGGCCCACATGGACTCCAGGCTGGGGACCTCCAGAAAGGGGAGACCAAGAAACACGCCAGGCTGGTCCCCAAGAGCAGGGCCCAAGGTAAGAGCAGCCCCTGGGGTGCAGCGATGCTTCTTCAAAGGTGATGAGGCAGTGACCCAAGGAAAGTATTGGTGCCACCGGGAGTCTGGAGCTGCGGGCTCCAACTGCGGCATTTGCTGTTGGAAGCTAGGGCCATAAGGAGAGCATTCAGCCCCCTGTTCCACCCATTCAGCCCCTCTCCTTGGTGGGGAGTTGGGTGGCAATGAAAAATTCACTCTTGAAGGCCGGGCGCGGTGGCTCACGCCTGTAATCCCAGCACTTTGGGAGGCCCAGGCGGGTGGATCACGAGGTCAGGAGATCAAGACCATCCTGGCTAACACGGTGAAACCCTGTCTCTACTAAAAATACAAAAAATTAGCCAGGCATGGTGGCGGGCGCCTGTAGTCCCAGCTACTCAGGAGGCTGAGGCAGGAGAATGGCGTGAACCTGGGAGGCGGAGCTTGCAGTGAGCCGAGATTGCGCCACTGCACTCCAACCTGGGTGACAGAGCGAGACTCCACCTCAAAAAAAAAAAAAAAAAAAATTCACCCTTGAAGTCATGCTGGCTGAGTCACCTCTGCTCTGCCAGGCACAGATGCTCTGCGTGTCTTGGTCACAGGGCTGGGTCTGTTCTGCAAGGCACAGATGCTCTGCGTGTCTTGGTCACAGGGCTGGGAAGGGGTGACGGAGCACCTGTGGGGACCTCCAGGGGGCTGGCCGGTCAGTTGTTGATGCCCCTCTTTAAAGTGGAGGTGCAGCTCATAGCAGTATGTTTGGATACCATGGGTGGTTCCCAACGCTAGAACACAGCTTTGTAACTGCAAAGTACTGTGCGCAACCCATCCCTTCCCATCCCTGAGTGATGAAGGGACAGGGTGAGTCCCCTTCACCCAGGGCAGTGGGCTGCAGACCCTGGAATCCTAGACTGTGTGAGCTGTAGGAAACCTTAAAGACCCCTTTTCTAGCCAACCCCCACATTGCGCAGACAGGGAAACAGGCCCAGAGATTAACAGGGCCCAGCCTCAGATGATGTAGTGAGTTAGGGGCCCGATGAGGACCAGTCAGCAGCCTCTGTGCCCCAGTTTTCTAAAGTAGGGGTGTAGGGGACAGCGGGAAGCCTGCAGGAGTCCAACAGACCCAGGTTCGTATCCTAGCTCTGCTACTTACCAGAGGAACTAGAGCCTCAGTTCCCTCATCTTTCAATCAGAAGTAATAATACCCTTTGGGAGGTTGAGGTGGGAGGATCACTTGAGGCCAGGAGTTTGAGACCAGCCAGGGCAACATAGCAAGAACCCTGTCTCTACAAAAAGTGAAAAAATTAGCAGGGTGTTGTGACACATGCCTGTAATCTCAGTTCCTTGGGAGGCTGAGATGGGGGAACCGCTTGAGGCTGGAGTTTAAGGCTGCAGTGAGCCATGATTGCATCAGGGCTGGAGTACAGTTGACCTTCAGTGAATGGTGTTCCCCTTTAAAATGTGATTCTAAATGGCCATTCACTTCTTCCTGCATTGTTCATCCATTCATTCACCAGGCTTTTATTTAGCACCTGCTGTATACCAGGCTCTGAGCTGGGCATGTGGTCATGACTCAGAAACGTCTTTGTCCTCAAGGGACTCAGAGTGTGGGAGAGAAGACTCCAGAGTTGCTGGAGGGGTGACTCAAGCACCATGTAGCCCTGAGAGTCAGAAGAAAGGGCATTTGGGCCCAGCTACTGAGATAAATAGGAGTTCCCTTGGCAATCAAGGAAAGGGAGAACATTCCAGGCAGAAGATATGGCAACCGGCTGTGGTCAGTTGAGGAGCAGGTCAGGGAGGGCCTCTGGAGGAGATGGTGTGTGTGCTGGGCCTTGCTGCAGACCCAGGGGAGGAGAAGGCCAACCAAGGCAGAGGAAACACACAAACAGCCTGGAGGGAGCGTGTCCTGGGAAGAGTGAATGGCGTGGGCTGGAGATGCTACCGCAGAAGTAGGCAGGGGCAGGTTGCCAAAGGCCTTGAATGCCAGGGAAGCAGGGCAGCCAGGGGAGGCCCTTTAGTCAAGGAGGATGTGGTTGGAGTCAGGAAGATGTGGACAGTGGTTAAGAGCATGGTCTCTGGACTTAGGCAGCCTGGGTTCGAATCCCAGCAAAGTCATGGAAGTCTGGGACATCAGAATGTGTTCTCGGAGCTCCAAAGGGCCCTTTGTCGGGGGCTTCCAGGTGGGAAGCTGGTGAGGAAGGAGACACGGGGATCTGGGCAAGGTCAGACTTAGGGGCCAAGCCAGGAGGCTTGGGCTTTATCTTAGTTTGAGTTTTCCTGGAGATGCTGAGACAAGGATTGTGGGGGTTTGTTTGGGAGATAATCCCCGGAAACTATGGTAGGGGAGTGAGAAAGGGAAGAACAGGGAGGAGGGCAACCACAATCCTTATTGTTATCCAGGCAGTTATCCCTGTTGACAGCTGGGCTCAGCTCCGCTAAAGACCCCTGGAGGACCAAGCAGAATACACAAGGCAGAGTTATCTGCACCCGAGGACTAAGCGGGCGGGATGTTTATCCACCAGCTCCCCATCCGTCATTGGTTGAGGGCTGCTTCCGCGGGCATCATCTCCCGGATATTTCCTGCTTGGCCCGTGTCCAAGCTGAGCTTGTTCCTGCAGGCAGTCACAAGCATTTGCAGTAGGCATCTGCCACAGGTTTCATCCTGCCATTGCCTTTGCGGGAAGAGGGACCACCCAATGCCTGTGCTGGGGGAACCCTCAGAGTAAGAAGCCCCTGTGGGCTCTTTGCACAGCCTGGGCTCACCTTTCCCCAGGCGTCTAGCACTGAGGTCAGGTCAGGTCATGCCTGCTGGGAAAACTTTGAGGACTCCCAGGAGCCTGCAGCTTATTATATTTTAAAATAAAGTTTTGCAATAGATATATATTCACATGATTAAAATTCTAATGACTAAATGCAATGCGGTATCCTCGACTGGATCCTGAAACAGAAAAAGGACGTTAATGGAAATGGTGAAATCCAAATAAAGTCTGGAGTTTAGTTAATAGTAATGTACCAATGTTAATTTCAACAAATGTACCATTGTTATGTAAAATGTTAACATTAGAGGAAACCAGGTGAGGGTTATACAAGAAGTCTCTATACTATCTGCAACCTAGAATAATCTAAAACTATTGCCAAATAAAAGGCTTTTTTTTTTTTTTTTTTTGAGACAGAGTCTCGCTCTGTCACCCAGGCTGGAGTGTGGTGGCGCCATCTTGGCTCACTGCAACCTCCACCTCCCGGGTTCAAGCGATTCTCATGCCTCAGTCTTCCAAATAGCTGGGATTACAGGCATGTGCAGCCATGCCCAGCTAATTTTTTTGTATTCTTAGTAGAGGCGGAGTTTTGCCATGTTGGTCAGGCTGGCCTCGAACTCTTGGTCTTCAACTCCTGGCCTCAGCCTCCCAAAGTGCTGGGATGACAGCTGTGAGCCACCGTGCACAACCTAAAAGACTTATTTTTTTCATGTATCCCAGAACTTAAAGTAAAATAAAAAAAATTTTTTTAAGACTTTTTTTTTTTAACTCTTTTTTTTTTTTTTTTAACTCTAAAGAAACATAGGCTGTGTGCAGTGTCTCATACCTGTAATCCTATGGGAGGCTGAGGCGGGCAGATCACCCAAGGTCAGGAGTTTGAGACCAGCCTGGCAAAACCCCATCTCTACAAAAAATACAAAAATTAGCCAGGCATGGTGGCATGCACCTGTAGTCCCAGCTACTAGGGAGGCTGAGGCAGGAGAATCACTTGAACCCAGGAGACAGAGGTTGCAGTGAGCCAAGATCACACCACTGCACTCCAGCCTGGGCAACAGAGCAAGACTGTCTCAAAAAAAAAAAAAGAAACATAATAAAAAGCCCTCCTCCTGGCCGGGCGCAGTGGCTCAAGCCTGTAATCCCAGCACTTTGGGAGGCCAAGGTGGGCGGATCACGAGGTCAGGAGATCGAGACCATCCTGGCTAACACGGTGAAACCCCGTCTCTACTAAAAATACAAAAAAATTAGCCGGGTATGGTGGCGGGCGCCTATAGTCCCAGCTACTCGGGAGGCTGAGGCAGGAGAATGGCATGAACCCGGGAGGCGGAGCTTGCAGTGAGCCGAGATCACGCCACTGCACTCCAGCCTGGGCGACAGAGTTAGACTCCGTCTCAAAAAAAAAAAAAAAAAAGTACTCCTCCTACTCTTTCTTCCATCCACCTTGTTCCTGTTCCTAGTTTATTGGGTACCCTTCCACTGATAGGCAAATACGAATAAAATTCTTGGACCCCTCTTTTAGAGGATTGGTAGCTGCATACTGTAGCAGATGCTGTCAGTGCCCTGCCTCTACCACCTCAAGCTCAGTTTGGTTTATGCCAGCCACTTCCTTCTGGAAAAACCTGCATTTCTCCAGCTGAGGGCTTTCTTTCAGCCTGCACTGGGAGGGTGGAAGTGCTGGGGTGTTCATTTCCCCAGGGGCAGCCCTCAGCCATTGCAGAAGGAAGTGGAGAATACGGACCCCAACTCCCTCGCCCTTCCATGGGATAACTCTGAGATATGTGTTCTACCTGAAGTGTAGATGTGATAATCCAATTTTGCATCACTATAAAGAAATATCTGAGGCTGAGTAATGTATAAAGAAAAGAGCTTTAATTGGCTTACAGTTCTGCAAGCTATACAAGCATAGCTCCAGCATCTGCTTCTGATGAGGGCCTCAGGAAGCTTCCAATCATGGCTGAAGGTGAAGGGAAAGCAGGCAGTGTCATATGGCAAGAGAGGGAGTGTGGGGGATAGGGGAGGTGCCACACCCTTTTAAACAACCTGGTGAACTACCAGAGTGAGAATTCACTCATCACTATGGGAATGGTGCTAAGCCATTCTTGAGGGACGTGCCCCCATGATCCAAACACCTCCCACCAAACCCCACCTCCAACACAGGGGATCCCATTCCAACATGAGATTTGCAGGGGACAAACATCCAAACCATATCAGCAGAGTTCCCAGCGGGGTTAAGCCTGGGTGCCACAGCGAGGTTGTGCAGCCTTCATTGGCTCTCCTTGTGTCCCCATCCCCACACTGTACTTCCTGGGATCACCTCCCAAATAGATTCAAATTCTTTTTTGTTTTGTTTTGTTTTGTTTTGTTTTTTGAGACAGAGTCTTGTTCTGTTGCCCAGGCTGGAATGCAGTGGGATGATCTCAGCTCACTGCAACCTCCGCCTCCTGGGTTCAAGCAATTCTCCTGCCTCATCCTCCAAGTAGCTGGGACTACAGGCATGCGCCATCGCACCCAGCTAATTTTTGTATTTTTAGTAGAAATGGGGTTTCACTATGTTGGCCAGGCTGGTCTCAAACTCGTGACCTCAGGTGATCCGCCCACCTCAGCCTCCCAAAGTGCAGGATTATAGACGTGGGCCACCGCGCCTGGCCTTCAATTCAAATTCTTGTCTGAGGGTCTGCTTCTCGGAGAACCCAAATCAGACAGATGCCCTGACCCCGTTCTGCCCCTTGCTGTGTTCACTTTACAGTACCTTTGGAGAGCTTTCCACATCAGTACACTCAGTGCCACCTTATTCTTTTTGACAGCTGCATAGCAGTCCATGGGGTGCTGGGTGATCTTTTACCCGGTCTCCTCATGGACAGCCTTTTGGGATGTTTTCAGCCCTTTGCTAATACAAATATTATGTCAGGAAAGGCCCCACACACCCATCATTTCCCACGTGCATAAGGCAAGGCCGCTGGTAATTCCTAGAAGCGGAATTGCTGGCACCCATGGCCTTTGGGGTCTCCTCTATTTTGATGGCTGATGGCCTACAGTTTAAATCCAGAGTTCCTAGAGGGGCAGGGGGCATCAAGCCCTCCAGGATCTGAGCCCAGGCATTCGCTTCCCTGTCTCCCTCAAAGCCCATGCCCACCACATGGACAATCTGCTGTCCCCCAGCACTCCCTGAATCCCTCGCCTTTGGCCATGATTTTGTCTCTACTTATCCCTTTTTATGAAACGCTCTTCCCTGTACCTTTGTCTGTGGAAATCTTACTTGTCCTCAGAGATCTGGCTGAAATACCGTCTCCTCTGGGGACCCTTCCTGGTGCCCCTGTGAGTATTAATCTCTGTCTTCACTGGGCTGCACATCCTGGCTTCGACACTCCAGGATTTATTTTTATGTGTTCTCCAAGTGCTGTGTGTATTTCTGCCTCCCTCCACTTGTCCACAAGCTCTTTAAGGGCTGAGGCCATCTGAGTCACAGAGCAGGCTCCATAAATGTTGGAAGAATTGAATTAAATGTGCTGGCAATTGCTGCATTCTGACCATTTTGTTCTGCTGTTTGCCAGCATGACCTTCCAGGATGGTTCCCCAGTGGGGGCCGGAATGAAACAGGGCGAGGCAGGTGGCCTCCAGAATCCGCCTGCCCTGCAGTCAGAGCTCTGAGGCTAGAGGGCAGGGCAGCATGGACAGCCTTTGCACAGTCCTCCCCTAAGAGGCATCTCCCAGCCTGTCAGACGAAGGTTTTGGTGAGCCCACAGTTAGAGGCTGTGTCCCCTGAGCATGGCCCAGGCTCAGGGTTCTGTGAGGTGGTGGCCAACTGGACATTGTCTCCTGAGAGCTGAGAAGCAGCACAGGAAGCTCATTAGTGGCATGGGCTCTGGAGCCAAATTGCCTGGGTTCAAATCCCAGCTCTGACACCTGTGTGACCTTGTACAAATCATTTCTCTCTATGCCTCTGTTCTCTTTCTATAGAACGGGACCAACAATGAGACCTCCTTCATAGGGCTGATTGGAGGATTCAAAAAGATCATCCAAACAAAGTGCTTACGTGTATGTAGGAAGCATCTGATCAGTAAGCTCTGAAAAGGTCTTGATTCACAAGACTTTTGGGAGTTCATGTAACAACCGCAGCACCTCTTTATTGAGCACCTACTAGAGACCTTATGGGGTGCTCTCTGTGTACACTCATACTGGAGCTTACAGATACATCCTCCAGGTGAAACGCCTTTTAAAACTGAGGTAGAATACATATAAAATTGGCCATTTAAACCATTTTAGAGTTACAATTCAGTGGCATGAAGTATATTCACAGTGTTGTACAGCCATCACCACTGTTTATTCCAGAACTCTTTTCTTTTTTTTTTTTTTTTTTGGAACAGAGTCTCACTCTGTCACCCAGGCTGGAGTACAGTGTTGCGATCTTGGCTCACTGCAACCTCCGCCTCCTGGGTTTAAGCGATTCTTGTGCCTCAGCCTTCTGAGTAGCTGGGGTTACAGGCGTGTGCCACCACACCTGGCTATTTTTTGTATTTTTAGTAGAGACAGTTTCACCATGTTGGCCAGGATGGTCTCGAACTCCCCACCTCAGATGATCCACCCACCTCGGGCTCCCAAAGTGTTGGGATTACAGGCATGAGCCACCGTGCCCGGCCTTATTCCAGAACTCTTTCATCACCCCTAACAGAGACCTTGTACCCATTAAGTAGTCACTCCCCATTCCTCTGTCCTCCCTAGCCTCTGGCAATTACTAATCCACTTTTTGTTCCTGTTGATTTGCTTGTTCTGGACTTTTTTTTTTTTTTTTTTTTTTGAGATGGAGTCTCACTCTGTCGCCCAGGCTGGAGTGCAGTGGCATGATCTCAGCTCACTGCAACCTCCGCCTCCTGGGTCAAGCGATTCTTCTGCCTCAGCCTCCCAAGTAGCTGGACTACAGGTGTGTGCCACCAGGCCCAGCTAATTTTTTGTTTTTTTTTTTAGTAGAGGTGGGGTTTCACCATGTTAACCAGGATGGTCTTGAGCTCCTGACCTCGTGATCCACCCTCCTCGATCTCCCAAAATGCTGGAATTACAGGCATAAGCCACCGCGCCCGGCCTATTCTGGACATTTCATATAAAGGGAGTCCTACCTTAGGTGGCCTTTGCCTCTGGCTTCTTTCACTGAGCATGTTTTTGAGGTTCATTCCTGCTGAGACATGGATCAGAACTTCATTCCTTCTTATGGCAGAATAATATTCCATTGTATGGCAAGTGAAGTGTCTGATACATGCTTCCCATGTTAAGAAACCAAGGCTCAGAGAGGCCAGCTGACATGCATAGGGTCACACCATGGGGAAGAAGTAGAGTGAGATTTATACCCAGGTCAAATAGGGTCCAGACCTGTTCTCTTCCCCCTTTAAGGATGCCTGGTTTACAAGCTCTTTCCTATCCAGCTGGTCCCGTTTGCCCCTCACAAGAGCCCCACACCGTTGGGATAATCATCTCCAGTTTCAAATGAAGAAAACTGAGATGAAAAAGGTGACTTGCCTGAGGTCACAAGGTGAGTTAGCCAGGACTGGGGTCCCAGCCCCCACAAGCACAACAACAAACCCTGCTTGAAAACAGCAGCCAAGGGGGTGATCCTGGTCCATCCAGACCCTGCTGGAATGGGAAGGCGGAAAGATGAGTGCCTGCGTCGTCCCCCTTCCCAGCCCTATAGTTGTCCCAGTGGTGACCTGGAGAGCCATCTCTAGGGCTGATCGGTGCCCGCCCTGCAGCTGTGGCCAGCTGTCCCCCACCAGCTCTTCTGCAAGGCCCCAGGAATGTCCATACCAGGGTGGTTTTTGGTATTTATTCATCAGCAAAAAGTTGTTTCTGTTGACTAGCACTTCTCCAAGCATGGCCAGGCTGCTGATTCTCCAGCCTGAGTGTGCAGAAAGCTCAGGATCAGGAGAACTGAGCCCTCCACCTGCTGTGTGACCTTGGGCAAGTGTCAGCCCCTGCTTGAGCCCAGTTAGCAAAGTGGAGCGTGAGAGAGTTGGATCAGACATGAGAGGTTTGGTGCTGGGTGACATTCCACAACTCACAGGCTTTAGAGAGTATTCCATGGGGGCTCCAGGGGGCAGAGGCCCTGTTCCTGTCCCCCTCCAGTTCCATGTAAGCCTCATGGGAAATGGCCACTAGCCATTTGTGGCCACTGGGCACTTGAAATATGGCAAATGCAACTGAAATTTTAAATTTAATTCTATTTAAGTTTAATCATATGTATAGAGCAAGTCTAGAGAGTTGTGCTCTGGGAATGCAAGGAGGGATGAGGGCCATGCAGAAAGAGCTCACAGCCCAGAACATACCCAACCTTTGTTGGTTCAAAACCTCCAGAGAGGGCTGGGCACAGTGGCTCATTCCTGTAATACCAGCACTTTGAGAGGCCAAGGCAGGTGGATCACCTGAGGCCAGGAGTTTGAGACCAGCCTGACCAACATGGTGAAACCCCGTCTCTACTAAAAATACAAAAATTAGCCAGGCATGATGGCACATGCCTGTAATCCCAGCTACTCAGGAGGCTGAGGCATGAAAATCGCTTGAACCTGGAGGTGGAGGTTGCAGTGAGCCAAGGTTGTGCCACTGCACTCCAACCTGGGTGACAGAGTGAGACTCTGTCTCAAAAGAAAACAAAACAAAACAAAAACAGAAACAAAACAAACGAAAACGTCCAGAGAGCGCTGGCCTAGGAGTCCAGAGGTCTGGGTACAAATTGCAGCTGCCACCAATATGTTGTGTGACTAGGCCAAATCTCAGTCCCTCTCTGAACTTCTAGATGGCTAAATAGAGACAGTGCCCGGCCCTGTCTGGCTCTAGAGCCCATCCTTCCTCTAGCACCCTGACCTCCTTGTGTAGGTGGGACTCATTGTTAGGGATAGTAACAGCAATACTTGCGTATTTGCTGTATGCCAGCCTCTGTGCTGAGAACCATCTGTCTGTGTTACCTCGTTGATCTCTCCCAACAACCCTTTGAGGACACTGGGGCTCAGGGAGGTTAGGTAAGTGGCTCAAGGTCACACAGCAAGTAAATGTTGGCACCAGGATTCAAACTCAAGAAGGCTGGCTCCAGAGCCACATTCCCAGCCTCCACGCCATACACACACATACACTATCTCCAGGGGCAGGCTCCTACTCAACCTCCCCTGGGGCCAGCAGAGGGAGTGGCACTGAAGCCTGGAATCTCAAGTGGTGGTCCCCAGGTGAGGCCTGGAGATGGAGGGGAGGGGCCAGCCATGATCATCATCAGGATCACCCTCTCATCCCCTCAACTCAGACTTTTCCTAGGTGAGGATGGGGGAACCTGATTCCCCAGGGGTTGAAGGGGTCTTGGCTTGGGAGTCCAGGGAAGAAGCTCAGACCAGACTCATATGCTTTATGTCAGCCACAGACCTGTCTTCCTTTGCTGTATGTCCCCATGGTCCTTTATGCTTGGGATGAGCGTATAATTCATTATCTAAGCCATGACTTATTTATTTATTTACTTACTTATTTATTCGGAGATGGAGTCTTGCTTTGTCGCCCAGGCTGGAGTGCAGTGGCATGATCTTGGCTCACTGCAACCTCCACCTCCCGGGTTCAAGCGATTCTCCTGCCTCAGCCTCCCAACTAGCTGGGATTACAGGCATATGCCACTGTACCTGACTAATTTTTGTATTTTTAGTATAGACAGGGTTTCACCATGTTGGCTAGGCTGGTCTCGAACTCCTGACCTCAAGAGACCCACCTGCCTTGGCCTCCCAAAGTACTGGGATTACAGGCGTGAGCCACGCACCCGGCCTAAACCATGACATTTTTGAGAATGAAACAGCACTAACCATCGGGGACTCCAGGACAGTTGGTGGAACCCGGGCGAACCAGGATGTCTGTCGCCCTCTCCATGCACCACCATGTATAGAGGGCCAGCTCTGTACAGAGTCGTTGCTTCTGGCTCAGAGGGACACTTAGGTTAATCTGTGACTCCTCAGGTGGGAGCTCCCATCATGGGGAACCCAGAGGAGGCCTTACCCCCGACTTTTAAGGTCAGGGAAGATTTCTTGGAGCAGGGTGTGTCTTCTCTGAGCTTCAAGGATTTTAAGCAGGGAAAGGCTTGGCTAAGGATAGGGTGTTTTAAGGAATGTTCTCAGGAACAGAAACGCCAGCCTAGCCTGTGTGGGATTCAGACATGGAGAAGAAGCAAAAAAGAGGTGTGGAGAGGCCTATCCATCAACTCCCTTCTCTCCCATCGGGCAGCTGCAGCTCTCCAGCTCCCCTCCCTTTGAGGCTCTGTCTGACTACCTCATTCATTGAACAAGTGTTGATTGTGCACCTACTAGGTGCCAACTCTACGCTTAGCACCAGGGATAGAGTGGAAAATGAAACAGGTGCGGTCCCTCCCCTCTTGGAGCTCACAGAGCGCGGGAGGCACTAATCAAGTATGTGAGGAGCCAAGCAGGATAATCAGAGACCCTGGTCAGGTTTGGAAAACAATCAGGAGGGGTGTTGAGAGAACGCAGTGGGAGGGAGGTGACTTCTAGACACAGGGGTCTGGGGTGGCCTCTGAGGAGGTGACGTTTAATCAGGGATCTAAATCAATAGAGGCAGCCGAGTATGTGAAGTGTTGAGGGGTGGATGGAACAGCATGGGCAAAGGCCCCATGGCAGGCAAGAGCTGGGAGCGCTGGGGAAGTAACTAAGGAGGAGACTGGCATGGCTTTGGTGGGCTGAGCAGGCTGGAGTTTGAGTTTTGTTTTTGTTTTTGTTTTTGTTTTTGTTTTTTCTGAGTTAGGGTCTCACTCTGTTGCCCAGTCTGGAGTATAGTGGCACAATCACGGCTCACTGAAGCCTCAACCTCCCAGGCTCAAGCAATCTTCCCGTCACAGCCTCCCAAGTCACTAGGACTACAGGTGTACACGGCTACACCTGGCCAAATTTTTTTAATGTTTTGGAGCGACAGGGTCTCACTATGCTGCCCAGACAGGTCTCAAACTGCTGGGCTCAAGTGATCCTCCCACCTTGGCCTCCCAAAGTGCTGGGATTATAAGCATGAGTCTCCGTGCCCGGCCTGAGACGAGTTCTGCCTGAGGGTAGACCTGGAAGCATTTTAGGGGTACTGGGTGAAGCGATCCCATTTGAGGTTTGGTGGGTTTTTTTGGTTTTTTTTTTTTGTTGTTGTTGTTGTTTGAGATGGGGTTTTGCTGTTGTCACCCAGGTTGGAATGCAGTGGCACAATCTCAGCTCACTGAAACCTCCACCTCCCAAGTTCAAGCGATTCTCCTGCCTCAGCCTCCCGAGCAGCTGGGATTACAGGTGCTCGCCACCATGCCCAGCTAATTTTTGTATTTTTATTAGAGACAGAGTTTCACCATGTTGGCCAGGCTAGCCTCAAACTCCTGACCTTAGGTGATCCACCCACCTCGGCCTCCCAAAGTGCTGGGATTATAGGCGTGAGCCACCGCGCCCGGCCTCATTTGGTTGTGTGTGTGTGCGCGCATATGTGTGTGTGTATGTTTCAGAGGGAGTCTCGCTCTTGCCGTCCAGGCTGGAGTACAATGGCGCGATCTTGGCTCACTGTAACCTCTGCCTCCCGGGTTCCAGCAATTGTCCTGCCTCAGCCTCCCAAGTAGCTGGGATTACAGGCGCTCACTGCCACACCTGGCTAATTTTTTATTTTTAGTAGAGACAGAGTTTCACCATGTTGGCCAGGCTAGTCTCGAATTCCTGACCTCAAGTGATTCACCCACCTCGGCCTCCCAAAGTGCTGGGATTACAGGTGTGAGCCACCGTGCCTGGCCCATTTGGGGTTTTTGAAGGACAACCTTGGTTCCATCTCTGTAGTCCCTTTGTTCTGAGAGTCTAGAAGACTTCAGTTCTTAGGTCTGTGTTTTCTTATCTTTTCAGTGTCTACCACACAAAGATGAGTGCTGCGTATGGAGCCCCTGTGACCCACAGAGTCTCTGCTGAAGCCAGGCAGGTTTCAATGGGGGTGGGGTCACAGAGAGGCCAAGTAAGCAGCCCTGTCCCTACCGAGCCCCCACCCCCTGAGGAGCTGTGACATCCACATCCTGGGCCCTGTGTTCAGAGTTCACTGTCAGGATGGGCCTGGGAATTCACTTCTCATGGTTGTCTTCAAGTGGAGGAGGGACCCGAGGTGGGAGCAGTGTCAGTCACACGTCCCCAGCAGCCATGGCCTGCTATCTTGTTGACCAAACAACTAGTTGAATATCATGCTTTTCAGACAGTTGCTATGGACACGGACTTAGGCTGGAAACAATTCAGACCTTGAATGCATCAGGATTATGGAGCTGTCTTAGATGGAAGGAATCCCGGAATCTCAACTCAGCCTGGTGGGCAGGGCCATGGGATGTGGGCTCAAGGATCAGGCTCGGATTCATACCCAGCGCCACCCCCTTCTGGATGTGGGGCCTAGAGAGGTGACTTCAGCCATTGAGCTGCTGCTTCTCCTCTAACATGGGTAGATTCGTGACCTATTTCTTTCTTTCTTTTTTTTTTCTTTTTTTTGAGATAGGGTCTTACTCTTGTCACCTAGACTGGAGTGCAGTGGCAAAATCATGGCTCACTGTAGTCTCGACCTCCTTGACTCAAGCAATCCTCTCATCTCAGCCTCCTGAACAGCTGGGACTACAGCTGCGTGCCACCATACCCAGCTAATTTTCTCATGCTTTATTTTTTGTAGAGATGGGGTCCTCGTTATGTTGCCCAGGCTGGTTTTGAACTCCTGGCCTCAAGTGATCTTCCTGCTCAGCCCAAAGTGCTGGGATTATAGGTGTGAGCCACTGTACTTGGCCCTCAGTGACCTATTTCTGCATAGTAAATCACCCCAAAACTTGGCCATGGTTTCCAGCAATAAATATGTATCATCTCACAGAGCTTCTAGGGGTCAGGAATCGGGTAATGGCTCAGGGTCTTTCATGAGATGCAGTCAAGTTGTCAGCTACTGCCATCTGAAGTCCTACTTCAGGGGCTACTGCCATCCGAAGTCCTAACTGGGGCTGCAGGATCCCCTTCCAAGGTGGTTCACCCACAGGGTTGGCAAGTTAGTGCTGGCTGTTGGCAGGAGGCCTCAGTTCCTTCCACATGGCCCTCTCCTTAGGACTACTTGAGTGTCCTCACAACATGGCGGCTAACTTCTCCAAGGGAGCAAAGCAGAAGCTGCAGTGTCTTTCCTGACCTAGCCTCAGAGGTCACACTTGGTCATCTCCACAATATCCTATTGGTGACACCGGTCAACCCTGCACATGTTAAGGGAGAGGGGTGTACACAAGGATGGGACTTCAGGAGGTGGGGACCACCGGGGTGTATCTTGGAGGCTGGCTGCCATGGTGGATGCAATATTCCCAGCAGGAGGAGTTGTAGTGAGGATTAAATGAGCTCACATAATGTGAAGCACCTGGTATACAATAAGCACTCAATAAAGGATCACACACAGCTCTCCCCACTAGCCTGATTGGCTTGAGTGGAAAACTTAACTACCCTGTAGCTGCCTCACTTTCTGGATCATTTCTTGGCGTCCCCAAGGCCTTCCACCACTCTTTCATTCAACACAATCTTCATGAACACCTACTATATCCAAGCCCCGTGCTGGATGCTGGAGACGCAGTGGTGGCAGAGACACAGTCTGTACTTGCTGTTCCAGGCTGCTTCGGGCATACATCAGAGCAGAGAGGGGCTGGCAGACGAGGAGCTGCTTTGGACAGTGTGGTCAGGGATCGCCTCTCAGTGGATGTAGCCTGTGAGCCAAGTCCTGAATGAAGTGAGGGGGCATTGTGTGGACACAGGAGGGAAGAGCACTCCAGGCAGCTGGATCAGGTAGGGCAAAAGCAGGAGCAAACCATCCATGTCCCAAGGACAGAATGAAGACCCAAGGGAAGAGGGGCAGGAAATGAGGTCGGGAAAGCCAGAAGAAGACTGGTTTTTGGCCAGGCGCAGTGACCCACACCTGTAATCCCAGCACTTTGAGAGGCTAAGGTGGGCGGATCACCTGAGCCCAGGAGTTCAGGACTGGCCTGGGCAACATGGGGAAACCTTGTCTCTATAAAAAACACAAAAATTAGGCTGGGTGTGGTAGCTCACACCTGTAATCCTAGCACTTTGGGAGGCCGAGGCGGGCGGATCACCTGAGGTCGGGAGTTCAAGCCCAGCCAAACCAACATGGAGAAACCCAGTCTCTACTAAAAATTCAAAATTAGCCAGGCGTGGTGGCGCATGCCTGTAATCCCAGCTACTCTGGAGGCTGAGGCAGGAGAATCGCTTGAACCTGGGAGGCGGAGGTTTCAGTGAGCCAAGATTGTGCCATTGCACTCCAGCTTGGGCAACAAGAGCGAAAACTCTGTCTCAAGAAAAAAAAAAAATTAGTAGCCGTGCCTGTGGTGCACAGCTATAGTCCCAGCTACCCAGGAAGCTGAGACCGGAGGATCTCTTGAGCCCAGGAGGTCAAGGCTGCAGTGAGCTATGAACATGCCACTGCACTCCAGCCTGGGCAAAAAACACAGCAAGACCCTATTTCAAAAAATAATACTAATAAAGAAGACTAGGGGCCGGGCGCGGTGGCTCATGCCTATAATCCCAGCACTTTGGGAGGCCGAGGCAGGGAGATCACTTGAAGTCAGGAGTTGGAGATCAGCCTGGCCAACATGGTGAACCCCCGTGTCTGCTAAGAATACAAAAAAATTGGCTGGGCGTGGTGACGTGTGCCTTTAATCCCAGCTGTTTGGGAGGCTGAGGCAGGAGAATCGCTTGAACCTGGGAAGCAGAGGTTGCAGTGAGCCGAGATCGCACAACTGTACTATGGTCTGGGTGACAGAGTGAGACTGTCTCAAAAAAAAAAAAAAAGAGAGAATAGGTTTTAGTCCAAGGGCCATGGGAGTCTTTGAAAGGATCTGAACAGCAGTCATCTGAGTGAGAGATAGTGGGGACTCGGCCTGGGGCAGGGCTGTGGAGGTGGTAGGTGGAGGAACTCTGGGGATATGTGGAAGGGAGACTTGTTTTTACAGTTTGTGCTGCTGAATGGGATGCTGGGGTAGTGAAAGAGGAGTCAAGGGTACTTCCCGGTTTCTGACCTGAACAAGCAGGAGGATGATGTTGTCATGAGTAGAATCGGGGCAGACTGTGGGCGGAGCAGGTCGGGGCGGGTGAGAGATCCCGTGTTCTATCTTGGACCTGTCAGACATCCAGGGCAAGATGTCAAGGAGGCAGTTAGAGATCTGAGTCTGGCGTCTGAGAGACAGATTGGGCGGAAGATGTAAATTCAGGAGTTGTCAGATAGGTGGTGTTTAAGGCCATGCGTCAGGATGAGATCAGCAGAGGAGAGGGTGTGTTAGAGCAAGGCGGAGAGCACCCGGGTCCTCTAGCATTTAGACGTCAGAGGAGAGAAGCCAGCAAGAGCCGGAGCAGGTATGAGAGATGTGGGTTGAGCACGGGAAGGGTGCCCAAAGACACAGCCATGGCGCAACACAGCCAGCCACTCTCTACCTTCACCCCACCCCAGGCAGCAGCAAGGCCCTGGAGGCCCCCACAGAATCCATCCTTCCCCTTCCACACATCGTCCCTTCAGAGGTCTAAGGCAGAGAATGTGTCCTCCATGGACTGCTATGTACACCCCCAGAATGTTCGGCCATTCCACCTCACTTCATTTCTAAGCCTTCATCATCTAACTCAGCATTGAGCAGGACCACCCCTCCCTTCACTTAGACTCTCTACCTCTGTTAATGCAACCTTAGACAGAAGTAGGCTTTCTGGTAGTAACAAATATACAAGATATGAGTGGGGAATTGTAAGGGATCCAGGCTGGTTAAAGGGAAGGGCCGTCAAGAAAGGAAATGGGATTGGTAATATCTGAAAAGGTTTATGGTTAGATCAGTGAGGGTCTTGATTGCCACACCAAGCAGTTTGGACTGAGGTGGGAAGAAGGATTCACAGAAGGTTCTGGCTTAAGGGAATGATGCAGTCAGGTGAGTTTTGTGTCAGGAAGAGCCATGCTAGGTTCTGTTCCTGGCCTTGTCCCTAATTAGCTCTCCCATGCTCACAGGCCCACTCTGGCACCACGATGAGATGAGGTAGGGCAGGGAGGTCTCACTCTGGCATGTGGGGGTGGCGGCTGCAGACACAGAGGCACCATGGAGCAGGGAGGTTCCCAGGGAGGCAGCAGCTTTGCTGGGCCCTCCACGTTTCCATAAGGGCAATGATGCTTATATTAATGAGCAGTAATTATGGGCACCCGGGTGGGCCTAAGTATAGCTCATTGAAAAAGGCAGCTCGAGGCAGCCAGCTGCTTCCCCCTGCAAGGGCAAGGCCTGCCTATTTTAAGACCTCCCTAAGGTGAGGATCCTGCCACCCTAGGTGTTGGGTGGCTGAGGGCCTGTCACCCACTGGGCCAGGAACCCTGATCAAGGGAGCTCAGAGGAGTCAGGGTGACCAGATGCTCAGACCGTCCTCATTCAAGCCCCCCATTGCCTAGAGGAGGAAACTGAGGCACAGAAGGGGGAAAGGACCAGTACGAGGTCACAGCAAATAAATAGCAGGTTTAGAATTTAAATCCAAGGGGTCTGGCATGGTGGCTCATGCCTGTAATCCCAGCATTTTGGGAGGCTGAGGCGGGCGGATCACTTGAGCTCAGGAGTTCGAGACCTGGCCAATGGTGAAACCCCGTCTCTACCAAAAGTACAAAAATTAGCCAGGCGTGGTGGCAGGCAACTGTAATCCCAGCTATTGAGGAGGCTGAGGCAGGAGAATTCCTTGAACTCGGGGGGCAGAGGTTGCAGTGAGCCAAGATCACACTACTGAACTCCAGCCTGGGTGACAGAGCAAGACTCCGTCTCAAAAAAAAAAAAAAAAAAAAAAAAAAAAGGACAGTATTTGAATACAGGTCCAACTACATGCAGTTTCCACCATGCCGTGCAGCATTCCTCACCTGGAAGCTTTGGCCTGTCCCCAAGAAGCACAGTATAGTGAGGTGAGGAGGGGAACAGAGTGTGACTGATACTGATTGGGCATCGAAATGCGAGGCTTTCTATATGACATCACAGTTCAACCTTATTATAATTTTTAAAAGTAAGGATCATGGCCAGTAATCCCAGCACTTTGGGAGGCCGAGGCGGGTGGATCATCTGAGGTCAGGAGTTCGAGACCAGCCTGGCCAACATGGGGAAACTGTCTCTACCAAAAATACAAAATGTAGCTGGGCACGGTGGCGCTCACCTGTAATCCCAGCTACTCGGGAGGCTGAGGCGGGAGAATTGCTTGAACCCGGGAGGCAGAGGTTGCAGTGAGCCGAGATCATGCCGCTGCACTCCAGCCCGAGTGACAGAATGAGACTCGGTCTAAAAAAAAACCGAAAACGGATCATTATCCCCATGTTACAGAAGAGGAAACCGAGGCTCAGGGGGAATGACTGAATCACCAAGTGTCCTGCAGTGAGGAGGGGAAGAAGTAGAATCCAGTTCCGTCCTATCTCAGGTCAGCTTCCCCAGGAAACAGACTCAGGTTTGCATGAGAAGTTTCCTGGGAAATCAGTTCGGAACATCTGTGACAGGTGAAGGGGACAGGATTGGGCAGAGGGAAGAGGTGAACCTCAATACAGCACAACAGAGGCCTCAGCGAATCCCATAGGGAGCTCTGGAACTGGGATGGCCCTTTAGGGTTGTTCTGAATTGGGGCAAGGGAGCCACACCTTGGTACCCAAACATTGACCAGTTATTGGATGCAGGGTGCCCCTGGGAAGGAGCATAAGGACAGACTATGGGTGGAGCAGGTCAGGGTGGGTGGGAGAATGAGTTCTGTATCTTGGACCTGTCAGACTTCCAGGGCAAGATGTCAAGGAGGCAGTTAGAGATCCAAGTCTGGCATCTTGGGTGAGGCATCTCCCTTTGGCTGAGAGCAGCTCCTAGCGGGAACTTGGCTGTGAATTGTCAGCAGCCAATGCTCTTGGCAGCTGGGGTTGTGAGTGCCTCTGTGCAGGGGGGTCCTGGGTGGCCATCACAGCATCCACTGCACATCCATCTCCAGAGCCGTTCTCATTCCTCTGACCCCAGATGAGAACCAGCCCCTGCTCTCAGGAAAGTTACGGGCACATGGACTCCTGTTTTTTTGTTTGTTTTGTTTGTTTTTTTTTTTTTTTGAGACAGAGTCTTGCTCTGTCACTCAGTCTGGAGTGCAGTGGCACAATCTCAGCTCACTGCAACCTCTGCCTTTCAGATTGAAGTGATTCTCCTGCCTCTGCCTCCCAAGTGGCTGGGATTATAGGCTCAAGCCACCACGTCTGGCTAATTGTTGTATTTTTAGTAGAGATGGGGTTTCGCCATATTGGGCAGGGTGGTCTCAAATTCCTGACCTCAAGTAATCCAGGCGTGAGCCACCATGCCCAGCCTTACACTCCTTTTCTTTATGGTGCTCACAGGCCAGGGGATGCTGGGGGGAAGGGAAGCCATCAGTGCTAATGGGGAAGGAAAGAGCGAGTAAGTGGTCAGTCCTGGAAGAGGAGAAAAATACTACCAAAACCCCACAAAGACAGAATGGGAGAAAATATTTACAAACCATATATCTGCTAAGGGTTCAATATCTAGAATATATACAAAGAATTCCTAGAGCTTAACAACAAAAATGACAAACAACCCAATTATAAAATGGGCAAAGGACTTAAATAGACATTTCTCCCAAGAAGATATACAGACAGCCAATAAGCACATGGAAAGATGCTCAACATCATTAGTCATCAGGAAAATGCAAATCAAAGCCACAGGGAGATACCAGTTCACACCTACTAGGATGACTATAATTTTTTTAAAAAGGAAATAAGTTCTGGCAAGATCTGGGAAAACTGGAACCCCTGTATATTGCTGGTGGGAACGTCATATGGTGCAGCTGCTATGGAAAACAGTTTGGTGGTTCCGCAAAAAGTTAAACATAGGGGCTGGGCGTGGTGGCTCGCCTGTAATCCCAGCACTTTTGGAGGCCAAGGCGGGTGGATCACAAGGTCAGGAGTTCAAGAACAGCCTGGCCAAATGGTGAAACCCCGTCTCTACTAAAAATACAAAACATAGCCAGGTGCAGTGGCGGGCACCTGTAATCCCAGCTACTCGGGTTGCTGAGGCAGGAGAATCACTTGAACCCAGGAGGCGGAGGTTGCAGTGAGCCAAGATCATGCCATTGCACTCCAGCCTGGGCGACAAGAGCAAGACTCCATCTCAAAAACAAAACAAAACAAAAGTTAAACATAGAATTACTGTATGATCCAGCAATTCCACTTGGATATTAACCCAAAACAATTGAAAACAGAGACTCAAACAGATACTTGGACACCATTGTTTGTAGCAATATTATTCACAATAGCCAAAAGGTAGAAACAACCCAGGTGTCCATCCAAAGATGAATGGATTAAACAAAATGTACTATATATGCAGGATGGAATATGATGCAGCCATAAAACGGAATGAAGTTCTGACCCATGCTACAACATGGGTGAACTTAGAAAACAAACATTATGCTACGTGAAATAGGTCAGACACAAAATAACAAATGTTATATGATTCCACATATTGAGAATATTTAGCATAGGCAAATTCAGAGAGACAGAAAGTAGGTTAAATATTACTAGGGGCCGCCAGGCATAGGGCTCACATCTGTAATCCCAGCACTTTGGGAGGCCAAGGCAGGCATTTCACTTGAAGTCAAGAGTTCAAGACCAGCCTGGCCAACATGGTGAAACCCGTTCTCCACTAAAAATACAAAAATTAGCTGGGCATGGTGGCATGCGCCTCTAATCCCAGCTACTTGGGAGGCTGAGGCACGAGAATCGCTTGAACCCAGGAGGCAGAGGTTGCAGTGAGCCGAGATCGCACCACCGCACTCCAGCCTGGGTGACAGAGCGAGACTCTCAGACTCTGTCTCAAAAAAAAAAATGAATAAAAGAAATTACCAGGGGCTAGGAGAAGGAGGAGAAAAGAAGTTTTTGCTTAATGGGTACAGAGTTTCTGTTTGGGGTGATGGAATGGTTTTGGAAATAGATCATAGTGGTGGTTACACAACATTGTGAGTGTCCATAATGCCCCACTGAATTGCACGCTTAAAGATGGTTAAAATGGCAAATTTTATGTTACATGTATTTTGCTACAATAAAAGTAATACCTACGGGAAATAGGAAAATTCATAGACACGGAAAGTATCTATGGACGTGGTTGTCAGAAGCTGGGAAAAGGGGAAAATAGGGAATGACTGCTTATTGGGGATGCGGTTTGCTTTTGGGGTTATGAAAATGTTTCAGGGCTGGGTGTGGTGGCTCATGCCTGTAATCCCAACATTGTGGGAGGCTGAGGCAGGAGTATTGCTTGAGCCCAGGAGTTCCAGACCAGCTTGGGCAACATAATGAGACTCCTGTCTGTACCAAAAAAAAAAAAAATGTTTTTTCTAATTAGCTGGGCATGTACCTATAGTCTCAGCTACTCAAGAAGCTGATGTGGGAGGACATTTGAGCCCAGGAGATCAAAGCTGCGGTGAGCTATGATCACACCACTGCACTCCAGCCTCGGCAACAGAGCGAGACCCTGTCTCAAAAGAAAGAAAGAGGCTGGGTGCAATGGCTCATGCCTGTAATCTCAACACTTTGGGAGGCCGAGGCAGGCGGATCATGAAGTCAGGAGTTAGAGACCAGCCTGGCCAACATAGTGAAACCCCATCTGTACTAAAAATTACAAAAATTAGCCGGATGTGGTGGCATGCACCTGTAGTCCCAGCTACTCAGGAGGTTGAGGCAGGAGAATCGGTTGAACCTGGGAGGCAGAGGTTGCAGTGAGCTGAGACCACACCATTGCACTCCAACCTGGGTGACAGAGTGAGAGTCCATCAAAAGAAAGAAGTGGGAGGGAGGGAGGGAAGGAAGGAAGGAAGGAAGGAAGGAAATATTTCGGAACTAGATGGAGGTAGTGATTACACAGCATTGTTACTAAATGTCACTAAATTGTACACTTTAAAATGACTAATTTTATGTTACATTAATTTCTCCTCAGTTTTTTTTTAAAAAAGGAAAAAAGGCTGGGTGCAGTGGCTCACGCCTGTAATCCCAGCATTTTGGGAGGCCAAGGTGGGTGGATCACAGAAGGTCAGGAGTTCGAGACCAGCCTGGTCAACATGGTGAAAACCTGTCTCTACTAAAAATACAAAAATTAGCTGGGCGTGGTGGTGCGTGCCTATAATCCCGGCTACTAGTTAGGCTGAGGCACGAGAATCGCTGGAACCCAGGAGGCAGAGGTTGCAGTGAGCTGAGACCACCCCATTGCACTCCAGCCTGGGCGACAAGAGCAAGACTCCGTGTCAAAAAATAAAAATAAAAAAGGGAAAAAAAACTGGAAAAATACAATCCATAATATGCAGCTAATAGATACTCAGGGGAAAATATATAGCTTTTCTGTGACACATTTATTAGAGTATAAGGAGATCAGAAAACAAATGAACTAAACGTCCAACTCAAAAAGGTGGAAAAGGTGTTAGAATAAGAAAGTGTGCTGAACCCAGCTTTAGCAGGGGTGAGGGAGGGAGGCACCTTGCAAGAGGAGGGTTGAACCTCTAGGACTATACTGTCAACCTGGTAGCCACTTGCCACATGTGCTATTTAAATTAAATTAATTAAACTTTTTAAAAAATTAAAAATTCAGTTTCCCAGTCGCACTAGCTGCATGTCAAGTGCTCTGTGGCCCAGTGGCTACCATATTGGACAGCTCAGATCTAGGGGAAGATGGACAAGAAACTAGCAAACAAGTAAACACATGAGAGTTTCCCAGAGCAGTGAGAGCTATGAAGAAATCCTGAAGGGTGTGAGCTTGGCTGGCAGGTGGACAGTAAGAGATGGGAACAAGGTTGGAGAAGCTGGTGGAAGCTGGGCCATGCTGGGCCAGATGGACATCCACTCTTTGCTGAGGCCACCTGGTACCGTCCCATCCTCCCCACCCTCTGCCCCTCAGCTGGTGGATCCAGCCCCCACACTGTCCCCTTTCTTTGCACATCCTCCAGTTCAGCAGGGCCAGTGGGCTGGGTGGGGCCTGCGTTAAGAGTCAAGAAGACCTGGGTTCCAGTCCTGGTTCCGTGTGGCTTTGTGCTGTCTGGTTCCCAGACTGGCGCACTTTGTCTCATAGGATGTTCTAGAGGTCAGAGTCTAAAACGGATTGCAGAGCTACATTCTCTCTGGAGGCTCTAGGGGAGAATTCATCTCTTTTTTTGAGACACAGTCCCACTTTGTTGCCCAGGCTGGTCTCAAACTCCTGGCCTCAAGCAATCCTCCTGCCTTGGCCTCCCAAAGTGCTGGGATTACAGGCGTAAGCCACCATGCCCAGCCATCTCTGCCAGCTTCTGAAGGCTGCCTGCATTCCTTGGCTCATGTCTCCACATCACTCTGATCTCTGCTTCTGTTGGCACATCTCCTCTGACTCTGACCTTCCTGCCTGTTTATTTATTTATTTATGTATTTATTTTTGAGACAGAGTCTCACTCTGTTGCCCAGGCTGGAGTGCAGTGGCACAATCTCGGCTCACTGCAACCTCCACCTCCAGGTTCAAGTGATTTTCCTGCCTCAGCCTCCCAAGTAGCTGGGATTATAGGCGCACGCCATCACACCCAGTAATTTTTGTATTTTTAGTAGAGATGGGGTTTCACTACGTTGGCCAGGCTGGTCTCAAACTCCTGACCTCAAGTGATCTGCCCTGCCTTGGCCTCCAAAAGTGCTGGGATTACAGATATGAGAAACCATGGCTGGCCCATTCCTGTTTCTTTTTTTCTTTTTTTTTTTTTTTTTTTTTTTTGAGACAGAGTCTTATTCTGTCACCCAGGCTGGAGTGCAGTGGCACGATCTCAGCTCACTGCGAACTCTGCCTCCTGGGCTCAAGTGATTCTCCAGAAGCCTCAGCCTCCCAAGTAGCTGGCATTACAAGCACACACCCCACACCCAGCTAATTTTTTGTTTTTTGGTAGAGATGGGGTTTCACTGTGTTGGCCTGGGTGGTCTCAAACTCCTGATCTCAAGTGATCCACCTGCCTTGGCCTCCAAAAGTGCTGGGATTACAGGTGTGAGCCACCATGCCCAGCCCATGCCTCTTTCTTATAGGGACCGTGTGATTAGCTTGAGCCTATCCAGATAATTCATGATAGTCTCCCCATCTCAAGATCCTTAATCACATTTGCAAAATAACCACACCTGCCAAGTTCCTTTTGACAAGGTCATGGGCATATTTGGGGGCCATTATTCTGCCCTCCATACTTGATGTCAGCCAGAGCCTTTGTGCTGTGACCTGACCCAGCCCCTCTGAGAGCCCTCCCTCCACAAACCTTGTCCTCACTTGCTCTGCTCCAGCCACACTGACTCTTTGCCAATCCTCAGCACACCAGGCTCAGGCCAAACCAAGTCTTGGTACTCCCACGTACAGGGCCGGTGGGCTTAGAAACCTCGCCAACCTCTCTGCTCCATGGCAGACAGGAAGATTGAGGCCCAGGCTCAGAAAAGGAAGGGACTTACCTAAGTTTTGGACTAGTATTTCCAGGATGTTCCCATTTTACAACAGGGGAAACTGAGGCACAGCAACTGCACCTAAATGCCACCCTCTTGTGAGCCCTTGCCTTGCTTGTCCTGAGGACGTGCCCCTGTTATTGACTCTGAGAGCTCTATTCCAGGCCATCTTTGCTTCATCTCAATTGGAAATGATGGGCCTATGGGCTTGTTGGCCTCTTTGGTGTCAGAAGCCCTCAGCACCTGCCCAGCAGTCATACTTGGTAGACATTCGGTGAAGGGCAGAGCAGGTTTTTGCAGAGGGCTTCCATTTGACATAGGAATTCCTCTGTTAAACAATTGGACGGTACTGCCCTCAGACCTGGATGAGATGGGCCCTTGCCCTAGGTCCTTCTTTTTGGAAGGCCTCTCTAGGCAGGCACAGTGGCCCACAGCTATAATCCCAGCACTTTGGGAGACCAAGGCTGGAGGATCCCTTGATCCCAGGAGGCCAAGGCTGCAGTGAGCTGTCTGTGACCTTGTTGCAAAAAAAAAAAAAAAAAAAAAAAAGGCCAGGCATGGTGGCTCATGCCTGTAATCTCAGTACTTTGGAAGGCCAAGGTGGGCGGATCACTTGAGGTCAGGAGTTCGAGACCAGTCTGGCCAACATAGTGAAACCCTGTCTCTACTAAAAATACAAAAATTAGCCATGTGTGGTGGCATGCATCTGTAATCCCAGCTACTCGGCAGGCTGAGGCAGGAGAATCACTTGAACCCGGGAGACGGAGGTTGCAGTGAGCCAGGATCACACCACTGCACTCCAGCCTGGGTAACAGAGTGAGACTCTGTCTCTAAAAAAAAAAAAAAAAAAAGACCTCTCTGGCCCTCTAAAAGTCCATGTTTTTCCCCATAAGGCAAGGAGAGTTCAGGAGCCCTGGGGACATGCCCACCAGCAGGCTGCATCCCCCCATAGACCACCCTGGATACTGGGCACCCTGGGATTCCCTGCCCAAATGACCCACGCCTGCCTCCAGGGCCAGCACAGGGTCCTCCCGTGGGAGGTGGACCCTGCCACAGGGACCATCCTGGGGTTCCGGGATGACTGTTTGGGGGCCTGTGGACAGAGCTAGGAGATGTGGGCTGGGGTATTTGCATCTATGTGGACCCTCGGGGTGAGGGACAGAGTCAGAAACGGAAAGAGAGTGGAGGATGGGCAGCCCCCCACCCATATTTCATCATGGAATTCAGAGGAGACCCAGAACTCTGAGTCTGAGCCTGGTTTTCCAGGTTGTTTTAAAGATACAGTCCTCAAGCTAGAAGAATGGAAGATGTTGTGCTTGTCTGATAGTCGGTAGCTTGAGTTGTAACTTTTATTTATACACAGAGTACGTGGGCCTCGGTGTGTACTCCTGTCCTCAGGCCCACAACATTGAGGACTGGCTTCAGAGATCCTCCCAGCCTTGCGATCTGGATCTGACCTTCCCGGCACCCCTCCCCGACAATCCAGCTGACCAGCTGACCGCTTTCTGTCTTCTCTCCCTAGGATAGCTGCCGCCCGGGAGAGGTGACCCGGGCGCCCTGCTAGGGTGAAGGCCCCTGCCCTCGGCCCGGGATCATGAAAGGCCTCGGTGACAGCCGCCCCCGCCACCTCTCCGACAGCCTAGACCCACCCCACGAGCCCCTGTTTGCAGGGACCGACCGCAACCCCTACCTGCTGTCGCCCACGGAGGCCTTCGCCCGCGAGGCCCGCTTCCCCGGGCAGAACACCCTGCCAGGAGATGGCCTCTTTCCCCTCAACAACCAGCTGCCCCCGCCCAGCAGCACCTTTCCCCGCATCCACTACAACTCCCACTTCGAGGTGCCAGAGGAGAGCCCCTTCCCCAGCCATGCCCAAGCCACCAAGATCAACCGGCTGCCCGCCAACCTCCTGGACCAGTTTGAGAAGCAGCTGCCCATCCACCGTGATGGCTTCAGCACCCTCCAATTTCCCCGTGGCGAGGCCAAGGCCCGTGGTGAGAGCCCTGGCCGCATCCGCCACCTGGTCCACTCAGTCCAGCGGCTTTTCTTCACCAAGGCACCCTCACTGGAGGGCACAGCGGGCAAGGTCGGTGGCAATGGCAGCAAGAAGGGTGGCATGGAGGACGGCAAGGGCCGGAGGGCCAAAAGCAAGGAGCGGGCCAAGGCTGGGGAGCCCAAACGGCGCAGCCGCTCCAACATCTCAGGCTGGTGGAGCTCCGATGACAACTTGGACGGCGAGGCCGGCGCCTTCCGCAGCAGTGGCCCAGCCTCTGGGCTGATGACACTAGGCCGCCAGGCAGAACGCAGCCAGCCACGCTACTTCATGCACGCCTACAACACCATCAGTGGGCACATGCTCAAAACCACCAAGAACAACACTACTGAGCTGACTGCCCCACCACCCCCGCCCGCACCCCCAGCCACCTGCCCCAGCCTTGGGGTGGGCACTGACACCAACTACGTCAAACGGGGCTCCTGGTCCACTCTGACCCTCAGCCACGCCCACGAGGTCTGCCAGAAGACCTCAGCCACCTTGGATAAGAGCCTGCTCAAGTCCAAATCCTGCCACCAGGGTCTAGCCTACCATTACCTGCAGGTGGGTCTCTGGCAGGGTCAGGGGTGGGATGAGGGCTCTGGGGACGGCACCAGTTTTGAGGCCTAGACGTACCACAGATTCACTTGGAAAGTCACTTCATTCTGGGCCTCTGTGGCTCAGCTATAAAATGGGTGGCCTAGTGGTACCTGCTAATCAGGGAGTCCTTCCACTGGTCATGCTCTCAACAGAGATTAATTAGGGCCTTTCTGAGCCCAGCCCTGAGCAGGGACTAAAATATGTTCCTGCCCTTTAGAAGACAAATCTGGAAGCTGTGCCATCCCAACCCCCTCACAGAACCAATTGCATGACATTCTAATTGCCAGCCTCTCCCTGCCACCCCCATCAGACTGACAGTTTTTTGAGGACAGGGATCACATCTGATGCAGCCATGTGTCCCCAAGGCCCAGGACAGGATCTGGCATGCAGGAAGTGCTCAGGAAATGTGAGCGAGGGAGGGGTAGATGGACAGATGGACAATTAAATGAACAGAGTCAGAAATAAAGAAGACACAGTCCCAAAGATTAGAATACTGGGAAAGACATGGACGGTCATGTCAGTGTCGGCAGAGTGTGATGGGGATCAGCACCAAGAGTTGCAGGGGCCCAGGGGGTCCTAACCCAGCTTGGGGGAATAGCTTTCTTCTTTCAAATGCCAACACTGATTCAGGCACTTGCTGTGCACCAAGGCCACATGGCTTGAAAGTGGCAGAAGGCTGAGACATCACCGTGGCTGCACATTTCCAAGTGGCTCTCAAGGGTAGGGCAGGGGGCTATGAACTGAATGGCTCCCCAGGGCAAAGCCAGGCTGTGGGTGGAAATTACAGGAAGCAGATTTCAGGTGGAAGGAGCTGCTTCTGCAGGTAGTGAGTGCCTCATCTCAGGGGGAATGCAAGCGCGGGCCTGGCCAGCCCTTGGGAACTCTGATGAGTATTTCTTTTTTTTTTTTTTAGACAGAGTTTCAGTTTCACTCTTGTTGCCCAGGCTGGAATGCAGTGGCGCGATCTCGGCTCACTGCAACCTCCGCCCCCCGGGTTCAAGCAATTCTCCTGCCTCAGCCTCCTGAGTAGCTGGGATTACAGGCACCCGCCACCATGCCTGGTTAATTTTTTGTATGTTTAATAGAGACGGGATTTTATCATGTTGGCCAGACTGGTTTTGAACTCCTAACCTCCAGTCTGCCTCGGCCTCCCAAAGTGCAGGGATTACAGGACTGAGCCACTGCACCCAGCAATTTTTTTTTTTTTTGAGATGGAGTTTCACACTTGTCACCCAGACTGGAGTGCAATGGCAGGATCCTGGCTCACTGCAACCTCCGCCTCCTGGGTTCCAGTGATTCTCCTGCCTCAGCCTCCTGAGTAGCTGGGATTATAGGTGCGAGCCACCAAGACTGACCAATTTTTGTGTTTTTAGTAGAGATGGGGTTTTATCATGTTGGCCAGGCTGGTCTCGAATTCCTGACCTCAGGTGAGCACCTGCCTCAGCCTCCCAAAGTGCTGGGATTACTGACGTGAGCCACTGCACCCAGCCATGAGATGCATTTTGAACGAGATGATCTTCGGGGTCTAACAAAGCGCTGACTTCTTATCATCTTATATGAAATTCCAGAAACAGTGAGACTATTTTCTTTTTCAATAGGAGGAAACTGAAATCCAGGCAGTATGTGATATATTTAGGGCTCTTGTGGTTCTGAAACTGCTTCCTTGGTTTAGAAGCATTAGGGAGGGTGATGTGTGACCGGGCTTCCTCTCAAAATGGTATAGTTGGGTCTGATCATGTAACAATGCCGCAGAAACACCATGAGAGGGTAGCCCTGTGGGCCCTGGAGTCTGTGCTGCCTGCTTGGGTGACAGGAGGTGAGTGGGTGGCTTAGCAACAGTTTCTGAGCAGTGATGTACAAGGCCATGTTCCCAAGGGACAGTGGGGATAGTGGGGCTGGACTAGCAAGTGGCTTGTAGGCAGAATGCACTGGCCCTAGGCTGGGCAGTCTGCTGAGGGTTTATGGGAAGGCTGGGTGGGGCTGGAGTGGGAGTCCTGGACATTACCTTCCCTTTGTGGAAAGTGGGCCTCTGACACAGAGGGCATGGAGAATGGTGCAGTACCTGTGTAGACATGGCCCTTGGGCAGTGTGCATGTGTATGCTATAGAGAGTGGGAATGCTGTGTACACTGAATGAGTGGGCTTGGACATCTGTGGTGACATGTGCAGTCTGGTGAGGGGTATGCTGTGTGCATGTGGAGGCGGGGACAGTGCAAGGTAGATACACGTTGAGATGTGTGTCCACAGTGCAGTAGTTGCTGGCGCGAATGTCCAGAGGGAGGGTAGTGGGAAGGTGGGTGTGCTCTGTGTATATGCTGCATACTTGTGGGGGGGGGTTGCTGTGACAAAGTGGCTGCTGGTGTGTGTCCTTGGTGAGGTGTGTGGTACACTGGGGGTACTCACTGAGGGGCATGGGGCATATGCTTGTTCTGTACATTTTGAGATATGTGTACAGGATGAGGCATGTTCACTCTGTGCACAGGCTGTGTGTGAGTGCTGAGATGTGTGCATTTTTCATCACACAGTGACCATCCATTGTGTTTCCGTAACAGTGTGAATGAAATGGCGAGGAATGTAGCCTGTGTGCACTGCCCTGGGGCAGCCAGCAGAGCCCGGCTCAGAAGGACAGGGAAGGTCCCCTCGGTTGGTTACTGCCACCATAACCACTGGAGACTGGGGGACCAGGGCTGCCCTCACAGCTGTGACCTCACCTGCCCTATCACAGCCCCGTTCCACGGACGGAGTCCCTGAAGTTCAGATGGGAAAACTGAGCCCTTTTTCCAGCTCACCATGTGGCTACCTGACCCGGGGAAGCACCTCTGCTCTCTGTATCTCAGTTTCCCCACCTGTGGGACAAAGAATATCCATTGGCTCTGGGATCCCGTCCCCCCTCATGCTGATGTGCCAGGGTCGTCTGATCCCCCATTCTAGGCTCAGGCTCTGGATCCTGGTCTGGGGCCTCTTTCTGCAAGTGCCTTGCGTCCCTCAGGCCTGGTGTTCTCATCTGTGCAGTGAGATCATAAGCATCCCCTGAGAGTCCACGTGAAGTGACTGTGGGGCTAAGTAGAGATGGCTGCAGTGGAGGCCACCATGACCACAGGGCCTAGGGCATTGCTTCTGGGGCAAACCCAGCCTGGGATCCATGGAGAAATCCCAGGCTGGAGAGGCTCTGGAACCCCGGTATTCCTCCCAGCCCAGGGCTCTGCTCTGCTGCCCCGAGGTTTCAAAGGCGGGAAACCCAGCACGTGAGCCCGAATTCTGCAGGGAACGAGGGAGCTTCAGGTCCCGGAGATGGGGGTTCTCGCCATCTGCTCATTTTCTGCGGTGGCCCCACTGAGTCCTGTGCCCCATCCCCAGGTGCCCGGCGGCGGCGGCGAGTGGAGCACCACGCTGCTGTCCCCACGCGAGACGGATGCCGCGGCCGAGGGCCCTATCCCGTGCCGGCGCATGCGCAGCGGCAGCTACATCAAGGCCATGGGCGACGAGGACAGCGACGAGTCCGGCGGCAGCCCCAAGCCCTCACCCAAGACCGCGGCGCGGCGCCAGAGCTATCTGAGGGCCACGCAGCAGTCGCTGGGAGAGCAGAGCAACCCCCGCAGGTAGGCGCGCAGCTCCACCCTTACGGTCCCGCCCAGAGGCAAGCCCCGCCCACTACGAGTCTTGCTCCCTGGGAGGAGCCCTGCATTAAAATAAGCCCCGCCTGCGTGGGAGCCACGCCCCCTTTGAGCCACGCCCACTCATGAGTCCTGCTTCTTGAGAGAACCCCTTCATTGAAATAAGGCCCGCCCGGCGCGGTGGCTCACGCCTGTAATCCCAGCACTTTGGGAGGTCGAGGCGGGTGGATCACTTGAGGTCAGGATTTCAAGACCAGAATAGCCAACATGGGGAAACCCCGTCTCTATTAAAAATACAAAAATTAGCTGGGTTGGCGGCAGGCGCCTGTAATCCCAGCTACTCGGGAGGCTGAGACAGGAGAATCGCTTGAACCCGGGAGGCGGAGATTGCAGTGAGCCGAGATCGCGCCACTGCACTCCAGCCTGGGCGACTGAGCGAGACTCCGTCTCAAAAAAAAAAAAAAGAAAGAAAGAAAAAGAAAAGCCCCGCCCGCGTGGAAGCCCCTCCCAGAGGCTTTTCTCCCCACTTCGGGTGAGTCCCGCCCACTTGTGAGCCCTCCAGGGGAAAACCTCTTTCAGTAAGTACAAGTCCCGCTCACCCGCAAGCCTCGTCCCCTAGGTGAACCCCTCTTAGTTCTGCCCCTACCCCAGGAGTCCCGCCTTCCTCCCATTCGGCTGTTCCCCCGGAGATCCCAGCCCACAGATGAATCCTGTCCCTCAGCTTCAGATCCAGGTGAACTCACTACTATAATGATCCAGGCCCCCTAAGTGAACCCGCCATCAGGTTAGCTCCCTCCATGAGATCCTCAGGTTGGCCCTGCACTCTGATGAATTGACCTCGAAGAGCCCGGCCAATTGGAGAACTACCCCTTGAGCCCCACCCACAGTTCAGCCCTGACCACAGGTGAGCTGCATCCTTTGGTAAACCCCGATCATGAAAGCCACACTCGGGTGATAGGTCCAGGTAAACCCCTCCCACAGGAGCCACATCCCCAGGTAAGTTCCACTCCCAGAGGGGAACTGTCCCACGGGATCTTGGTCTTCAGGTTAGGAGAACCTGCCCTGAGTGAGTGCATCACCTGTAACAGCACTGCCTAGGGAAGGCCAAAGCCCGCTCTACCCTTGCTCCTGTAACTGATCCCTGTGGGGAGTTCCGAGATGGGGGAGGGAGGTGAATCCAGAAGCCAAAGAGTGATAGACAGACTTTTCCTGTCCCAGTGCCTGCCTGGAATTCACCAGCCAAGCCCCATCGTGTTGCTGTAAGGCTTGGAGGAGTTAGAGGGAACAAGCTTCTCCCTAGATCTTCAACTAGGGGGGACAGGAGCCAAGGCTTCATGGAGGAGGTGGCCTGGGAAGACTGAGACAGAGGGAAGAGAACAGGTCAGGTGACACTGGTACCTAGGCAGGAAGAGGGCAGTGTTCTCAGAGCAGCCAGGAGTCTAGTTGACTGGGCAGAAGATAGAGAATGGCCTCCAGGTTGGAATTAAGGACACCACCAGACAATCCCAGGTCTGCCCTTTTCTGAACCTTAGTTTCTCCATCTTTTTTGTGGGGATGTGGGGAACAGGGTCTCGCTATGTCGCCCAGGTTGGAGTGCAATAGTGCAATCATGGTTCACTTGTCGACCTCCTGTGCTCAAGCAGTCCTCCCACCTCAGCATCCCGAGTAGCTGGGACTACCAGCATGGGCCACCATGCCCAGCTAATTTTTTTAAATAATTTTTTGTGACCAGGTGCAGTGGCTCACGCTTGTAATCCCTGCACTTTGGGAGGCCAAGGCAGGCAGATCATTTGAGGTCAGGAGTTTGACACCAGCCTGGTCAACATGGCGAAACCGCATCTCTACTAAAAGTATATAAATTAGCAGATTGTGGCGGTGCATGCCTATAATCCCAGCTACTAGGGAGGCTGAGGCATGAAAATCACTTGAACCCAGGAGGCAGAGGTTGCAGGGAGCTGAGATCGTGCCACTGCACTCCAGCCTGGGTGACAGAGTGAGACTGTCTCAAAAAAAAATATATATATATATATAATATATATGTATGTATATGTATATATTGCTCTCCCCTTGCTCATCAGCCCTCACACTGTCCAGGCTGGCAGTGACTTCCATTTTTCCCTCTGCCACTGGATGACCTTCGCCAGTCTTTTTCCCTCTGGGCCTCAGTTTCCCAATCTGAATAATATATACATATATATGTATATATTGTAAAGATGGGGCCTCACTATGTTGCCCAGAGTGGTGGTGAACTCCTCCGCTCAAGTGACCCTTCTGCTTTGGCCTCCCAAAGTGCTGGGATTATAGGTGTGAGCCACCACGCCTGGTCAGTTTCCCCATCTTTTTTTTTTTTTTTTTTTTTTTGAGACAGAGTCTTGCTCTGTCGCCCAGGCTGGAGTGCAGTGGCACAAACTTGGTTCACTGTAACCTCCACCTCCCGGGTTCAAGCAATTCTCCTGCCTCAGCCTCCCGAGTAGCTGAGCTGACCTCAGGTGAGCTGCCCGCCTCAGCCTCCCAAATTGCTGGGATTACAGGCGTGAGCCACCGCACCTGGCCTAGTTTCCCCATCTTTAAGTGAAGGGGCTGAGCTGGAGGATCTCTAAGACCCCTTCTAGTACGGAGATCCTACAATCCGAGTGACCAGTAGGCATTAAGGTGGGAGAGGCAGGAAGCCTGGGGCTTAAGCCTAGAATTCAAGGGAAGCAATAATAATAACAGTAGTAGTAGTAGCAATAATAGTAACAGCTGCCGTCTGTTAGCACTTGTCCGCTGGCCACTGTGCCTGACCTGATATCCTTTAATCTGCACCACTGAATCCTCACTGCAGCCCCAGCAGGCAGGTAGCATCATCCCCATTTTAGAGATGAGGAAACTGAGACTTAAGTAAGGGGTAATGACTTGCCCAGGGTCACCCAGCTGAGAAAGCTGGATTCCAATCCAAACCCTTCTGTATCAGGGGCCTAAGCTATTGGATGCTTGGATTTTATCCCCAGAATGAGGACTGGGGGATGCCCAGGATCAGGTAGATGTAAGAAAGATTGAAGGGCTGGGGCCGTGGAGATAAGGGGTGAGTCTAGGGGCCTGATAGAAGCCACTCGAACATCGCAGCAGAGCTGATGCCCTTTGGGAGCCCTAGGCTGTGGAACTTGACCCACCTCTGTCGGGCCTCTGGAAATGTCCCAGACTTTCAAGGAGGAAGGAAAGGGGCTGTAGAATTGGGCAGGGCCAGCCTCGGGTTTTAAACAGTCAAATACAAGCTGGTGCTGCCACCCTGCGGCTGCAGCGGGCATCACAGGTGTGGACCACCTGTGCATCACAGATGGTCAAGGCCTCCAAAAGCTGGGTGAACAATGGGTGGGCTGAGCCCTGTCTGCTCCCCACTCCCCACCAGGAGTCTGGACCGCCTGGATTCAGTGGACATGCTGCTGCCCTCCAAGTGTCCGAGCTGGGAAGAGGACTACACCCCCGTCAGCGACAGCCTCAACGACTCCAGCTGCATCAGCCAGGTGAGGGTGGCAGGGAGGCTGGAGAGTCAGGGGGCTTGGGTACTGATTCCCATCTGGGAGGAGGACACACGCCCAGGCCCAGCCCATGCTGAGTGGCCCCCAGATGTCTGCACTGTGCTTCTGTTTGGTCCTTGTTCCTGAAGCCTCCTGTGTGTGTCTCTGCCCCACCAACTGTCCTGTGGCTGGAGAGCACAGTTACGGGGCCTGACCCAGGACCCCACACCACCACTGTAAACACAGGCTGCCAGCGGGGCGCCTGTCACTTCTCATTGGGTTCAGAACCATGAGGATAAGGAACTGGAGACCTAGGTTCGAGTCCCAGTTTTGTCACTTGACAGTATGAACCCAGGATAGTCACCTCCCCTCCCTGAACCTCGGTTTCCTGATTTACCAGAGGAGGGTGAGCATTTCTATCTGGGGGCTGTTGAGAGGAATAAGTGGGATCGTGAAGGCGGTGTGCTCAGCAGAGGGTAGCTGCCTTCCTGGTTATTATTAGCATCTTTTGTGACCTCCAGCAAGTGACTGCTCACTTTGAACCTCTGTGCCACCTACTCAGTGGGCAGTTGTGCTCCCAGGCGCAGCCAGCCCTGCCTGTGTCAGTGAGGAGCATACTGGGCTGAACGTTGAATTTGCATGCCACCCTCTCAACCATCAGCTCCTTGAGCCCTTAACCACCCCCAGAGGTGGCCTTGTTATCCATATCCCCATTTCATAGGTGAGGCAACTGAGGCTCAGAGAGGTGAAGTCATCATGCAGCTAGGAGAAGACAAAGTTGGGCAGGGATCTGGGGCTGTCCAGCCCAGACCTGGACCTCAGCTCCTGCCGTGTACTCGGCACTTTAGGGTTTGCAAAGGGAGAACCAGGCAGGACTAAAAGGCACCCCCCATCGTGTGGATGGGGAGATGAGCCCCCCGAGAAGGCAGACACCTACTGGTAGTAGCAGTTAGGCAGTGGGGCGGCCAGGTGCGGGTCCAGCCTCCTCTCAGCAGGAACAGGCCACTGTGTGCAGGCCCAGGACCACGGCTAGAGGACTGCTTAGAAGGCTTTGGGACCCCGACTCCTCACAACTCCATTATTCCTGGCCTAGCCAAGCTCCTTCCCCAGCCCCTCAGACATGGGGAGGGGTAGAGTGCCGCAGCCCAGGGAGCCCCCTGCCCCTGCCCCCCTCATCCAGACTCCACCAAGTCACACCTGAACAGCCGTCCTCCAATCCATACTCAGTGGCCAGAGGGAGCTGTCAGAGCCACACCCCTGCTCCAGACCCTCCCTTGGCTCCCACCTCCCCCTGAGGGAAAGCCAGAGTCCTTACCTGGACCTGTGAAGCCCTGTAAGACCTAGGCCCTGCCTCCCTGTTGGATCCTGTCCCTTGCCCTGCTCCAGCCATGCCGGCCTCCTTTCTGCTCCTTATATACGAGTGTGCCATGTCATTCTGCTCCAGGCCCTCTGCATTTGCTGTTTCCTCTTCCAGGGGCTCTCTTCTCAAATCTTTGCACAGCTGGCTCCTCCTGGCGTTTCAGGTCTCTGCTCGAATGTCACTTCCTCAGAGAGGCTGCCTGTGATCACTTGTCTAAAGTAGCCTTCCCAGGCGCTGTTCCCTTACCCTGCTGTTCCCTTACCTTATCACTGCCTGGAACTAGAATCATTTGCTTATTTACTTAATGCTGTCTCCCTCTTAAAACTAGGATCTCCTGGGAGCGGAGGCCTTGCTGTCTTGTTCCCTGCAGTGTCCCCAGTACCTGGCACAGTGCCTGGCACAGGGCAGATGCTTAGTAGGTGTTTGCTGAATGGACGGCATCCCTCCCTGTCTCTCCCATCCCACCACGTTTTCTCGTCTCAGTCTTCCTGTCTGTGTCTGTCTCCGTCTGTTTCTCTCTCTCTGTTCTCTCTCCCCTCATTCACATTTTTCTCTGATTCTCTCCAGCGTGTCTCCATCTCCATGTCTCTCTCTGTGTCTGTCTGTCTCTCTACACATCCCATCTCCACCCCCGCCTGGGCCTGGCACCCAGGACACCTTTGTCCTTTAACTACACAAAAAGGCTTATTAATCGGCCAGGCTGGGGGCCGCAGCAGGTCTCACCCACCACCCGCTGCCCAGTCCCAGTTCTCTCCTAGTCCAGGATCCTCTGACCCCTCACAGCCTCAACTCTAGAAGTTTGAGTGACCCAAGCCATATATTTGGCCCCAAAGTCAGAGATATTCTAGCCTGGGGAAGAGCAGGCTCTGGGCTCCATCCCTAATCTGTATCTCCAGGTGGGCTGCCTGCCAGATGAGAGGCAGCAGACAGAGGATCCATGGTCCCAGGGCCCAGACCTAAAGAAGGACTTTTATTTATTTATTTATTTTGAGATGGAGTTTCGCTCTTGTTGCCCAGGCTGGAGTGCAATGGCGCGATCCCAGCTCACTGCAACCTCCGCCTCACGGGTTCAAGCAATTCTCCTGCCTCAGCCTCCCTAGTAGCTGGGATTATAGGCATGTGCCACCATGCCCGGCTAATTTTGTATTTTTAGTAGAGATGGGGTTTCTCCATATTGGTCAGGCTGGTCTCGAATTCCCAACCTCAAGTGATCCACCCGCCTCGACCTCCCAGAGTGCTGGGATTATAGGCATGAGCCACTGCGCCCAGCCAAGAAGGACTTTTAAATAGCAGATTATAAGTCCTCAGTAATGCCCAGCCCCAGAAGGAGTGAGCCTCCCATCCCTGGAAGAAGCCAAGTGAGACCTCCTAGCAGCTGTGTCCCAGCCAGTCTGGGGAGGAGGTTAGACCAGCCAGCTTCAAGTTTCCTTGCAATTGACCCTGAATCCCCCACCCCAGCCCCAGCCCTGGTCCTTCCATAACCCTCACCCTCTCTTTCCTGCAGATTTTTGGACAGGCCTCCCTGATCCCCCAGTTGTTTGGCCATGAGCAGCAGGTCAGTATGTTTGCCCTTCTCTTCCACCCCAATCCCAGAGTGTAGGCCTGGGCCTTAGGCCTGCCCTCTGAGTGGTCCCAGCACCCGGCCCAGGCTGGTACAAGCAGAGCCATCACCAGGAAAGCCACTTCCAGTGGATGGAGTTGAGGGTCACATTGGTGTCCTGACTCTCCACTCCCTACCCTTATTGCTTCACCTCTATGTGCTTCAGTTTCCTCCTTTTGAAAATGGGGAAGAATGAGCTAGGTGCTCTGGATGGGGCAAGAAACAACTCCAGGACTCCTGCCCTCCTCTCTCCTCCCAGAAAGCCTGGGTCAGGCCTGGGGAGACTGAGTTGGACAGGTCAGGGGCTGGGGGCTGATGATATTAGCTTCCAGGTCCCAGCCCCCAGATCCCTTGGCTTTTCTCCTTTCTGGAGCGCCAGGAGGACATTTAAAGATGTTGGGGTGTTGGAGTGTGTGTGGAGACTTTCCAACTTCACACAGGTTGGTGAGGTTGTGCTGCTCATGGCACTGTGGCTGCCCTGAGGGCACCACCTCCTAGACATTCCTATCCTGCCCCTGGAAGTGGCCCTCTCCTCCCTCCCAGGCCAAAGACCAAAAACCAGGGGCAGGAAAGGTACTCTGAGATCAACCCCACTTTGTAGCCAGGAGTGGGTAAGGGACTTGTGCAAGGTCACACATCCCACAGGGGCAAAACTAGGACCAGACCTCCAGCTCCTGATTCCAGCCGTGGATGCCCCATGTGTCCCTCTCCCCCATGTCACAGAAGCTGTGTGTTCCTCCTGAACACATGATTCAAGAAGTTATTTAAAGAGCCCACAGTGGGCCAAGCGACCTCTTCCTCATCCACCTTTAATAGGCGAGTGGTAAGGATGTGATGCGTTAACATACAAAGCCCCCAGGACAGTGCCCCCTACACAGTAAATCCTCAGTGATACACATACCAGCAGCGCTGACCAGCTGGCCTCCCCACCGACAGCTCAAGAGCATCTTAACCAACACTGACAGACTCCACAGTGCTACCTGTATTCGTGGGTAGAGGTTACTAGGTGCATACTCTCTTGGACTCTATCCTAAGCCTGTGATATGAATTCTCTCATTTCATCTTGACCACAACCCTGAAATGGGGACTATTGCCCCATTTTATAGGTGGGGAAACTGAGGCACAAAGCAATTAAGTGACTTGCCCACGTTCACATTGTGAGGAAACGATGGGCCAAGGGTTGGACCCCTGGCAGTCTAGTTCCAGAGCCATGTGGTTCCTGTGTGATCCCAAAGCAAGACCCCATGCCCCCGGCAGTCACAAGGGTCTCTTCATAACTTCAGGCTGCAGTTTTGGAGGAGAAACACCTATCTCTTTAACACTCCTTCTGAGTGAATTTTGGATATGCCACATGGCCTATATTTTAATTTATCAGTACTGTACAGTAGAACTTTCTGTAATGATGGAAATGTTCTATAATTCACACTGCCCAATGAGATAGCCACTAGCTATATGTGACTTTATTTATTTACTTATTTTTGAGATAGGGTCTCACTCTGTCACCCAGGCTGAGTGCAGTGGTGCGATCATGGCTCACTGCAGCCTCAACCTCCCAGGCTCAGGTGATCCTCCCACCTCAACCTCCCGAGTAGCTGGGACTACAGGCACGCACCACCATGCCTGGCTAGTTTTTATTAGAGACAGGGTCTCGCTGTGTTGCCCAGGCTGGTCTCAAACTCCCGAACACAAGTGATCCTCCCACATCAGCCCCCTCAAAGTGCTGGGATTACAGGCGTGAGCCACTGTGCCTGGCTTACCTGTGGTCTTGAGCAAGTCAAATGTGGCTCCTGTGACTATGGAACTTTATTTAATTTTAATCAAAAAAAATTTTTTTTTGAGATGGAGTCTCGTTTTATCACCCAGGTTGGAGTGCAGTTGCCCAGTCTTGGCTCACTGCAACCTCCTCCTCCAGGGTTCAAGTGATTCTCCTGCTTCAGCCTCCCAAGTAGCTGGCACCACAGGCATGTGCCACCACGCTCGGCCAATTTTGGGATTTTAGTAGAGACAGGATTTCTCCATGTTGGCCAGGCTGGTCTTGAACTCCTGACCTCAAGTGATCTACCCACCTTGGCGTCCCAAAGTGCTGGGATTACAGGCATGAGCCACCACGCCTGGACTAATCAATTATTATTATTATTTTTTAATTTTTTTAGAGACAGGATCTTGCTTTGTCCCCCAGGCTGGAGTGCAGTGTCACAATCATAGTTCACTGCAGCCTCCAACTCCTGGGCTCAAGTTACTGGGACTTGAGGTGCATGCTACCACTCCTGGCTAATTTTTGTATTTTTAATTTCTTTTGTAGAGCTGGGGTCCCACTATGTTGCCCAGGCTGAATTTTAATTAATTTAAACCCAAATAGCCATACATGGCTCATGGCTGCCATACTGAAATGCACAGATTTGGCCAGGCGCAGTGGCTCATGCCTGTAATCCCAGCACTTTGGGAGGCCGAGGCGGGCAGATCACGAGGTCAGGAGTTTGAGACCAGCCTAGCCAATATGGTGAAACCCCGTCTCTACTAAAAATACAAAAATTAGCCGGGCATGGTGGCACCTGCCTATAGTCCCAGCTACTCAGGAGGCTGAGGCAGAAGAATTGCTTGAACCCGGGAGGCGGAGGTTGCAGTGAGCCGAGATCGCGCCACTGCACTTCAGCCTGGGAGACAAAGCGAGATTCCATCTCAAAAAAATTAAAAAAGCACAGATTTAGACCTTTCCATCCACCCTCCAAATTGGGTGAACACCCATCTAGTTGTTTGACCTGATGCAGTCTCAGATGAGAATGCGAGCACCTATTTCATGTAGATGAGGAGAAACTGACCCAGAGAAGATAGTGATGGCCTGAGGTTACACAGCTGGGTGGGACACAGCTGGCCCCAGGCCCAGATCAACCTTTTCCTCCACATGGTCAGTCAGCTTGTGCCCCCTCCCGCTGTGGCCCAGGCCAGCCCCCAAGATGTCCACATCTTTGGCCAACTGACCCCCCAGCTTATCCTCTGTGGTCTTCAGTTACCAACATGGCCTGAGACATGGGTCAGATAGCCCTTCCAGAACCCTCAAAGAGTATGTGCATGGTGAGGCCCCTCAATGCTCATACCCTTGGCTTCAGATTTTCAGGGTCCTAGACAGTCATTTCTGGAGAAATACTTAGGACCCATCTACACAAAGTTGAACTAGATGCAAGATAGCAGATAGCATACACATCACCATTTTCCATACTGTCCATGGCAGACATCATTAATCAATCCTCACTGCAACTACCCTCACTCCAGTTTTTTGCTTCAGCTTCGTCTCTGGCCTCTGCCTCCATTCCAGACCCCTTTCCCAACATCCATTCTGTATAAGAGGGCTAGATTAATCTTCCTTAAATACATATTTGGAGTGTTGGTTCTGCCACTTCCTCACTGGGTACCCATGGCAAGTGTCTTCCCCTCACTGACCCTTGGTTTCTTTCCTTGTAAAATAAAGGGATTGGACCATAGGATGGTAAATATCCAGCTACCTACCGCCACCCCCATTCCAACATTCAGGACAGACATTGCTAATTGATTATAGACCTCTTTCACACTAAATTCAGATGTGACCTTGAAATCTATTAATCAGTGTGGACCCTGATTTTTATCACAGTTAATATCCTGAGATATTCCAACTTTGTCCTCATTATAGAGATGGGAAAATTGAGGCCCAGAGAGGTAGGACTGTTTCTTTCTTAAGGGCTCCATCTCCCCATCCCATACGCTGAGTGAGATGGACAGGGGTGGGCTGAGGTCAGACCCCACAGACTGTCCAGCCCTGCCCTGAGCCCACCACCAAGAACCGCTCCCCCCAGGATGGGCAAGATAGCCAGCTCCCTCATGCCTGCCTTTGCCTGGACAGGTACGGGAGGCAGAGCTGAGTGACCAGTATGAGGCGGCCTGCGAGTCAGCCTGCAGTGAAGCGGAGTCCACAGCGGCAGAGACGCTTGACTTGCCACTGCCCAGCTACTTCCGCTCCCGCAGCCACAGCTACCTGCGTGCCATCCAGGCAGGCTGCTCGCAGGAGGAGGACAGTGTCTCCCTGCAGTCCCTCTCCCCACCGCCCAGTACCGGCAGCCTCAGCAATAGTCGCACGCTTCCGAGTGAGTACTGTGATGAGGGAAGGGGTTTTTTTTCTTTTCAAGGGGACCCCAAGGACCATACCTGGAGGGCCAGCCTGGGAGGATACAGGGAGGAATCTGTCTCAGGCTGGCCCGCACCAGGGGGATGGTTGGGAGCAAAAGCAGGAGGCCTTGGAGCTGAACTTCCAGCCAATTGGCCACTGGAGCTCAAATGGGGGTCCCAGAGGCAGATGCCACCCCTGGGGGGCATGGGAGGTATTGGAGGGGCTGGAGCTTGTAGGGTACTTGGTTGCTCCTTGGCTCAGAGCAGCCACCTGCTATAGTCAGGGCTTACTGCAGCTTGACCTGCCTCTTGGAATTAGTTCAGGTAGGCAAACCTGTAGGGCAGGTTGGAACCTGCAGAGAAGCCTGCAGTGAGGGTGGGGTCTGCACTGAGCCTTCTCAAAGGGATGTGTTTTACAGGCTTCTCTCATATACACAATCAGGGAATACCTTCTGGATTCTTGGGTGTTTTGTTGTTGTTGAGACAGAGTCTCACTCCACACCCAGGCTGGACTGCAGTGGCATGATCTTGGCTAACTGCAACCTCTGCCTCCCAGGTTCAAGCAATTCTCATTCTTCAGCCTCCCAAGTAGCTGGAATTACAGACACATGCCACCATGCCTGGCTAATTTTTGTATTTTTAGTAGAGATGGGATTTCACCATGTTGGCCAGGCTGGTCGTGAACTTCTGACCTCAAGGGATCTGCTCATCGTGGCCTCCCAAAGTGCTGGGATTATAGGCGTGAGCTACCATGCCCAGCCCTGGATTCTTGTTCTAAATCATCTGAAGATAACCCATATGTGATCAGAGAAAAAAGGGGACCCTGTATAACTGAGCAAGCCATGAAATAATAGAAAATTGCATGTTCTCACTCATAAGTGGGAGGTAAACAATGAGGACACAGGGAGGGGAACATCACACACCAGGGCCTATCAGGGGGGTGGGGGGGGGGGAGACAAGGGGAGGGAGAGCATTAGGACAAATATCTAATGCATGTGGGGTTTAAAACCTAGATGATGGGTTGATAAGTGCAGCAAACCACCGTGGCGCATGTATACCTTATTAAGTATTATTAAGATGGTCAAAAAAAAAAAAAAAGACGTAATAGAAAATTAGCTGGGTGCAGTGGCTCACGCCTATAATCCCAACACTTTGGGGGGCCGAGGCAGATCACTTGAGCCTAGGAGTTGGAGACCAGCCTGGGCAACATGATGAAACCCGGACTCTAAAAAAATTAAAAATTCGCTGGTCGGGTTGGCATATACCTGTGGTCCTCGCTACTCAGGAGGCTGAAGCAGGAGGGACATCTGAGCCCAGGAGATGAAAGGTGAAGTGAGCTGTGTTCACACCACTGCACTTCAGCCTAGGAGACAGACCAAGACCTTGTCTCAAAATAATAATAATAGAAAATCAAAACCAAGGAAAAACAGCACAATTTATTGTTTATCAATAGTAGAGAGAGGTTTGAGCTTACTCTGGCAAGCTAGTTCGCCTTCCTGAGCCTCAGTTTCTCCATGTATAAATTGAGGGCATAAGCCAGACTCCAGGGATCTCTTAGGGAGATGAAACAAGACTGTGCATAGGACATGTTTAGGCAGGGACTTTCTTGTGGTAGAAGCTTGGTAAGTGGTAGCTGTTATTGTTGGTTCTCAGACCTGACTCTGAGCTTCCTGAAAATCAAAAACAATTGGGGGCTGGGCATGGTGGCTCATGCCTGTAATCCCAGCACTTTGTGAAGCCAAGGTGGGCAGATCACTTGAGGTCAGGAGTTCGAGACCAGCCTGGCCAACATGGTGAAACCCCATCTGTACTAAACATACAAAAATTACCCGGGTGTGGTGGTGCACACCTGTAGTTCTAGCTACTTGGGAGGCTGAGGTATGAGAATTGCTTGAACCCGGGAGGTAGAGGTTGCAATGAGCCAAGATTGAGCCACTGCGCTCCAGCCTGGGTGACAGAGCAAGACCTTGTCTCAAAGAAAAAAAAAAGCAATTGGGGTTGGATTGTTGTAGGAAGAGAGGCACTGCTTCAAGTGCTCAACCGGTGTTTGATGTAAATAAATGTCTTCTCTGTTCCTTGTTCACCTCTGTTTCTGGTTCCTCCACTTGGGAAGGGATGGTAGCCAGGGAGGTGTCGTCTGGCATCGGGACTCTCTGATGCCACATACTGGCTCTTTCTCGCACCCTGCAGGGTCCCCAGTGCCATCTTTCCCAGCATGGGCAATCTTCATTCACCTCACTGTTTCTTATTCCCCCTCAGCTTCTCCATCTGGCAGTCTGCCTCCTCGCCACTCAGCTTCTTTCTGCTAGGGCACCTGGCCCTGCTAGTCAGGCATCTTGGGTAGAATCCTCTGAAGACAACTCCAGCCCTATTTTCCCTCTTGGTGACCACTTAATGTATTTGAAAACAAGGGCCTTTGCCTTCTGGGACTCTGAAAATATAGACTGGTCTGCTACAGCCTCCGAAAATACAGACTGGCCCGCTACAGCCTTCCTTCTAGTCCTGCTGTTACCGGTAGCCCTGCCAGCCTCTCCACCTTCAAGGTCTCCAAACAAGAGCTGAGGCCCAGGTTCTGTGGCCTCCACATCCAGAAGAGCTCTCCCAGGCTGTCCCAGGCACTCTGCTACAGTTCCAAAGGGGCCGTGGGTGAAGGATAACATCCCCCACATCCTCACACCCATGCGAAGTTCTCTAAGCATGAAGTGGGCCTGGAGGGATAGACAGCACCCCTAGCAATTCTCTTCAAATAAACCATCCCTCACCAGTTTTTCCAACCCCAGTCACTCATGAATGGACTAAAGATAGGGGATGGGCTACATGTCCCAATACTGCCTGGGTCCCTGTATTGGTCAGCTCTTGCTACAATTATGCTGCATAACAAACAACCACAAAATCAGTGTAATACAACAATTCACATTTATTTCTTGCTCCCAAGTTTGTCAGTTGGGACAGTTCTGCTCCACATGTCTTTCATCCTCCTCCTGGGACCAAAGAGTCCTCCTGGGATCAGTGGTCTAGCCAGGGCATGTTCTCCTTATGGTGATGGCAGAAGACAGAAGAGCAAGCCTAACTAACCAAACAAGCACATTTCAAGGCCTCTGCTCATGTCATACCTGCTAACATCCTATTGGCAACACAAGTCATATGACTGAGCTCATAGACAAGGGATGGAGAAGTATCTTCTCACCTTTGTGTAGGAAACTATATTCATATGGCAAAGGGTGTGGCCACAGGGAGAGGTAAAGAATCAGGGTCTGGGTGGGCGCAGTGGCTCATGCCTGTAATCCCAGCACTTTGGGAGGCCGAGGCAGGTGGATCACTTGAGGCCAGGAGTTTGAGACCAGCCTGGCCAACATGGCGAAACCCTGTCTCTACTAAAAATACAAAAATTAGCCAGGCGTGGTGGTGCCCACCTGTAATTCCAGCTACTCAGGAGGCTGAGGCAGGAGAATCGCTTAAGCCCGGGAGGTGGAGGTTGCAGTGAGCCAACATCACACTATTGCACTCCAGCCTGGGCAACAAAAGTGAGACTCCGTCTCAAAAAAAAAAGAATCAGGGTCAACAATTCTATGTTCCATGATCCACTGTCTTGGCTGTATTTACTCATGCCCTTCCCAGGTAGAAAACTTTTATTCCCAAGACCCCCAAAAGTCTCATCCAATCATGAGATTGGATCAGACTCTTATGATCTATGTCAGGTCTGGATGTGGCTTCTGTCGAACAATTGACTTTTAATTTTTTAAAGAAACTACTTATCTACCCTACAGTCTAACCCTCCCCAACCACACAGCATACACTGGTGAAACAGGGACAGGAGAACTGCAGTTAATACTCCTGTTCAGAAAAGGGGAAAGTAGAGATGCAGAGACTTATTGATCCATGGCAATTCTGAAGTCCTTCTGAGCAACTGTTGGGCAAATGCGTTGAGATTTGTTGATTAGGTACAAGTTCTCCCTGGGGTTGATCTTCTAGTCTACTGTTCTCCACAGCTCTTGGTTCTGCTCTCTGAAAGCCCTTCCTTCTCCATCAGCATTTTTGGCCACTTTTAAAGAGAACTTGGAGAATATAGCCTTGGGGAACGGAACACCTTTCTTAGCTTGCTTCCTTCCTAAAGAAAGTTAGGGAGCTAGATGTCTTTTGCATCTTGAACGGTCTTACTCCCTTTAGCCTAAGCTGGTCAATTTTACCCATGCACCTACCTCAAACATTTGATGAGTTTTCTATGTATTTGATTCCCTGTAACTTCGAGTGCCAAAAGCCATACCCATAATTGTTTTTGAGTCATGCCTCTCTCTTGACTTGATGCCTACTTTGGGCTTCTGTGGGACCATGCCCTTAAGCTTTCTGTAGGCCCTTTTGACCAGATAGTAGCATCTGCTACCTGGTATCTTGATTGATTGATTGATTGAGACAGAGTCTCGCTCTCTGTCGCCCAGGCTGGAGTGCAGTGGCGCGATCTCAGCTCACTGCAACATCTACCTCCCAGGTTCAAGCGATTCTCATGCCTCAGCCTCCCAAGTAGCTGGGAATACAGGCGTGTGCCACCATGCCTGGCTAATTTTTGTATTTTTAGTAGAGACAAGGTTTCACCATGTTGGCCAGGCTAGTGTCGAACTCCTGACCTCAAGTGATCCACCCGCCTCGGCCTCACAAAGTGCTGGGATTACAGGTGTGAGCCACCACGCCTGGCTCTACTATTTTTAGAGTGTTAATAAGAGATATTATAACCACACTTTGATTTGATCCTGTCCACATACGGCATCTTAACTGGCCATGACCTTGGTTTCATCTTTGCCCTGAGGCTGTATTTTTTTTTTTTTTTTTGAGTTTCGCTCTTGTTGCCCAGGCTGGAGTGCAATGGCGTGATCTCAGTTCATCTCAACCTCCGCCTCCTGGATTCAAGTGATTCTCCTGCCTCAGCCTCCCAAGTAGCTGGGATTACAGGTATGCACCACCATGCCCAGCTAGTTTTGTATTTTTAGTAGAGACAGGGTTTCTCCCTGTAGGTCAGGTTGGTCTCAAACTCCTGACCTCAGGTGATCTGCCTGCCTTGGCCTCCCAAAGTGCTGGAATTACAGGCATGAGCCACCATGCCTAACGAGGCTGTATCTTAATTTGAGAATGGTTTACTCTCTGGAGGGGCTGGAGTTGACAAATTTATTTTCCAACTAAACAAGTTCTGGTCTCCTTCCCTTTCCTCTAAACGCTCCTTGAAGATCGGCTATTTTTTACTTTTTTAGACAGGATCTCCATGTGTCACCCAGGCATGGGTGCAGTGGCATGGTCATAGCTCACCATAGCCTCAACCTCCCAGGCTCAAGCGATCCTCCTGCCTCAGCCTCCCGAGTAGCTGAGACCAGAGTCATGCAGTACCATGCCTGGCTAATTTTTAAATTTCTTGTAGAGATGGGGTCTCCTTATGTTCTACCAGGCTGGTTTTGAACTCCTGGGCTCAAGTGATCCTCCCACCTTGGCCTTCTAAAGTACTGGGATTACAGGTGTGAGCCACGGCACTTGGCCTAGCTATTTCTTTTGAGTTCCTCCTTTTCTTGTAAATCTTTTTTTTTTTTTTTTTAGACAGAGTCTTGCTCTGTTGTCCAGGCTGAAGTGCAGGATCTCAACTCACTGCAATCTCCACTTCCTGAGTTCAAGCCATTCTCCTGCCTTAGCCTCCCAGGTAGATGGGATTACAGGCATATGCCACCACACCCAGCTAACTTTCAAATTTTTAGTAAAGGTGGGGTTTCATCATGTTCGCTACGCTGGTCTTGAACGTCTGACCTCAAGTGATCTGCCCGCCTCGGCCTCCCAAAGTGTTGGGATTACAGGCGTGAGCCACTGCGCTTGGCCTTTTTCTTGTGTAAGTCTTTTTTTTTTTTTTTTTTTTTTTTGAGACAGAGTCTCCCTCTATCACTCAGGCTGGAGTGCAATGGCATGATCTCGGCTCACTGCAACCTCTGCCTCCCAGGTTCAAGCCATTCTCCTGCCTCAGCCTCCCAAGTATCTGGGACTGCAGGCATGCGCCACCATGCCTGGCTAATTTTTGTATTTTTAGTAGAGACGGGGTTTCACCATGTTGGCCAGGCTGGTCTCAAACTCCTGACCTCAAGTGATATGCCTGCCCTGGCCTCCCAAAGTGCTGGGATTACAGGCGTGAGTCACCACGCCTGGCCCCTTTGTCTTGTAAGTCCTTAACAAATGCAGCCAAAAGGAGCAAGCTCAGGCCGGGTACAGTGCTGAGCACGGTGCTATAATCCCAGCACCGTAGGGAGGATCTCTTGAGGCCAGAAGTTCAAGACCAGCCTCAGCAACATAGTGAGACTCCATCTCTACAAAAAATTTTTTTTTAGTTAGCCACTGCACTTCAGCCTGTGTGACAGAGCAAAACCCTGTCTAAAAAGAAACAGAGGCTGGGTGCAGTGGCTCATACCTATAATCCCAATGCTTTGGGAGACCAAGGTGGGAGGATCACTTGAGCCCAGGAGTTCAAGATCAGCCTGGGCAACATAGTGAGAACCTGTCTCTACAAAATAAAAAAAATTAGCTGTGCATGGTGGTCACAGCTACTTGGGAGGCTGAGGTGGGATTTGCTTAAGCCTGGGAGGTCGTGCTGCAGTGAGCCATGATCATGCCACTGTACTCCAGCCTGGGTAACAGAATGAGACTCTGTCTTTAAAAAAAAGAAAAAAGAGGCTGGGCACGGTGGGTCACACCTGTAATCCCAACACTTTGGGAAGCTGAGGTGGGTGGATCACCTGAGGTCAGGAGTTCGAGACCAGCCTGGCCAACATGGTGAAACCCTGTCTCTGCTAAAAATACAAAAATTAGCTGGGCATGGTAGCGGGCACCTATAATCCCAGCTACTCTGGAGGCTGAGGCAGAAGAATCGCTTGAACCCAGGAGGCGGAGGTTGCAGTGAGCCGGGATCGTGCCATTGCACTCCAGACTGGGCGAAAAGAGTGAGACTCTGTCTCCAAAAAAAAAAAAAAAAAAAAAAGAAAGAAAGAAAGAAAAGAAAAAGAAAAAAGAGTCCGGGCACAGTGGCTCACGCCTGTAATCCCAGCATTTTGGGAGGCCGAGGTGGGTGGATCACCTGAGGTCAGGAGTTTGAGACCAGAATGGCCAACATGGCAAAACCCCGTCTCTACTAAAAATACAAAAATTAGCTGGGCGCCTGTAATCCTAGCTACTCGGGAGGCTGAGGCAGGAGAGTCACTTGAACCTGGGAGGCAGAGGTTGCAGTGAGCCAAGATCGCACTATTACACTCCAGCCTGGGCGACAGAGCGAGACTCTGTCTCAAAAAAAAAAAAAAGATAGAAAGAAAGGGCACTCCTTAAGACACTTAACAGCCATCTGTTGAAAAATTGTCATGTCACACTTTTTGTTAGAATAAGGTCCTTTACTTCCATTTGCCAGAAATTTGTCATAATAATTATATAATTAAATTATGTCTATGTGGTGAATGGCTCCCCCCGATATGTAGCATCCTTGATCAGTATAAAACTTGTACAACCATATATGGCGAGCCTGCCCAAAATCACTCCCTCCACAGACAAACACCAGCACACACAGGCACATCCTCACCACTGTACATCCAGCCACTGTCTCCCTACTGGGTCACCCCTGCTCAGAAGGCTGCCCCCTTACTCCTCAGCATCTGTCTCCAAGGAGTGAGCAATCGGGTCCTTTCTCCACCCCCAGGGCTGTTCTGAGCCCCCACGTTGCTGAAGGGCATGAAAGCTCTGTCCTTCTCACAGAGGCATCTGTGCACTCAGGTCCTGTGCAGGCCGGTGGGTTGATGTAGGGGAGCGGCAGTTATTGAGGCAGTGAGAGCCCCTCTCAAGCAGGGCGTGGGCAGGGTGAGGAGCTGCCTGCCTGCCCGCCCACCCACGTGGACCTGGCCAATTCTCCACTGCCAGTGCCACTACTGCTGTCCCTGTTCTCCCTCCCCCTGTCTGACCCAGATTCCACATTCCAGAAATAGCTCTGGCAGGTGACTGGCAGGCGGGGTCAGCTCTAGCTGGGATGGTGGGAGAAGCAGCCGCTATGGATGCGTGCCCCTCCCCAGCCAAAGGACCTATCTAGGAGGGGGCTTGGGGGTGCCATCACTCCCCAGTCTGCCCCCTCCTGCCTCTCTTCTCTCTATGCCTCTGAGAAAAAGAAGAAAGGAGAACAGCCTCCCTCCTCCTCCCTCCCTCCTCTTACTCTGCCATCTCCCTCTCTTTCTTCCAGCTTCCCCTCCCTTCCTCTCCCTCTTTCTCCCCCCACCATCTTTGCCTTCTGTCTGTCTCCCTCAGTTCTCTGCTTCTCCCTCCCACCCTCTCTGCCTTCCTTCCCTCTCAGTTTCTGGCCCTCCTCCCCGTCCTCCCTTTCTGTGTCTCTCCCACTCCCTCTGAATCACAGGGAGGCTGTGATGACAGCCAGTGGCCTGGGCAGGCAAGGTGGTGGGCTGCAGGGTGTACCCCCACTCCTGCCAGCTGCATTCTCTGCACCTGAGTGTGTGCAAGCACACAGGCACACACACTTGGGCTCACTCCCTGACAGTGCTTGTGGCTCTAGGCTGACCTGGGATGGGCTCCAGGCCTGGGAACCACCCTTGCTCCTTGCTCAGGGACCCTGAGTTCTGTGTCACTCTGAGTGGGCACCTGCCCTTCCCTGGGCCTCAAAGTCTCTATCTGTGTTGTGAGGCCTTGGTTTGGGGACCCACAGGTACCTCCCATCTGTGACAATCCAGTCATCAGCTGCTATGCCTGCCCCTCTTTGTCCCATCTTCCATCCCCCAGCTTCTTCTCTGACTGCCCTCCTACCCCTAACCTCCCCCCGGCACCACACACTCTGTATACAGGAAGGGAGGTTGATAAAATTGCAGTACACAGTCAACCCTCCAGTCAACCCTGTCCCCCAACCCTACCCTGGGCCCACCTGTCCCCTCACTCCACCGCAGGCTCTTGTCAGCCCAACGCCTCTAGTCTCCACAGTGTCAGGGCTAAGAGGAAACTCAAAGACCATCATGTCCGGAGATTGCAAATGGACTTCAACCATGTGTCATCTCTGATCCCTGGAGCTCAGTTCTGAGATTTGGTTAAGCAAAGAAAGGTGCCACCATCGATTCGCGATGTCTACCGTAGCCAGAAGAGTTACATACATCTGCAATTCCTGATCTAACCCACTTATCCCAACATGCACGTGCGCACACACAGACATGCACACACATTTACAGATATTTCACAAAGAAACATCAGCCTAGGGAAGATGATTATCTATCAAGGTCAAAGTCAGCCAGCTAGTAGGTCAGGGAGCAGTTTCCTACCTGGGTGTGCCTGACTTCGAAGCCCTGGGTTCTCCATTGCCCCCTGTGCGTGGGAGCCACCCAGTCCTGGTAAAGCAGTACAAGCATGGGTAATGAAGGTATGTTACAGGAGTTGCAGGGGAAGTCCTCTAGCAACATGGGCAGGATGGATTAGAGGCTGAGAGGCCACTCACAGGTTGGTGCAGTGGTCTAGGTAAGTGACAGTGAGGTCAGGACAGGGGCCATAGGGTCAGAGAATAATGGGAGGACCCAGGAGGCCTTCCCAGAATGAATAATGAGGAACCACAATTCCCTACTGCTGAAACAGGCACCTCTCCACAGAGGACACTGGGCAGAAGGCAGGCTTCCTGTCTGGGGTCCACCAACCCTTGGACTACGACATGCCTGATTAATTGAGTGCCTACTGTGTGCTGAGTATATGGATCCTCACTCTTCCATGTCCTGTTTTTAGCAGATCCACTCAGCCTTCTGGGGGAAATAGTGACCAGGACTGAAGGACTGGTGGGCAGGCCTCCAATCCCAGGATTGAGACTCTTGAGACAAGACAGGGGCATTCTGTATCCCCTCAGGGGGTAGAGAAGTCACCCCAAAGGAAGAGAGATGAAGGTGTTTAAATAGAACCTTGGAGGCCCTACGGCATGGTGGTTAAGCACCTGAGCCTTGCAATCAGGCATCTTTCACTGATAGATGTTTATTGATCAAGTGCTCTGGGCCAGGCTGTGTTGTAGGTACCATCAGTGAGCAAAATGGAAATCCTTGCCTTCATGGAGATTGTATTCTACTGGGAAGGGGAAGGGCAGACAAAACAATAAACATAAATAAGTGTGTGGTTTGTTGGTAGTTGGCACAGCATAAGGGGTCCTGGGAGTGGTGGCAGAGTGCAGGGAGGGGTGCCGAGGTATAAACAGGGTGGCTAGGGTACAGCTCATTGAGAGGGAGATTTTGAGTGAAGACTTTTTTTTTTTTAAGACGGAGTCTCACTCTGTTACCCAGGCTGGCGTGCAGTAGCGAGATCTTGGCTCACTGCAACCTCCGCTTCCCGGGTTCATGTCATTCTCCTGCCTCAGCCTCCTGAGTAGCTGGGACTACAGGCGCTCGCCACCACGCCCGGCTAATTTTTTTTTTTTTTTTTTTTTGAGACAAAGTCTCACTCTTGTCCCCCAGGCTGGAGTGCAATGGCTGCAATGTCCGCCTCCCTGGTTCTGGTTCAAGCGATTCTCCTGCTTCAGCCTCCTGAGTAGCTGGGATTATAGGCACCTGCCACCACACCTGGCTAATTTTTGTATTTTTAGTAGAGACGGGGTTTCACTATGTTGGCCAGGCTGGTCTTGAACTCCTGACCTCAGGTAATCCGCCTGCCTTGGCCTCCCAAAATGCTGGGATTACAGGCATGAGCCACCACGCCCGGCCAATTTTCTGTATTTTTAGTAGAGATGGGGTTTCACCGTGGTAGCCAGGATGGTCCTGATCTCCTGACCTCATGATCCGCACACCTTGGCCTCCCAAAGTGCTGAGATTACAGGCACACCCAGCTAATTTTTGTATTTTTAGTAAAGGGGATTTCACCATGTTGGCCAGGCTGGTCTCGAACTCCTGACCTCAAGCTATCCACCCCACCTCCCAAAGTGCTGGGATTACAGGCATGAGCCACCACACCCGGATTGAGTGAAGACTTGAAGGAAGTGTGGGAATAAGCAGTGCTGGGAAGCGCTCCAGGCGGGGGGTGAGTGGTACAAAGGCCCTGAGGCAGGAGGTGCCTGACAGGCTGGTGGGGGGCAGAGCACTGAGGAGAGAGCCATGGTAAGAGGTGAGGTTCGAGGACAGGGAGGGGAGGGTTGGGTCTGGCCACCGACTGTGGAAACAACTTTGTCTTTTGGCTCTGAGTACAAGGGGGAACCACTGGGGCACTGGAGCACAAGAGTGACATGACCTGGTGTGTGTCTTAAAAGAAACACTCAGACCGGGTGCGGTGGCTCACGCCTGTAATCCCAGCACTTTGGTAGGCCGAGGCAGGCAGATCACCTGAGGTCGGGAGTTTGAGACCAGCCTGGCCAACGTGGTGAAACCCCATATCTTTTTTTTTTTTTTTTTTTTTTTTGAGATGAAGTCTTGCTTCTGTTGCCCAGGCTTGGAGTGCCATGGCGAGGGGTTTCACCATGTTGGTCAGGCTGGTCTTGAACTCCTGACCTCAGGTGATCCACCCGCCTCAGCCTCCCAAAGTGCTGGGATTACAGGCATGAACCACCGTGCCTGGCAAAACCCCTCTCTACTAAAAATACAAAGCCAGGTGTGATGGCACAGATCTGTAATCCCAGCTACTCGGGAGGCTGAGGCATGAGAATCGCTTGAGCCTGGGAGGCAGAGGTTGCAGTGAGCCGAGATTGCGCCACTGCACTCCAGCCTGGCAACAGAATGAGACTCCGTCTCAAAATAAAAAAAAGAAAAGAAAAAGAAAAAAAGACTACTCAGGGGGCTGCATGGAGCCACGTTTGAGGGGCGAGAAGTGGGTGATATGGGAATACCAGGGTGATGATGGTGGCTTAGGCAGGGTGGCAGTGAGGGAGGTGGTGACAACTCACTGGATCCTGGAAGGGCTCTGAAAGTGGAGTCAACAGGATTCTTTGGTGGATTGGATGTGGGTGAGAGTGAAGGAGAACAGCTAAGGGGTGATGAGAAGGAATGGTTACACAGCCAGGTCGCGTGGGGACAGCCCTCACTCCTCTAACTGCCAGTTCTGGCACCTGAGACAGGACAGTGACTATCTGGGAAGTTGGGAGAGGAGCATCTTCACCCCCCGGATGGGGAGCCTTGGGGTCCAGGCTGGGGATTAGGGAGGGGGAGCATGTGAGTCCTGTCTGTGCCCCATCTCAGGCTGTGGTCCAGCCAACTCTGCCTTGTAGGGATTCCAGCCAGACTGGGGAGCTCTTAGGGGAAGGACCCAGTACTGGAGTACAGTAGATGTTCCATAAATATCTTCTGGGACCCTAAAGCATCACCATCAGAAGGGACTGTTAAAATCTCCTAGCCCAAGGGTCTCAAATTTGGTAAAATACAAACACTGTTTGACACTGCCTGAGTTCTGTCCCAGGAATCTGCTTTTCTTTTTTGTTATTTTTTTATTTTGGAGACAGTGTCTCACTCTGTCACCCAAATTGGAGTGCCGTGGCAGGATCACAGCTCACTACAGCTTTGACCTCCTGGGCCCAAGCAATCCTCCCATCTCAGCTTCCTGAGTAGCTGAGGAGCCACAGGCACATGCCACCACACCCAGCTAATTTTTTAATTTTTGTGGAGGCAGGGTCTCCCTATGTTGCCCAGGCTGGTCTTTTTTTAATTAATTAATTAATTTTTTTTGAAACGGAGTTTCGCTCTTGTTGCCCAGGCTGGAGTGCAATGGCGCAATCTTGGCTCACCGCAACCTCCGCTTCCCAGGTTCAAGCGATTCACCTGCCTCAGCCTCTCAAGTAGCTGAGATTACAGACATGTGCCTCCATGCCCGGCTAATTTTGTATTTTTAGTAGAGACGGGATTTCTCCATATTGGTCAGGCTGGTCTTGAACTCCTGACCTCAGGTGATCCTCCCGCCTTGGCCTCCCAAAGTGCTGGGATTACAGGCGTGAGCCACCACACTCGGCCCAGAATCTGCTTTTCAGTTGGTGCCCCCAGTGATCTCTCTTCAGGGTGTCAATCACGGTCCACAGTTTGAAAAATCTTGCCTTGGTCCAGTTTCTCTCCAGGAAACAGATAGGGCTGGTGAGTCCCAGAGAGGGAAAGGGACTTGTTCAAGGTCACACAGGGAGTGTGTTATTAAATTTGGGAGGGTGGAAGTGGAATAATGATATTTCATCTTATGCTGTGTGTGCTGCCTTGGGTTGTCAGGGCCCATAACAAATGTACCTTGTTTTTTTCCTAAGTAAATCAACCTTGGCTCACGCCTGTAATCTCAACACTTTGGGAGGCCGAGGTGGGAGGATCGCTTGAGCCCAGGAGTTCAAGACCAGCCTGAGCAACAGAGACCTTGTCGCTACAAAAAATAAAAATAACCAACTTAAAGTGAATAGTACAGGCGTAGCATAAGTGACTGAGATAGGATGACCTTCAAAGTGCTTAGCACAGTGCCTGGATTCAAAACGGTTGGCTAACCCTCAATTCCGTTTATTATTTTTACACCTTAATGCAAAAACCATGACAGTGGTATTGGAAACACTATCATCTTCGCCAGTGCTCAAAATATTTTGATATGTCAAAAATTCTTTTCTCCATTTTTTGGAAAACAGATGCGAGAAAGGAAAGGACTTGCCTAGGTCACCCAGCAAGGCAGGTCATGAACAAGAGTTGGGTCTGCGTCTGGCAGACCTACCACAGGTGCGGCCTGGAGAGATGAGGCCCACAAGGCAGCGACAGGACCTGGATTCAGTGAGGAGAGGGGACTCGCGGGGTAGAAGCCAGGAACTGGGAAGGCGAGGAGGCGTGAAGGCACCACCTACTGCCAACCCGGCTCGAGCTGGTCACTTTGCCCTCCATGAGATCGTAGGTGTGCTTGTTGTTTTATTTTACGGGGGAGGAATGGAAGGCTCAGGGAAGTTGAATGCGGATGTTGTTCAAGATCACACAGGCCTCCAGAGGCGGAGCCGGGATTGGAACCCAATCTCTAGGACTCTGGGTTAGCAAAGCAAAGGGAGGATGCAGTGGCGAGGACAGCTAGATACACCTAGGGCGCAGAGCAGCCAGGACCAGAGGGCCAATCTGACTATGCAGGGGTGAGAGGGCCACCTCGGGCAGCTTCCTCGGAGCCTCGGTTCCCCCCTTACAGCGAGGTGTCGCTGGGGTGAACTGGTGGGAACTCCCGCCTCGGTCCACCTCCCGCACAGAGCATGCGTCGCGTTCCAGCTGGAACCGGTTTGGCGAGGCGGTTCGAGGGGCGGCGACCCCACCCCCACCCCCCCATGCTCGGGCATGCGCGTGCCGACGTGGGCGCGCGCTCCTTTCCTGGGCCGGCCGGCTGGGCGTGGGCCGGACGCGGCGGCCCGCGCGCCTGCCGACCAGCCCGGCTGCGCGCGCCGGGCCACATGCCAAGCGGGCTGCGCGCGCCCCTGCCCGGCCCGGGAGTCCCTGACGACGCGCGCGCGGCTGACGCGGGGGGCGGGGAGGGGCGGGGCAGGTGCGGGACTTTAACCCGGAGCCCCGCCCCTCGGGCGTACAAAACCGGAGCCTCGGGCCGGGCTGCGTGAGGGAGGAGGGTGAGTGCCCGCCGCTGGCCGCCGCCGCCGCCGCCAGTCCGTCCGTCTGTCCGGTCCACGTCGTCGCTGCCGCCTCCTCAGCCCGGACGCCCGGGGCCCGCCCAGCGCCGCCCGGAGCAGCCGCGGCCCCGCGAGGAGACGGGGGCCGCCCCGCCCGGCCCGGCCCGGCCCTGCCCCGCCCCCGCCCTCGCCCTCCTCCTCCTCCTCCTCCTCCCCGTCTGTCCGTCCGTCCGTCCGTCCGCCCGCCCGCCCGCCCGCCCGCGCTTCCGTCCTGTCCAGCCGCCAGTCCTCCAGCCCGTGTCCCCGCTCCGCCCGCTTTGTCTCTCCCCGGCTCGCTGTCTCTTTGTCTCTGCCCTCGCGCTCCTCCGCAGCCCCTCCCTCGCTCCCCATCTCGGGTCCCCTTCTCAGAGCGCTCTTCAGCCCTCAGAGCCGCCCTTTCTGGGCGACCCCACTCTTCGGGACTCCCCCTCAGAGCGCCCCCAGATCTTTTGGGGTTCCCCTTGAGAACACCTTCCACTCTCCCCAAGGGCTCCCCGTGAGTTTCTTGCACATCCTTTGGGGGTTCTGCACCCCAAGTCGCTGGGGTCTCGCCTCCTCTGAACCCCCATTGCCCCTGGGCTTTCCCTCTTCTGGGTGTTCCCCATATCCACTGGGAGCTCCTAGGTCCCAAGTTGGGGTCTTTCTCCTTGGGACCCCCCAATATGTCCTCAGCTCCCTGACTTCAGGAGCTCCTCTCTGCTTTCCCCTGGTTTGTCCCCTGTCGCTGTCTCTCCTTGTTCTCTCTCAGGTCTCCGAGCACCCCCACTTCTCGGGATCGGGGTCCCCTGCTTTGCTCTCCCTGCCCCTCTGTGCCCCCACATCTGTCTCGGTGGTCTCGCCACTCTGTGCCTCTTGCGCTGAAGGCCCCCCTTTGAGCCTGCTTCTTTGCCTGGGGCCCTTGGCCCCCCCTTGCTTTTTCAGCCCTAGCCCCCTGTCTCCCCTTCTCTCTGCTCCTTGTCTCCCTCTCCCTTTTTCTGTCTTTGCCGGGTCTCTGGGTCTCTGACCCCCATCCGGCCCTCATGGCTTTGTGTCTGGAGCTCTTGAAGCAATGTGAGTGGTGGGGTGTCCGGGTCGGGCCGGAGTTGGCCCGCAGGCTGGCCGCGGCCGAGGCTCCATGGGGTTGGCGCTGGGGCAAGGGCTGGCGCTAGGGCAAGGGGGCTCTGAGGCCTCCCACAAAGGGGGAAAGGAGGGAGGGGCCAGGCTGTCTGGCGGAGGAGGGAGTGGGGGGCCTTCCTGCTCTGAGGCTTCTGCTTTAGTTGCTTGAGTGTGTGGAGGGCACCACGGGCTGGGCATCCCTGCCCACTTGGCCCCGCATGGCCTGGCACTTTGTGATCGCTTGTGGGCAGGCCGGGCTATTTTGGAGCCGGCAGGATGTGATATCATTTGGACGTTTATTTAGCCCCGGCTGGGTGTGGGGGCTGCGTTCTTGCCAGCTTGAGTAATGAAATTTTGCAGGGGGGTGGGGGTGGGGTCAGCCTCCTAGGCAGCTAGGCTGTGGGGTTCATGGCCAGAACTTTGCAGAACACCAGAGTGGGCAAGTGAACAAAGGTCTGTGCTGCCTGGATCTTGCTGAGATTCGATTCAGGATGAGCAGGGAGAGGACTTCTTAATCTGACCACCCTGAGGATTGACTTTGGTAGTCTAACCTCTGGGGCCTTGGTTCTGCCAGCTTCAAGGTGTTGTAACCTTGAGCGAGACCCTTGTCCTCTCTGTCAGTTTCCCTATCTGTAAAAAGTGGATAATTGTGCTGGCCTCACACTGTTGTCATGATGATCAAATGAAACATCTGTAGACACGCTTTGTGAACTGTCAGCCTGTCTTTAAACAGCCCCATCGAGGGAGAGGAGCTTGCCCAAGGGTAAACAGCTGGCTGGCTCCTGCCAGAGCTGGGACAGGGATCCAGGACTAGGACATTACAGTCCAGGGCTCTTTAACCTCCTCCCCACTACCTGGTTATTCGAGAATGCACCTGCCCTTCCAATAGAGCAGGGAGACGGCTGTTTCTTAATTCAGGCCCCAATCCTGCTTGTTCTTTGTTAGTCCGTTTGTAAAGATAGATGGGCGTGCCCATCGGGATGTCTGTGCAGGGGGACAGTTGGATTTTCCATGTTCCATCCCATTGTTGTTTAAGGGTGGGCCCTGCTTGGACAGTGGCACTTGGAATAAAGTCACTTTGTAGTTGTGAGCCTTGGCTGCTTTTCCTGCTTCCCCTGTAGAGTAGGGGAACAAAGACCTCAGCCGAGAGAGGTTCTGCAGAGAGCTGGGGTTTGCTGTCAAGGAGCTTAGGATGTCCTAGAACTTTGGTGCAGGGAATGAGATCAGCTGTTCAAGCGCCTTGTCTTACAGATGAAGAGATGAGGCCCAGAAGGGCCAGGGACCCACAGAGGTTTGAGCCAGGACTTCTGGGTCCTGTTCCATGGCACTGCCTTTGAAGAAGTCACTGTCATGCTGTTATCACCTGCCCCTGGTGTATAATGACAATCTCTAACATCCTTTGACCTTTTTACTGTGTACGCTGTGCTTGGTGCTTTACTTCAGCTACTTGCAGTGGAAAAGAAGAAGGGCTTGGTGCCTGGCCTGGAAGTGAGGGGTGCAGGATCCCAGTTCCCACATCTCACCCACTTTTAGGGATGTCACTTTCCTTTGGGCTTCAGCTTCCTAATCCATAAAATGGGAATAACATTCCTTATCCTAAGACTGATTCTGAAATCATGGAATCCCTCAAGAATTGTGTGAGCAGCGGCTCACTCCTGTAATCCTAGCACTTTGGGAGGCCAAGGCAGGCAGGTCGCTTGAGCTCAGGAGTTCAAGACCAGCTTGGGCAACAAGACAAAACCCTGTTGCTCCAAAAAATACAAAAATTAGCTGGGTGTGGTGGCATGCGCTTGTATTCCCAGCTACTTGGAGGAGGCTGAGGCAGGAGGACAGCTTGAATCCAGAAGGTCAGGAGGTCGAGACTGCAGTGAGCTGAGATCATGCCACTGCACTCCAGCCTGGGTAACAAAATGAGACCCTGTCGACCGGGCGCGCTGGCTCACGCCTGTAATCCCAACACTTTGGGAGGCCGAGGCGGGCAGATCACTGGAGGTCAGGGGTTCGACATCAGCCTGGCCAACATGGTGAAACCCCGTCTCTACTGAAAATACAAAAATTAGCTGGGTGTGGTGGCACACGCCTGTAATCCCAGCTACTTGGGAGGCTGACGCAGGAGAATCATTTGAACCTGGGAAGCGGAGGTTGCAGTGAGCTGAGATTGCACCATTGCACTCCAGCATGGGTGACAAAAGCAAAACTCTGTCTCAAAAAAAAAAAAAGAAGAAACTGTTCCAGAGAGTAGAAACTCTGGGTTTCAGAACCACAAACGCCTGGTTTTAATCAGTCTCCATCATTCACTGCGTTTGTAATCTTGGGCAAATTATTTCTTTGAGCTTCAGTTTTCTTATCTGGACTCAAGATCTGTACTACAGGATTATGATGAGGATTAAATGAGATTATGTATTTTTTTTTAAATCTGGTGCACAGTAGGCACTTAATAAATGTGAACTTTCCCTTCCCAAAAACATCTGGGTGACTTTTCTCTTTGTAGGAACTAGACAGCCCAGTTCCCCCCCCATCCCCCCCACCCCCGCATGCCCTGTGGTTGGGGTTTAGATAACTAGGAAAGCACCTGTGGCTATTCTAATAGTAATAGGAGTGATCTTCTCATCTCTCCCAGGCTGTGTGAGGCATTGTGTAATCAGCCAGGCTCTTTCCCGACCATTGTTCTCCACCAACAGGCCTGGAAGTCGGAAGCCAGTGGAGTTCTCCCTGTTTCACAGGTGAATGAAAAATAGGGGGCCCAGAGAGAGACAAGGACCTGCTCAGGGGCCCACAGCCACAGCAGTGACAGGCAAACTTGTAGCCCAGGCCTCTTCTCCACAGCCCGCAGCGTTTCTCCAGGTTTATGGCTTCTGCCTGATAGCCTACCCCTCAGGCCGCCTTCCCTGGGTCTGTTCCCATCTGTTCTGGGAGGAGGGTTTTCTTGACATTTCCCCAGTCTCTGAGCTCATCTTGAATTTAAAAGGAGGCTATCTGGAGGCTGGGTGGGGACTGAGTCACCACCTCCCGTGGCTTTCTCATCCTGAGCAGCAACCAGACACACCCAGAGGGCCACTGCTGGAGACCTGCAGATTGTAAATGCCACACAGGCTTTCTTCCCAGAAGCTCAGATGGGCTCTTGCGGGAAGGCTGTCATCGTGGTTCTGTATGTATTTCTTCCTTCCCCTAGCCACTTTGAGAAGTTGTTGCCTGTCCTTTCCCGCTTCAGCCTTTATTAATGCTGTCCTCTTCCCCTATAGTGCCCTCTCTTCCCCTAGAGGCCCACACTGTCAAATGCCACCTCCCCCAGGAAGTTTGTCCTTGCTGGCTCTGGAGTCCCAGCAGGACTCCTGAGGATGCTTACGGCATGACCTTGGCAGGTCACGCCACCTTTCTGTGCCTCAGTTTTCTCATATATAAAATTTGGGTTTCTTGTCTTTATAAAGCTCCATCCCTAGACACTCTCATTTGGCAGGTCTTGGGGCAGGAATCACATGCCCCTAGGTTTTTAAACCAGCTCTCTAGAGGATGCTGGTGCTGAGAGCCTGTCGGCTGCAACCTGGGAAAAGCTGAACTGAGAGGACCCTGGTTTGCATGACAGCCTAGCTTGTTGCTGTGTGACCTTGGATTAGTCAGCTTTCTGTACCTCCGTTTTCCTCCCTATCAGATTGGGATGGAAATGAGAACTCGTGTAGTAACAGCCCCTCAATAAATGGCAGTCATCACCATCATCAGCTTTGTTTTGTGTGGGGATTGGTGGTTTTCAGAAGCAAGTCACCTTTCCCCTACTTGGTCCTGGCAGCAGGCACTGTCAAGTCAGACTGGGCCAGGGTGCAGGCTGTGGAATTGAACACCTGAGCAGGAATGAAGTCTAGTCCTTACAGGAATGTAATGAGGTTGATGAGGTGTGTGGTGTAAATCTCTCTCGGGTTCCCAGATTTCCCAGACCTGACTGTGGCTGCCTTTCCTCACTCAACCTGTGCTGGAATCAGCTGTGTTAACAGACAGACCCACCCATTCTTAGAAACCAAGGCTACCTTAAAGAGAAATACAAGCCACATTCTAGAGCTAAAACATGGCTGTTCCACAGCATGGAGGCAGGCCCAGGGACGGGTAGGGATGCCTAGGATCCCAGAGCAAGACTAGAGCCACATCTCTGCCTCCCTCCCCCGGGCTCCCTCGTCTCTGTACATCACTGGCCTGGAGCCCTGAGGTCTGGTTTGGCCAGTGAACAGTTTCCTCATGGGATAGGAGCAAGAGAAGTGGTCCCAAGTGGTCAAAGCGAGTCTCTCGCTCTTGCTCTCTCTCTCTCTCTCTCTGTCTCTCTCTCTCTCTCTCTGTCTCTCTCCTCTCTCTCTCTCTCTGTCTCTGTCTCTCTCTCTCTCTCTCTCCTCTCTCTCTCTCTCTCTCTCTCTCTCTCTCTCTCTCTCTCTCTCTCCCCCCCCCTTCTCTCGGCCCTGCCTTCCTAGCCCTGGGCCAGGCTCTGAGAGGATGGGGATTAATAGACAGACAAGGCGTCTCTGCCCTGAGGAACTTATGGTCTGACAAGAAGACAAGCCTACAATTATGAGAGACTGTGTGACACTCTGTAATTAAGCGTCTGCTGAGGAAAAGCATTGTCTGAGAAGGAAGAAGTGAGCATGAGCCAGAGGAAACAAGAGCCCTTTGAGGGGAGCTGGATTTGCAGAGGCAGAGGGTGGTGCCGACATTCCAGGGAGGTGGGTGCAGAGGGCATGGCTGGATGATAAGTGTGCATTTAGGGAAACAGCAGTATGCTAGTTTTGCTGAGGCATCAGGGCTCTGGCTGGAAAATCTGGGTGGAGCCAGGAGGTTGTAGGCAGTGTTAAACAGCTGAAAAGCAGAGGCACTGGGGAGGCATGGAAGGTTTTAGAGCAGAGGTAGCACAACTGGAAGACTTTCCAGAGGATGAATCAGGCTGGGTAAATTGGAATGAATAAAAATCACAACAGGGAGGAGGCTTTGCAGGCATCCAGATGACACAAGAGGGTGAGGTTTGGGTGGGGCCCATGGGAGTGGGAAGAGCCAATTGGGGTAGCAGAGGATGCTGTGCTCCCTTAGGAAAGCTTGGCCAGCGCTCTGATGGGCCAGAAGGGAAAATGTTGGGTGTTGCTGGTTTGGGGCAGGAAGTAGCAGTCTGAGCACATTTCTTGTACACCTGCTGTTTGCCTGGCTCTGCGCCAGGGGCTCCACAAGGGCGCTCATGAAATCTGTACAATAAGCCAGAGGCAGATGGACTTCCCATCCCTGTTTTGCAGATAAGGAAAAGGTAGCTCAGGCCCAAGGCCAACTGTCTCCAAACCGTGTCTCTTCCCACAGCTCAGCTCTGCTTCTTGGAAAGGGAACTCCTGCTTTTAGGGTCCCAAGGGGCTGAGCCTTCTTTCCCTTTAATTAGGAGCAAGCACATTTATCCTAAAAGCCCACAAATCTTGCTTTCTAAGGATCCTGAAGGTCAGGGTGCCAGTTTAGAATTCCTTAAAGGTGGAAGAGTCAGAGGAGCTAGGGACCCTCACACAAGCAGTTTTACACACTGGACTGTGAGAAGGTTCCGGAGTTGTGCTGTGTATATGTCCAGTCTGATAGTAGGCATGTCCACCACTGGGTCTGTTGGAATTCTCAGCCAGCCCCCACCAGAGAGGGGCCCAGCCAACGCAATCAGTCACCCACAAAGGCGGGAAGGGACTTGTCTCCAAGGTGCCTTGCACAGGAGAGCCAAGTGACGGAGGCTAGGACTCATTTCTCAGGCTGCAGCCAGGAATCCCCAGTGGGCAGAGGGAAAGGGAAGGGGACTAGTGCTTACACAGTGGCTACCATGGGAGGCAGCAGTGGTTGGTCCCAGTGTACAGCCAGGAAATTGATGGCTTGGCCGAGGCCTCCCAGCCAATCATTCTCTCTGTGTGCAGCCCACACTCCTCTGAACACAAACTTGGTCATGAGGCAGAGCAACCACATGGCAGGCACAGCCTCCAGGTGCCCCTCACCCTGCTGGTCCCTTGCCTCCAGCAAACACCCAGCATCTGTATGCCAGTTTGCTTTGGCAGATACTCTGAGCCCAGTGGTATGCAGGGTACAATTGTAACTGTAACCGTGTTCGTCATACCAAAATCTGGACAAAGGTTTTGAGAGATTTTTTGCTCCTTTGGAACAGAGGTGGCCTGAGAAATGCTATTTGGACTTTGGAACAGTGGACTAGAGTGACCTATGCTGTCCCTTTCCATTGTAGTAATTCATTTGATGACCATCTGGAGCCAGTTGCTTTCTCGTAAATTTGCTCATTCTCCCGTATATTCATTCTTTTTGTTTTGTTTCAGCACGTTGGTTCTGGATCTTTAATATTTGTTTAGTTTGTTTTGATTTGCAGAGCACTTTCATACACATTATCTCAGTAGATCTTTATCCAACTTTGGAAAGTATTACTATTCTTATCATCCTTGTTTTTCAGAAGAGGAAACTGAGGTTCACTGGTAGAAAGAGGCTTGACCAAGCTCACTGTGGCTGAGCTACTTATTCAATAAATATTTATTAAGTGCTGCTCTGTGCCTGGCAGTGAGCTGGCCCTGGGGAAACACTGACAGACAGAGCTGCCTTAAAGACTTAGTTTCTGACCTCCCAGAGTCTGCAGCAGCAGCACACCGAGATCTAGCCAGGATCCACCCCAGGCTCCTAACCTGCATCCTGGGCCCTCTCCACTTCAGGTCCCTGTAGTTTGGGCCTGTGGCTTAGGTCTAGACTGTTGCAGCCCGTGAGCCCTTATCCTGGAGCATCTTGGTATAAAGCAAGCCAAGGCATAAGTCTCTGCAAACCGAACTTCAAAAGTAACAAAAGAGGCTGGGCATGGTGGCTCACGCATGTAATCCCAGCACTTTGAGAGGCTGAGGCGGGCGGATCACCTGAGGTCAGGAGTTCGAGACCAGCCTGGCCAACATGGCAAAACCCAATCTCTACTAAAAATACAAAAATTAGCCGAGCGTGGTGGAACATGCCTGTAATCCCAGCTACTCAGGAGGCTGAGGCGGGAGAATTGCTTGAACCCGGGAGGTGGAGGTTGCAGTGAGCCGAGATCGCGCCATTGCACTCCAGCCTGGGCAACAGAGCAAGACTCTGTCTCAAAAAAAAAAAAAAAAAAGTAACAAAAGAGGTCTTCAGGAATGGCTTAATTATTAACAGGGTGAGGAAGGGCATCTCAGCAGAAGGCCATCTGCTCCTTCTCCCTGGGGGAACGTTGCCCAAGGGCTGCTTTACCTAAGATCCTTGTGTGAATTTTCTGCAGCCTCCAAATATTTGATTACACTCTGCACAGGTGTGGAGCTCTATGGCCATGTGCTGAGCTGGGGACCCTCCCCACCTCCTTTAATATTAAATGAGATGAAATAAAGTAAGGTCCTAGGATAGCAGGTCTGAAAAGGACTCTGGCCCAGCCCCTTCCTTTCCCATGAGTAGGAACTAAATCTCGGAGGAAAGGGACTTGCCAGGATCCCATACTGAGAGACCTTCCTTCCCCTTCCCCTCCCTTATCAGTTTCACTTAATTTCCCGTCCTTCCTGTAGGAACCCTCTCATCCCAGCTGTACATGGTCAGCATTCAAAGCCTTCTTCAAATCCTTCCTATGCCTCAAAGTCAAGTTTTCCCACAGTCTTCCCTGGCACTCTCCTCCACACCCCAGAGCCCCACAGTGTCCAGGCTTCCTCAGTCTACTCTCAGAGGCTGACTGCCTGTTCTGCAAGGCTAGACCAGCAGCCCTTGAGGAGACATTTCAAAATCTGTGTGCCTGGGTCCTGCCTCCCCTCCCAACCCAGGGAGTCTGATACCTGAGATCTAGGAAGAGGCATCTCTGGATACGTTTTGCTGGAGGTTTTTTTTGTGTGTAAAAGTTATATTTTTACTGAAAAAGCAATACATGTATGTTGGTTTAAAAAAATTCAAACTTGGTTAAAAAAAAAAAAAAAGCCCAATGAAAAATTAGTCCCTGTCCTACCCAGACACCTAATCACTGTGACGAGTCTTGAGGTTTCCTTATAGAAATACTCAGCATCACGTGCAGCTATTGTCAGTAACATCCCTTTTTATTACTTAGACAGTGGCATAGTCTCTCCCTACTTTTCTATACCTTGAATTTTTCATGTAAGTCTCTGTTGCAGGTTATTCTTGGTGGGCACATACAGGTTCATGGCCACCTTTGCTCCTGAGCATGTGGCTTTCCATTGACGGATAGACCACCAGTTGTTTGTCCTCTACTCAAGGATGTTTAGCTTGTTCTCAATCTTGCTGCTGTAAACAGTGCTGCAGTGAACACCCTTTCCTGTGTGTCTCCATGCACGAGTGCATGTGTAGCTGTCGGAGCCATTTCTGCACACAGAATTACTCTTTCCAAGAGTCTGTGCGCTTAAAATTTTGTCATGTATTTTTTAATTGCCTTCTTTTTCATTCTGAAAATGTATATATTTTAAAAGGCACCCCGCCTTCACCCCCAGATTCAAATTTGTTTCCTCCATGAGCTCCTCTCGTGCTGCACCTGCTTAGCAACGGTGAAGCCAGTGAGCTCATTCAAATATTTACTGACCTTGCCGGGCGCGATGGCTCATGCCTGTAATCCCAGCATTTTGGGAGTCCAAGGCAGGCAGATCACAAAGTCAGGAGTTCGAGACCTCTACTCGACCTGGCCAATATGGTGAAACCCCGTCTCTACTAAAAATACAAAAATTAGCCGGGCGTGGTGGTGGGTGTCTGTAGTCCCAGCTACTCAGGAGGCTGAGGCAGAAGAATCACTTGAACCTGGGAGGCGGAGGTTGCAGTGAGCCGAGATTGCACCTCTGCACTCCAGCCTGGGTGACAGAGCAAGACTCCATCTCAAAAATAAATAAATAAATAAATAAATAAACTGACCTCCTGAATCCCAGTGCTGGCTTGGCTGCTATACTCTTGCCCTTCACTGAACCTCAGTTTTCCTCATCTGAATAGTTGGGAGACTCATTCCTGCCTTTCTCATGTCCCTGGCTATTTGGTAAACCAGCCAGTAGGAAGACATCGTGAAATGTATTAAAGTGGTCTTAGCTAGACAGAGTGGGCATGCCAGGGTCAGCAGAGATTCTGAAGTCTAGACCAGTTCCCTGGGTGGGCCGTTGTCAGTCCTAGCAGATGGCCAGGTCAGCCCTCAGGCTGGAAATTTTAGGGCAGCTATTGGTAGGTGTCTCCTCTTGCTGTGCTGAGATACGGTCAAGATCATACTTAGGCTTTTGTTGGAAGAACATACAAGACGAGAGAAAAAAAAAGATCATACTTAGGGGCTCCCGGAATTTGCTCTGCCCTAGGTTGCTGAGACCTCTAGAACCTGTGCAGGCTAAAGGAACTCAGTCGGTAGATCCGAGAGAGGTGGTCAGGGAGACCAGGAGCATGTCTACACTGCCAGCAGACTTTTGCCTCCTCCCCCAAGCCAGCAGGATGGCCCAAAAAGGCTCCCCCAGCAGATCATCTTTGCAGCTCCTTTTTTAGCTCCAGTGGCAGCAGGGATGAGGAAGGGAAAGTTCTATCATTTTTTTCTAATTTAAAATGACATTTAAAATCACTAGCCTAGTGGGGGCCAGGTGTGGTGGCTCATGCCTGTTATCCCAGCACTTTGGGAAGCCAAGACGAGTGGATCACTTGAGCTCAGGAGTTAAAGACCAGTCTGGGCAACATAGCGAAACGCCGTCTCTATAAAAAAATACAAAAATTAGCTGGATGTGGTGGTGCACACCTGTATTCTTAGCTGCTTGTGGGGCTAAGGCGAAAGGATCACTTGAGCCCAGGAGGTCAAGGCTGTAGTGAGCTGTTTGTGCCACTGCACTCTAGCCTGGGTGACAAAGCAAAACCCTGTCTCAAAAAAAAAAAAAAAAAAAAAATCACTAGCTTAGTTCCTCCCTCCTATTTTATCAATAGGAAAACTGCAGCCTGGAGAAGTTGAAGATCTCCTCCCAAGTCTCCCAGTGAACTTGACAGGTCTCAGCTCACTTCTGCTTGGATTAGAAGCCAGGCATTTGACTCTCCTAGTCCTTAACTCTCAACATCTTTCCCAAATTGTTCTAGTCGTAAAGTTTCACTTTGGGGTTAAAAACCAAAGTGAAAGAAAAATGGCAAAGCAGGAAGCAGCCACTTCAGACCCAGCCCAGGCTGAGGGGACACTCTGAGGGACCCAGGCCCAGGTGGCCTCATGAGGAGGGGAGCAGGCCTTTTCCCTACCCACTCCCACCCTTGCTCTGGGAGCCTGGCTGGGGTAGGGACTGGGTGGGGCCCCGCAGGGAGAGGCGCCAGGCTACAGACAGGCAGTGGCGTCCTGGCCTGGCCCACTGCTGTCTGGGAGACAGCCAGTAGGATGGGTTCTCTGGTGAAGTCAGCCCCATGTGGGTGTGGTCCCAGCCGGGCTCCAGGTAGGCCTTTTAAACTCCCATCCTTCCGGGGCAGAGCTGAGCTGGAGCTGGGCTTCTGTCAGCTTGGGAAAGAAATCCTGGCTTCCCAAACCCAGCTTTCACAGAGCATTTCACTTTCCCTGAAGGTAAGAGCCAGTGCCCTGTCTTTACCATGAAAACTCTTAAACTTTTGGTCACTGTGGGCACTTACTTACCTCCTATAGTTTCTTTTTGGGACCCAGATGTCCTGAAAGCCAAAGGATGGAGGAGCTGGAACTGCTGGCTTCTCACCATTTTATGTCGCTGAGTTGTTGGGTGGCCTCAGGCAAGACCCTTCCCTTCTCTGGCCTGCAGATTCCTCATTTGTTTGTCAGCAGGAGGGAGCTCCTTCTATCTCTGCTATTAAGTTGAATTTGGTTCCTGGAAGCTGGTGAGAGAGTATCGTAACACCCAGTTTGGTTGGCCTGTGTCTTTCAGATATTAACTGTTACCTGATTAGCTGGGGTCTCAAGTTCCTATTTCCTGTGCTTTTACTAAGGAAATTCTCAGACTTATCAATGCAAATATGGTATCAATTTTGTTGCTAGACCAAATATGATTTTTTAAAATAGAGATTTCCCACTATGCTACCCACGTTGGTCTCAAACTCCTGGGCCCAAGCAGTCTGCCCGCCTTGGCCTCCCAAAGTGCTGGGATTACAGGTGTGAGCTACCATGCCTGGCCAGCAAATACGATTTTTATGTACCTCTCTTCTCCTTTGCACAGTCACAGGGTCCCTAAGTACAGAGCTGGAGTCCAGTCCCTAAGGGCACCTACTGAGCATACAGTAGGTGATCAGGAAGCCCACACCCCAGAGGTCATATGTACCTATAGTTAAGAGCATCTCTGTAGAGTTGGACTGCTGGGGTTCAGTTCCTGGGCTGCCAGCTAGAGCTGTGAGACCTTGGACAAGGTACTTAACCTCTCTGGGCTTGTTTCTTCACCTGCAAAATAGAGATGCTAATAATACCTGACTGTAGTCCAGCATGAGGACAACAGAAACTTGTGCAAAGCACTAAGCACAGTGCCTGGTACAGAGGAAGCATTTGAGAAGTATTAGCTGCTGCTGTTACTGACATCCAGGGGGAAAGAGAAGACTTGAAATAGCCAAAAACTGTCCATGTCCCATGCCTGGAAAGATGTAGATGGATTGGGTGGGCTGTTTGGAGTGGAGTCAGTTATTTGATGGCTGTTTGCCAAGTGCAGGGCTCTTATGGGGAAAGGTGGCCTGGGTTAGGGGAGAGGCGAATGCTCTGCGTGAGGGAAGGGGAAGAAGGGCAGACTGTCCAGGGTTCAGGAAACCCAAGATCAGGCTGGAGAATCTATCCAGGGCTGTCAGAATCTGCCAGGTATGTGGAGCTAGAGTTCTCTCTGCAGGGTCATCACTCCATCTGGGCAGTTTCCTACTGGGGGCTGTGACGAGGACCTATTATTGACTGCGGAGAATAGGTTGGATAGTTCTAGCCTCTCCTGGAACTTTCTTGCCTTCCCCCTGGCGTGGCTGTTGCCCTGCACAGGGATGCAGTAATAGGAGTTGTCTGCCTGCCTGTGGAGTGCAGACCAAGGTGGGGTGGGGAAGAGGGGCCTGTCTGACATCACCCAGTAAAGGTAGGGCTGCCACCGTTGCTGCTGTCCCAGCAGTTTCTTTAAAAGAGGCACATGCAGCAGTGTGTGGGAAGGGTGGGGGGTGGAGGGCAGGGATTGGGCTCCTCCCTCCTTCCTACCCCACCTCCACTTCTCTTTCCAAACAATCAGCCATTCATTTACTTGAGTGCCAAGTGCTGTGCCAGGAGCCAGGGAGAGACTAGGGAACAAGATTGACTTCCCTCCAGCTTGGAGTCCCCACCCAAGCAGGTAACAAATAAACAGGATACTGTCTAATCTGTTAGTGATGAGAACCCTAAAGGAAACAAGTAGATGCTGAGAAATTGGGGAAGGCATCTCAGGGAAAGTGACTGCTGGATGGGAAGGAGGCAGTCAAGGGCCGACTGGGAGGTGTCACGACCCTGAGGTGGGGGTATCTTGAGGGAACAGGAGAGGTAGGGGTTACATCTGGAGTAGTCTCAAGGTCAGGCAGGACCCTGGGGGTCTCGGTGAACCTAAAGAGGTGTGATAATGAATGTACTGCAAGTGAATATGTTTATATGTTTCTTCCTTTTTTTTTGAGATGGAGTCCCGCTCTGTCACCCAGGCTGGAATGTAGTGACATGATCTTGACTCACTGTAGCCTCGCCTGCCGGGTTCAAGTGATTCCCCTGCCTCAGCCTCCTGAGTAGCTGGGATTACAGGCGCCTGCCACCATGCCTGGCTAATTTTTGTATTTTTAGTAGAGATGGGATTTTGCCATGTTGACCAGGCTGGTCTCGAACTCCTGACCTTGTGATCCGCCCGCCTCGGCCTCCCAAAGTGCTGGGATTACAGGCGTGAGCCACCAAGCCCGGCTCTCCATACAATCTCTTACCCAATTCCTGTCCAAGATTCTATGATACTAACACATCCATTACTGCCTTTGTACACCTCTGATCTTTATTTTCTGTTTGGATTATTTTTCTTTTATTTATATTTGCTGAATTTCAGTAAAGAGATTGTAGGCAGATTATTAACCAGCCCTTGCTCACAAATACAGTTAACTCAAATCAGAAAATTTTTAAAAATGCTTAGTTTTAAATATTTTATTTGTGACTTTTAGGTTTGGAATGAGTAAAATCAAAGCAGTTTGATAACTGCTGGGGCTCATTCTTCAGTGGGCCGCTCACTAGTCCATTTTTAACACTGTCTTAATGACCATCTTAACCTTTTTTTTGTTTGTTTTGAGACAGAGTCTCACTCTGTCGCCCAGGCTGGAGTGCAGTGGCGCAGTTTCGGCTCACTGCAACCTTCGCCTCCCGGGTTCAAGCAATTCTCGTGCCTCAGCCTCCCGAGTAGCTGGATTGCAGGCACGCGCCACCACACCTGGTTAATTTTTGTATTTTTAGTAGAGACAGGGTTTCACCATGTTGGCCAGGCTGGTCTCAAACTCCTGAGCTCAGGTGATCCACCTGCCTTGGCCTCCCAAAGTGCTGGGATTACACACGCGCCCGGCCCTTCTTAACCATTTTTAAGTGTGCAGTTCATTGGCACTAAGTACATTCCCATTGTTGTATAGCCATCATCACTATCCGTCTCTTTAACTCTTCATCTTCCCAAACTGAAACTCCGTGCCTATTAAACACTAACTCCCCATTACCCCCTTGCCTGGTCCCTGGCAACCACCTTTTTTTTTTTTTTTTTTTTTTTTTTGGAGACACAGTCTCGCTCTGTCTCCCAGGCTGGAGTGCAATGGCGCTCTCTTGGCTCACTGCAACCTCCACCTCCCAGGTTCAAGCAATTTTCCTCCCTCTGCCTCCCGAGTAGCTGGGCTTACAGGCATCTGCCACCATGCCCGGCTAATTTTTTATATTTTTAGTAGAAACAGGGTTTCACCATGTTGGTCAGGCTGGTCTCAAACTTCAGACCTCCGGTGATCCACCCGCCTCAGCCTCCCAAAGTGTTGGGATTACAGGCGTGAGCCACCGCACCTGGCCAGCAACCACCATTCTTTCTATGAATTCTATTACTCTAGGTATCTCATTCACTAGCCCAATTTTTTTTTTTTTTTTGGTTTTTTTTTTTTTTTTTTTGAGATGGAGTTTCGTTCTTGTTGCCCAGGCTGGAGTGCAATGGCACAATCTTGGCTCACCGCAACCTCCGCCTCCCAGGTTCAAGCAATCTCCCAAGTAGCTGGGATTACAGGCATGCACCACCATACCCGGCTAATTTTGTGTTTTTAATAGAGACTGGGTTTCTCCATTTTAGTCGGGGTGATCTCAAACTCCTGACCTCAGGTGATCCGCCTGCCTCAGCCTCCCAAAGTGCTGGGATTACAGGCGTGAGCTACCATGCCCAGCCCTCTCTGGCCCATTTTAAGGAGATATATTTGAAGGGCAGCTGAGGGGAATGCTCTGAATAATTAACTCTTATGGTAGTGATTAATTCTCCAAGTTTGTTTTTTTCTCTTTTTTCTTTTTTTTTTTTAAGACAGAGTCTCTGTCACCCAGCTTGGAGTGCAGTGGCACAATTTCGGCTCCCTGCAACCTCGCCTCCTAGGTCCAAGTGATTCTCCTGCCTCAGCCTCCCAGGTAGCTGGGATTACAGGCACCCGCCACCACGCCCGGCTAATTTTTGCATTTTCAGTAGAGAGGGGTTTCACCATGTTGGCCAGGCTGGTTTTGAACTCCTGACCTCAAGTGATCCACCCGCCTCTGCCTCCCAAAGTGCTGGGATTACAGGCATGAGCCACCATGCCCAGGCAATTCTCCAAGTTAATGCACAATGCACATCTAAGCTTATGTGTGGCCTTATCCTGGCAGAATTGCTAAGGGACTGATCATCTGGGAGAGCCTCCTCTGCAGAGGTAGCCTTGGTTCCAAAGCCCCTGGTGGCTTTGAGGAGCCTGGCCACTGCCCCCTATGGAGGCAGGATAATGGGATGAGGAAGGCTGTGGATCTGATCACAGGACCCAAGCATAATTCCTTCATTAGCTACTTGCTCTAGGATTTGGGCCAAGTCCCTCCACCTGCCTCAGCCTCAGCTTCCTCTTCTGGGAAATGGGACAATACTTTCCAACATATTTATGACTCAGAGTCAGTGAGACAGATGATGGACTTCCTTTGCAGTTTTGAGAATCCTAGCACAGTGTTTGGATGCAGTTAAATGCAAGGAAAATAGGACGCCTGATCCCAATTTGTAGAAGTAGTGGAGACCCAGAAATACAGGGACTTGCCCAAGGTCATACGGCACTTCACTGGTAAAATTGGGCTGAAACCCAGCTACCCTCCACAAGTTGCAGCTTTTTAAGGTTTCTTGTTGGTCAGTCTTTCGAAGGACAGTAGACTTGAAATAGATGTTTGCTTTTCCGTCTTACTGGATTTGAAACATTTCTCAAGAAGCTCCAGTGTTGATGGGCCTGTGAGGGAGGATAGAGGGTAAAGATTTGGGTAGGGAATAAAGACAATAATTCTGTGTCATAGGACTAGAGTCCTAAATGACTTTCATGGTGATCATCTTGTCCAGGGACAGCAAATATCTTGCACTGGGCAATTACCCCTCCTACTGGACCCATGGCAGACAGCATCAGCCACAGCACTCCCATTGACCCCTGGATACAGCGTGAGGAGTCTTCTCGACACAGGCAAAACCAATCAACCAGAAGTAGCATGCCCAGTGGAATCTGTGCCCTCCCTAATCTAGTGCAGTCCCCTGCTTTTACAGATGGGTGGCAGTCCTGGGAGGGGAAAGGACTATGAAGGGCAATTGATGTCACAGGTCTCTTTGTGAGAGCAGAAAAGAGTCTGGCAGGACAGTTCGAAGCCTTCGGAAGTATGTTTGCAAAAACATCAGGGCAGAGCAGCTCCCAGGGGGTAGATGTTATCAAGGTAAAGTCTGTTTTCTCCAGATGTTTCTTGGGATGCTGCCTGGCCTCGGGATGTTTATGAGAGTGTACTGTAGTCAGATTCCACCAACCAGAGCAGGAGGACAAACTTGGCTATCTACAGCAGCTTCTAAGCTTTGTAGGAATGTATGTGTCAGTCTTGCCGAAGCAAGCTTGTATTTTTACTACTTGTGAGGCTGGATCCTGTGAAGGTTGCATTCTGGAAGTTGAAACCTGTAGGGTTTGTACTCACTTAGCAGATAGAACATGACTCACTGTGTGATCCCGAACAGAGCCTTCAACCTCTCTGAGCCTCCTTTTTCCTTAGTAGCACAGGGGTGATGATGAAAACATCTCCTTGAGGGGATCAAATGTAAGATGCAGAGGTTAGGACCTCAGATGGTGATTGGGCTACTGCAATAACCACCAATTCCTGAGCAGGTGAAAAACATCTGGCAACTGTGATTATTAGCCACTAATGTTCAGCCACTCCTCAGTGTGGCTGACCCTGTGCCATTGTTGGGGCAGAGTTCTATGGACAGGATGGGGTGGTTGGTGACCTTCTGATTGGTAGATGTTCTTTCAAAGACATCTTCCCAGATGTTACCATGTTGTGCTTTCAGAGGTAGTTGAGAGGAACGTTGAGTGGGGCGGGCTCTGTGGGCATGAGGGGACATATAGTCAAGACTTGTTCCAGCATCACTGTCATCTGCTTGCCAAGTTGTCTCTTACTCTTCTCTACTTAGAGTCTTCAAAGTCTTCTAGGATGAGGGCTCTGCCAGCCTGTGTCATTTTTAGGGTGAAATGAGAGGGTGGGGTTCTGCCTCCTAAGTGTCAACAGGCATTCACCTGGGTACCTCTTTTGAGCCAGGATTGGAGGTCACAGGGATGCCACCCTGCCTTCAGGAGGCTCAGGGTCTAAAGGAGGAAGCAGAAAAGTAAAGAGGTTTGTAAAAATAGTGTGGTGGGCAAGGGCCTGTGGTGTGCCTGAATGTGGGATGTTGTTCAGTGAGTGAGCCAGGGCAGGGGCCTGGGAAGACTGTTAGGGAAGGCTTTTTGGCAGGAGTGATGCTGGAACTGATACCTAAAGGAGGAGGCAGAATCAGTGAGGAAGAGGGTGTTCAGGCAGCACAGAGGCCTGGAAGCTGAGCATGGTGTGTTGGCATGAAGGGGGTGATGGAGAGTTAGAGGGGTGATTGACAAGGCAGAGAGGCCAGTGGTCCCTACACTAAAATGTTAGAATGGTGCTGCTACAGTGCGGTGTCGAGGGGCTGGATGGTTGGGGGTGCTGGGCAGGGCAATGAATCTTCCCGAACTTAGTCCTTGGACAGGATGAGACCCCTCATTTCTGCCCCAGGCCAGAAATCCTCAGCTTCTGGCATGCAGAGTCCATGGAGGGCCTGGGATTGGGCAGCAGCTCCGTGGGCCCTTTGCTCAGGAGATGTTTAGGCTCCTCAGGCAATTGTAATGACAGTTCCTCACCTGCCAAGCCCTTTCCCACCTGTCTTGGGAAACTCACAGCAGTCCTAGGGCAATAGACAGGGCAAGCCGCATTATTCTCATTTTATAGATGGGAGAAATTCAGACCCAGGAGCTTAAGTCATACACTGAATGAAGGCTGATTCCAGGGATTCCTAACCTACTGGCAGTTTCTGTCATAGCAGGTATTTTGAAGGGGGCAGGGTAGCAAGTATCAGCTGATCTCCTATTCTGAGGATGGATTTATCATCTCAGATGGGAGCTCTTATGCAGCTAGACTTCCCAGACGAAGGTGTTTTACTTCCAGACTTTGCTGTCTGAAGCCCTGGTGTTAGTCCTCACAAGATTTCCCGTGTGGCTAGGCTGTGTGAACATTCTCATTTTGTATTTCGCTGTTTGTTGATAACAATTCTCCGGAGGTAGGGGGGTAAAAAAGACCAGTGGCTCACGCCTGTAATCCCAGCACTTGGAAGACCAGGGTGAGATGATGGCTTGAGCCCAGGAGTTTGAGATCAGTCTGGGCAACATAGTGAGACCCTGTCTCTACAAAAAATTAAAATTAAAAAAATTAGTCAGGAGCAGTGGTACATGTCTGTAGTCCTAGCTACTCGGGAGGCTGACGTGGGAGGATCACTTGAGCCCAGGAAGTTGAAGCTACAGTGAACTATGATCACACCCTGTACTCCAGCCTAGGTGACAGAGTGAAACCCTGTCTCTAAACAAAAAGTTGGCTGGGCACGGTAACTCAACGCCTGTAATCCCAGCACTTCAGGAGGCCTAGGTGGAAAAATTGCTTAAGCCCAGGAGTTCTAGTACAGCATGGGCAACATAGTGAGACCTCATCTCTACAAAAACTAAAAAAATTAGCCAGGCATGGTGGTGCACCCCTGTGGTTCCAGTTACTTGGGAGGCTGAGGTGAGAGGATTGCTTGAGCCCGGGCTATCAAGGCTGCAGTGAGCTGTGATCATACCACTGCACTCCAGCCTGGATGACAGTGAGACTGTCTCAAAAAAAAAATGTTGAACTATGAATGTCATGCACACAAAGATGATGTGTGGTATCACGTCCAGAACTGGATGTAAAGTAGAAGGGCAAAGAGCGTCTCAGGCCCGGTAGGAATCTTAAAAGTCACACCCATGGGGACTTCAGTTTCCTCCCTGGCATCCATCCTGCCTGTGTCTAGCCTGGCTGGCCATTTTCTAGGTCCTTCTTCCATCTTTGGCCAGCTCTGCTTCTTAGAAAGCTCCTCTTTATAATTAGTCAAAATTTACTTCCATTAACAATCCCCACCTTCCTTTTCCCCTCTGATTGTAGTGTGACCCTCTGGGGCTACATGTGTATTTGACAGTCTTTTAGGTATTTGAGGACAGTAGCCATGCCCTTTTAAATTGTCTCTCTTCTCCAGGGTGACCATCCTAGCCTCTCCAAGCCATCCCTCACTTTACGCTAAGCACAACTTTTGGTGCATATGTGTCACACGCCCCGTTTGTGACAAGTCCGTCCCAGACACACTAATCACTTGTTGAATCAGTCCTGGGCTTTCTCATGCAACTCCATATGGCTGCCACAGTGCCCAGTCAGTGGAGGAGGCTTTTCATTGTCATCTCCACATTTCTATGGGTTTCTTGAGGACAAGGACTACTCATTCTGGGTCCCTAGTGGCTGGCACTGTGCATGGCTTTCCCTCTGTAAATAAGCATTTGCTGGAATGGGGTGGAGTTGAGACTTCTCCCTGTGTGGATCACCTTCTGTCTTCAGGTTCCAGTTTGACGATATCCCTTGCCTGGAATTACCTATGATACCCTCAGTATTATCCAGAGTTCAGTGGGGACTGCGCCCTCTCTGGTCCTGTGACTTTCCTGTAACAGTGCATCCTCAGTGTCTGTGGTCAGCTGACGTCACTAAGCCATTTTTCCACATATGCCGCTTTTCTTGTGTAATTGTCTTACTTGGGTTCCCAAACTCAGGGTCTTAATATAAGCTCTGAGGGAAAAAAAATCCCTCTGTTTTTCTGTGTCTCTGTCCCCCGGGTGTGCCTGGCACAGAGACAGGCAGCATTACCTCTGCTGACCTGAAGTGAACTCACGGTTTTCCCCATTCAGTCCTGCACTATTCGTCTCATCCCAACTCTAGGCTGCCGAGGGATCTTGGCTCCTACTCCTGTCACCTGATATGCCACCTGCCACTCCAGGCCCAGTGAATGAGCTTGTTAACACTGCCTTTCTATTCTGGGATTCGCTTGGTCATTCAGAATGGTGAAAGAGGCCAGCAATCGAGGTGCACAGGGCCTGGCAGCGTCTGGCTTTGCACACTGGACACACAGCCTATGACAGTTGGTGAAAGCCGGGCTTTTGTGACCTATCGCCAGGGTTTGAAGTCAGCCCTCCATTGACATCAGCCCTCCAGAAGTGAGGGTAGTTTTTTTGAGGCTCTTTCCAAGTAATACTTCCCAGGCTGGGCTCTGGGATCTTAGGGCTTTGGAAAGGTAGCAGCAAAGCTCGTATGATACAGCCAGTATTTGAAAAGCCACATTTTGCATTCTCTACCCTCAGTCCTTCACCAGACCAAGCGGGCTGCACATGTCAAGTTTTTGCACTGGGCTGGAGCCGAGGCAGCTTTGTAACTGGGCGGTTTCTCCTGCTTACTAGCACCTGCTTCTCGTGGGTTGTTTTTTTGTTTTTGTTTTTGTTTTTTTGAGACAGGGTCTAACTCTGTTGTCCAGGCTGGAGTGCAGTGGCATGATCTTGGTTCACTACAACCTCTGTCTCCCGGGTTCAAGTGATCCCCACACCTCAGCCTCCTGAGTAGCTGGGATTACTGGCATGAGATACCATGCCCGGCTAATTTTTGTATTTTTAGTAGAGACAGGGTTTCACCATGTTGGCCAGGCTGGTCTCAAACTCCTGACCTCAAGTGATCCCCCTGCCTCAGCCTCCCAAATCGCTGAGATTACAGGCATGAGCCACCATGCCCGGCCAAATGGTTATAGCTTTGATAAACAACAAGATCGTGATTTAGTAACAGTAGCTTGGGCGCTACCATCTCTTTAAAGCTTGGATTCCTAGGGATGATGGTAATAAGGTGTCCAGGGTGGGCTGGGGCAGGGACCACTGAGCAGAGCTCTTGGCAGAGCAGACTCTGCAGGTGGGTCTCTGAGGATAAATAAAATGATGTTTGTGGCAGATTCCAATACATAATGGGTGAGGAGTGGATGGTTCCTGACAGGCTGCTTACTGGATATGGCTGCAGTGGTAGTAGAAATGGTTTTTCAGAAACTACATGCTATTTGGACATACTATTTGGAGGTCAGTGGTCAGGGGCTAGAGGAGGCAGAGCTCAGCTACGGGAGGATGCCTCCCTGAATGCCCGGAACTGGTGTTCTCCAGGCTGGGGGGAAACCAGGAACATTCCCACACTCATAGCCCCAGGCAAGGGTCCCTGCTCTGCTGCCAGATCCTCAGCTCATGCATTTGCCTTCCTGGTCCTTTTTTATGTGTACTATGAGAGAGTGAATTAGTCTGGTAGGTCTCAGAATAACATGTGGGAATTCTGTACAGAGAAAAAAGGGGAAATGGGGCTGTTCTGAGGGACCTGGGGTGGGGTGAGAGTCCAAAGAGCCTTCCTCAGGCCCCCTTGGGAATCCCCAGAACCAGACTCAGCCACGCTGGAGAAGTCCTAAGTGGCTGGGAACCCATGTGAGTGGTTCCGGTGTTCCTGGTGAGAGAGTCAGAGCATGTGGGGCCATGTGTCTGGAAGCAGGACCTGAAGGAGGACAGTGGACAGGCAGCATGGGCACCTTAGCCATGTGCTGGGGTTCTGCACCAGCGGTCACCAGGCCCCTGTCCTCATGGTCAGCAGAGCCAGAGCTGCCACCCTCTAACCCACTCAGGAAATAGTCAAACCCTGCCTGAAGACCCCAGGAATAAAGGGCCCATTTAGGCCCTTTTAGGCCCTGACTGGGGAACTGGCCTGGCCAGGATCTCAGCCAGGCTCTGGCAGGTGGCACCTAACTCCCAGCCCTGGAGGCCGTGGCTAAAGAGCAGCTAAATGCACTGGCTCTGGGAGGAAAGCCTGGGCTCAAATTCTGGCTTTTCCACTTCCTGTCTGTGTAATCCTGGGCTACTCACTTCTCTGAGCCTCAGGGGTTTTTTGTTTGTTTATTTTTTCTCCTTGAAATCAGAATGGTAGGCCTGGTGAAGAGTTGGTGAGCCGATATAGTTAAAGTGCTTCATGCTAGGCCAGTTCATGTCCAGCCCTCTGTCAGTGGGAGATGTCATGGACAGCCAGCAGACAGCTTCCCACCCACTGAGGACCTGCCGCCCTGGACTGTGGGTGTGCCTAGAAGCATCGCTTAACCTCTTCTCTGACTCCTGTGACCCCAACATGTCAGGAAAAAAGCCCCTCATACCCTTGACCCCAACTGGGGAGTGAGCAGCTCTCCTAAGGAGCAGCTGGGGTGGGGTGGAGGCATTGCTCTGGCAACTGAGCAGGTCCCTCTCAGGCCTCTGCTCCAGGCCCCTGAAGGAGGGTGGCTGTCTGCACTGTGGATACAGCTCTCCTGCCACCTGTGTCCTGGTGCCAAGAGCCTGAAACCAGACCTGGCCTTCCGGCCAAAAGGGACTTTCTCTGCTTTCACCCAGCCGGAACTGAGACACCACTAGAAGTTCCTCCTGGCTGCCTCCACCTCAAGGTTCCCACCAGGCTCCTGCCTTTCCGAGAGGAGGCTCTGATGGACAGTCTTCCTGGGGAGCAAGGGAGGGGGCTGGAGCCCTAGAAGGAACAAGGAGGTCTGGGGCAGCTGCTGCGGCAGTGATAGACTCGTGTGCCATGGGCCACTGCCGCTGCACGTGCACCTGCATTGTATTTCTTAAAATTATAAATTAACACCATTTGAAAATTCAGAGGAGTTTTTTTGCCAATTGATTTTTTTTCCACTGACTGTTCCTCAAATGATTCTTCTATTGATATATAATAGATATACATATTTTCAGGGTAGATGTGATATTTTAATATATCCATATAATATGTAATGATCAAATAAGAGTAATTAGGATATCCATCACCTTAAACATTTTTCTATGTGCTGGGAATATTCAAATTATTTTCTTTGGCCGGGCGAGGTGGCTCGCGCCAGTAATCCCAGCACTTTTGGAGGCCAAGTCCAGAGGGTTGCTTGAGCCCAGGAGTTTGAGACCAGCTTGGGCAACAAAGACCCCATCTCTACAAAAAATTAAAAATGAGCCAGGCATGATGGAGCATGCCTGTGGCCCCAGCTACTTGGGAGACTGAGGTGGGAGGATCATTTGAGCCCAGAGGTCAAGGCTGCAGTGAGCCATGACAGAGTGAGACCCTGTCCCAAAAAAAAAAAAAAAAAACTGCTAGCTAATTTGAAATGTATATTTTAAAATCCAGATTTCTGGTACATTTGGCAGCTCTGACAACGCTGGGCCCAGGTTTCCAACATGGCAGCTGTGAGCCAGAAAGGGTTGATGCCCTGTGCACATTTGAACTGTGACCCCCGTTCAGGGACAACCCACTTAGTTTACAGCTGTGGAAACTAAGGCCCAGAAGGGACTCAGGCCCTGTGCAGAGTACACAGCCCACCATGGCCAGCATTGATTTTAGATCCTGGCAGCCTGGCCTTGCAGAGCAGAGCTTTCTGCGCTGCCACTCATAAGAGTAAAAAGCCTCTTCTCCCATCTGTAAAGTATCAGTGATAATTACCACTCCTCCCAGAGCTGTGTCAGGATAAAGTAGCACCTGGCCCAGGCCTCCGTAATGATTCTTTTAAATCTGTACAAATGCTACACCTTGCCTGGAAAGTGTTGCTGGAAGCACCACATGCTTTCTCTGCCACTTTTCAGAAATGATTATTTTTCACACACTTTCCATTGCTCCGTGCCGAGGGTTTGTTGCACTCTCATTCCCACAGCTTCATTGCCCAGCTTCAAGCAGATTTGCTCAAGGCTCTACCTCCCACCAGACTGTGCTCCTGTGTGTGGTGGGGCGTGATCTGAAGGGAGTTCAAAGCCCTGGCCCTGGGGATTAGATCCAAACTAAAAGACCAGGAATAAATCATTCTGCTTCCATGTGCCTCTGTTTACCCAGTTGTCAAATAGGGGTTTGTTCATTCGTTCAGTAAATATTTACTGAGCCCAACCATGTATTGAGCCTGGTACTGAGAAAGCACCATGATTATATAAGATACTCAAGGTCCCCACCATCAGGGACCTGTATCAGATACTCAGGTTCCCTATCTGGTAGAGGAGAGAGACCAAAGACATGTGAGCTAATAAATGACCAGTGCTTGAATGAAACAAGCAGAGTCCTTAAAGAATAATAGCTTTAGACTGGATGGTCAGGGAGGCCCTCACTGAAGACATGCTACTTGAGCTGGACCTAAAATCATGATGAGAAGGAGCAGACATGCCAACATGAGGGTGAAGTTAGTTTCAGACAGGGCATGGCAGGTCCAAAGGCCCCACGTGGGAACATGCTTGGAGCATTTGAGGAATAGCAAAAGGCTGGTGTGGCTGGAATGGAATTAGGGAGGGGAGGGTGGGCCAGTTCCTATTGTAGGCTAAGGTAAGCAATGTGGATTTTATTCTGTATGGAATGGGGAGCCTTTTTTTTGAGATGAAATTTTGCTTCAGTTGCACAGGCTGGAGTGTAGTGGCGCAATCTCGGCTCACTGCAACCTCCACCTCCCAGGTTCAAGTGATTCTCCTGTTTCAGCCCCCTGAGTAGCTGGGATTACAGGCCTGCGCCACCACACCCGGCCAATTTTTTGTATTTTTAGTAGAGGCGGGGTTTCACCATGTTGGCCAGGCTGGTCTCAAACTCCTGACCTCAGGTGATCCGCCCGCGTCAGCCTCCCATAGTGCTGAGATAACAGGTGTGAGCCACCTCACCCGGCCTGGAATGGGGAGCCTTTGAAAAGCTTCAGAAAAGGGGAGAAGCAATCCAGTTTGAGCTTTTAAAAACTGTCAGGGTTCCAAGAGTGATTGTGGGTAAGATGGGCCATAGAGAAAACAGGGACGCAAAAGACCAGGCCTGCTGGGGTGGAGAGACGCTGGTCTCTGTTAGCTGTGCTTTTGCGGTAGAGAGGTGAGGCTCTGCAGATGGAGGAGGGTGGAAGGAGGAGATGGGAATTTCCATGCTTCTGGAGTGTATAACTGAGTGTTCAGGGCCCCCTCTCTGGGAGAGCAAGGCTGATGTGAAGGAGGAGAGGATTCAGATTCATTCTGGACACACTCAACTTGAATGGCCTTGGCACTCCCTGGCACAGCTGCCTAGTGCACTGGGACTCTTGAGATAGTAGGTGATACTCCCTCCTAACTGCTTTCAGTGCCTGTGCACTGTAAAATTATCTGCCCATGGGCCAGTCTGGAGGGACTTCATGAGAAATGGGATGCTATGGGCAGGAAGAAGGTGCCTCTGTTCCCATTGCTGCTTAGAGCAGCCCCAGGAAGCTGAGGATCCTGAGAGGAGGCAGCCTTCCTTGGATCTCCTTTCCTCAATCCCTATCCTCCCTCCACGAGCTAAGGTACCTAAGTTACATTTTGCCAAACTGTGCCCCACTCAGCATCTGTCCTCCCATGCCTTGGACTGTCCCGCCCTGCTCCTTTGCTCACAGAGGGTCCCTTCACCAGAAAGCTCTGTATTTCCTTGCCACTAAGCGACTCTCACCACCCATCTAGACGCAGGCAACCTTAGTGTCTTCCAGAAAGGCCCCCAGATTGCCTCCCAGAAGGCAATCACTTTCTCCTTAATCCAGAAACCATGGTAACAAAATTGGCATGGGCCCACCCCAAGATCAAAAAATACCTCATGCCTGTCAGCTCCTTGGCTCCTACCCGGAGCACATTGAGTATCACATCCTATTTTTATGGGTAAAACAACTGCCATGTAAAAGGCAGTTAGTGCGCCGGGCGTGGTGGCTCATGCCTGTAATCCCAGCACTTTGGGAGGCTGAGGCGGGTGGATCACGAGGTTGGGAGTTTGAGACCAGCCTGGCCAACATGGTGAAACCCCGTCTCTACTAAAAATACAAAAATTAGCCGGGCATGGTGGCGCGCGCCTATAATCCCAGCTACTCAGGAGGCTGAGGCAGGAGAATCGCTTGAACCCGGGAGGCAGAGGTTGCAGTAAGCCAAGATTGCTCCACTGCACTCCAGCCTGGGCAACAGAGTGAGACTCTGTCTCAAAAAAAAAAAAAAAAAAGCAGTTAGTGCAGCAGAGGGGCCATCGAGTAGTGGTCAGCCTTCAGGCACCCTGGTTTCAGGCCGCGGCCTCAGCACTGCCTAGCTGGGAGGTGAGTGCAGGCAAATCTCCACCTCTCTGTAACATGGGGCATTTACATTTGGGAAATAGGAACCTCCTTCATACTGGTTTTGAGGATTCAGTCAGCTAAAGGATAGCTAAAGTAGATTCTCATTCACTGTAGTTATGTTCACAGAGTCATAGTGAATGCTAAACCATTGCTCTTCTGGGCAGTATAGGGTCACTGCAAGCCTGTGGTCATAATGTTTCTACCAACCAACCAATCAATCCATAACCTTGTTTTATGTGTGTCTCTGTTGAAAGATTTTTTTTTTTTTTTGAGACAGGGTCTCTTGTTGCCCAGGCTAGAGTGTGCAGTGGTGCAATCTTGGCTCACTGCACCCTCTGCCTCCCAGGTTCAAGTGATTCTCCCACCTCAGCCTCCCAAATAGCTGGGACTACAGGCATCCACCACCACACCCAGCTAATTTTTGTATTTTCAGTAGAGACGGGGTTTTGCTATGTTGGCCAGGCTGGTCTCCTGACCTCAAGTGATCTGCCCGCCTCAGCCTCCCAAAGTGCTGGGATTACAGGCGTGAGCCACTGTGCCCAGCTGAAAGATTCTTTACTTAATATACTATTGATTCATTAACATTGAACTCATGGCCAGCAGCACTATGACTCATGCATGGATGAAGCGTACCTAACACTTTTCTCCATAAGGGACATCACAGCCTTCTTGCACTGAGAACACTGGGCAGTGCTTCAGCATTATGTAGGTGCCATTTTAAACAGTGAAGTCACCAACAGAAAGCCCACAAATGGGAAAAGTATAGCACTAAATAGACCTGCGAAAGGACACTTGTTTACAGTATGAGAGCTGCAGTGAGAAGGTGGAGTGTCACCTTGTTCCACCTCAGCTGGGGTTGTGTGTAGCGGGCACATGTCTGCGAGCCCCTTAAGTGTTGGTTTTGCAAGTAAATTCAAGTGAGTAGGTGATTTTGCACATATAGAATTAGTAAGTAGGATCAGCTGTATATGAAGTACCTGCTCAGGCCTGGCCATGGTTAGCACTCAGTAAGGTCAGCTGTTAGCATCAGAATCATTACCGAAGGGAGTGCATCATAGCTTCTGTACCAGGCTCCAAGGACAGAGCTAGCTCCCTGAGCTTTATGGCTTTGTCTTCATCAGCCTGACACCTTTTTAACTTCTTGGCTTCTGTGGATGTTTGGGTCCGAGGTAGATGCAGATCCTTGAGGCCCTGAATGCCCCCACTGAAGGGTTTGTTTGTTCCAAGTCTACAAACCATTGAATGGTTTCAGGTTGTGGTGCCACTGAATAGTTTCAAACAGTGACATGATTGGATTCCTCAAATGGCTGGGGTGGAAGAGGGACAAGAGGTCGGAAGGCCAGGGGGCATCTGTGGTAGTCTCAGGGAGGCTGGCTCCAGATCACGGGGAGAAGGTAAGGATGGGAGGGGCCTGGCTGTGAAGGGCAGAGGAGGATCCCCAGAAGGACTTGGGAGGATGCTGCCGTGAGAGGGGCTGCCAGTCCCTCTTGCTGGAGTTTGAAAGTAAAGTTTGATGTTGCTAATTCTTCTTTTTTTTTTTTTTTTTTTTTTTGATGGAGTCTTGCTCTGTCACCCAGGCTGGAGTGCAGTGGCGCAATCCTGGCTCACTGCAACCTTTGCCTCCCGGGTTCAAGCAATTCTCTTGCCTCAGCCTCCCTAGTAGCTGGAATTACAGGTCTACACCACCACACCCGGCTATTTTTTGTATTTTTAGTAGAGATGGGTTACCCTGTGTTGGCCAGGCTGGTCTCGAACTCCTGACCTCAGATGATCCACCCACCTCGGCCTCTCAAAACGTTGGAATTACAGGTGTGAGCCTCCGCGCCCGGCCAGTGTTGCTATTTCTTAAGGCACAGTGAGGGAGGTGGCTCTCCGACTGAAACAGTGGGAAAGGAGAGGGTCACATGGACTGTCAACAGAGAAGTGGCTTTGAGAAGGCAATGTGTCCCTGATCCTGACCTAGCTGCTTGGAATTCTCTTCCCAGCTGCTTCTGCCTTGGGAGAAAGAAGCAGAGGAAAGGAGGGAAGGATTTGAGGCTGGGTGGGTGGGAGTCTTTGAGCTGTTTTTATCATAGCATACAGATGAGTTGCCCAATTTAGCTGTGTGGTTTGACAAGTTACTTGCTGGCTGGGAGAGGGAGTGGGATCTTAACCAGCCCTCAGCCCTTCCACTAATGAGCCTTTTCCCTAGCTTGGCAGTACCAGCAAAGGGAGTTAAGGGAGTCTGCCTTTCTCTGGGGTCAGCTTCATCCATTCATGGGGGCCTTGAGCCCGGCCCCACTGTCTTTGCTGTAAAGCCTGAGCCATGGCTTCCAGGTTGTCTGTGGCCCCAGGGCACCTGTTCCTCTTGAGGAGTGTAGACCGCCTCTCCTTTGCCCCCTCAGGCACCTGGGAGCCAGCAGGCATGAGGCCCGTGTTAGGCCTCAGGACCAAGTTCAGCCTGGCCTCCAAGACACATGCAGGGGGCTAGCTTCTTGAGGTTGCTGTGTCCTCCGCATCCCTCGGGAAATGGAGTCACAGCCACTCCTGAGTATTTGAAGCTCTGTTTGGCCAGCTTATAACCTTTACAATAAAAAACAAAATGCAGGCCGGGCACGGTGGCTCACGCCTGTAATCCCAGCACTTTGGGAGGCCAAGGTGGGCGGATCACGAGGTCAAGAGTTCAAGACCAGCCTGACCAACATGGTGAAACCCCATCTCTACTAAAAAAAAAAAAAAAAAAAAATACAAAAATTAGCCAGGCATGGTGGTGCATGCCTGTAATCCCAGCTACTCAGGAGGCTGAGGCCTGGGAAGTGGAGGATGCAGTGAGCCAAGATCGCACCACTGCACTCCAGCCTGGGCGACAGAACAAGACTCTGTCTCAAAAAAAAAAAAAATGCAGAAACAAATTCATTCTGACCTGATAAATACAGTTTGGAGGATAAAATCTTGGGGTAGAAGACAGAAATAATGAGATAAAGGAAGCTTCTCTAGAAGAAGCAAGGACTTAGGTGCTGCGAGGTAGGGAGGCTGGGCTAGATACCTGGGGCTGGGAGCAGGCTGCACGGAGGATGCATCGCACAACTGGCTTGTGTCTGGGCTGTGGCATGAGGGACCTGCATGGCTGAGAGGGGGTCAGGAGAAGCAAGCATGCAGCCCATGGGGATGGGTGGTTTCACGTGCTGTGGTTTAGGGGCTGGCAGGAAGCATGGAGAACAGGGGAAGGGGGCTCCAGCAGAAACCCATGCATGTGTAAAGGCTTGGATGCACGGAGGTGTGCCGTGTTTGGGAATGGTGCACTGTGCATTTGGTTCTCTGAAGCTGGAAGGGGTATGCTGAGGGGGTGGGAGGGGCATGAGATGAAGCTGCTGAGATGGATGGGCAGGGACCAAGCAAAAAGGGCTCAGGTTTGGGAGGAGCCCTAGAACCTTGGATACTAAAGTGTTGGGAGCCTTTGCTATATGGCCAAATAATCTGGGTTTTTGGCAACTGAGGGTTTTTGTAGTGATAATGAGGTTTATTTTCTCTTTCAACAAATTATTGAGAGCCTTTGTGCTTGAGGCATAACCCCAATCCTGGCATGTGGCATGATTTGTCAGGACAGAGTTCCCTCAATTGCCCCAGGCCTGTAGCTGTCAGTTGACTCCTCCAAGCCCGTGGACTGATGTGGTCAGTGCTCTGATGGAGATTCCCAGGTGGAAGAAGAGACGGCAGTCGGGAGGCTCTCAGAGGAAGAAATTCTGAAACTTGTGGGTAGCTGAGGGAAGCCTTCCAGGCAGAAGAACAGTATGTGTGAAGGCCCCAGCGGGGGAGGAAGTGGCCGGGGTGAGGTATTGGAAGAGGTGGGGGTGAGGTATTTCCTCACTATATTTCCTGCATTCACACATTTGAAATGAGAGCTCTCCTGTACAAGGTTAGGTCCCATCTCCCTGCTTCAGGGAGGCAATACTCAGAGCTGAGGGGTGCCTGTCCCCCAGGGAGCCCCTGAAGCCCCAAAATCTTGTATGCTAGACAACACCACTTATCTGGCTGTGGCCTGTGTGTGCCTCAGGAGACAGAGGATCCAAGATCAGCTCACTTTCCTCTTACCGAATCAGGCCTGGACTTGCTTTCTGGCTGGGTTACTTTCCCTCTGATGACTGGCTGCCTAGGCCAGGGCTCAGGGCGTCTGAGGGTGCTTAGTAGAACTCTGGGCCCAGCAGCTCTGAGAGAGAGGCTGGAGGGTCAGTCCTTTGTCCAGACCCTGACTGTGGGCAGTCCTGTTGTCTTCCATTGGGAAGAAGGTGTGCCTCTTCCCACCAGAACCTCGTGAATGCTGCATGCACACTCTTCATGGACAGTGTCATCCCTACCCCACAGATGGGAACAAGGACTCTGGTGTCACACAGCCTAAGCTAGGCTTAGTGCCCAGTTCTTGCTCCCCCATACTAACTGCTACCCTCCTAAGGGAGATATACTCCCTTAAACATTTTGAGCAAATTGAGGTTGGCTTCCGTTTTCTGATCTAGGGCAAAAAACCCCATTTGTTTGGGACTTTAGGTCAAACAAATCCATTCCTTTCCTGAAATCCTCAGTGAGTTAGTCCTGTCTCTGCTGGTGGCCATAGATTTCAAGAGTTGCTCTAAACAAACGTCCAGGTCTTGGTGGAAACTGTCCCTGGGCCAGTCAGAGAACCAGCCCAGACTCCCTGCCAGTGGCTGGGGAGTGGTAGAAATTTGGCTCGCCCCCCCATCCCCACCCTACCCACAGGCCCAGTTGTGTCTGTACCAGAAATGAGGAGTGATGCCAAGCCTAGGCCTGGCCCAGCCTTAGCTTCTGCAATGCAACCTATGTAATCACACCCATTTTACAAGGAGGAAACTGGGGCCATACAACAGGTCAGTGACAAGAGCTGGGACCTGAACTCAGGCTAGTCTGGTTCCACACTGCCCCCTGGCTTCTGGACCCTTACCACCAAAATGACTCTGAAACTAGAGAATTTCAGGATTTCAGACATCAGTGGAGAGGGCATTCGCAGAGGGGATCTTCCCTGCAGTCACAGTGATGGGAGGCTCCACACCCATCCTTGAGGGAGAAGATGAATGGGGCAGTGCTTTGAGTTTGTCAGGGGCTGTGTGAATGCAGTATGCTGTGACCCAGTGAGAATCCCTCCCGCCCTTCCGGAACAGAGGAGAGTTCTGAGAAGCCCAGAGGGCAAGCAGGAGCCTGGAAGCCAGGCCTCTGCCTCCGTCGAGGCCCTTTCTACTCCCACAGTCAGATTTTGGTTTGTTGTGCCCCTGCAGACTGGTCCCAGGGCCCAGCAGGATGCTGTAGGGATGTGGTGATGAGTGAAGGCCCCAAACACCGGCAGCCCAGCCCAGCCCAGCCCAGCGAGGAGGGGCCCAAGGCCTGGAGAGCAGAGTGAGGTGGCTGTGCCGTGGAGCAGATGCGGCTGCTGCTTACTCCTGCAACTTTGAGCAAGTTGTATAACCTTCCTGAGCTTCACGTGCCCCACCTGCAAAGTGGGCATAGTCACGATCTCCACCTCACAGGCTCTGAGGCTTACGTTAGAAAGCCGCAAAGCTGCTGAGCACAGCTTAGTAAATGACCCAGCTTTTGGCCCGCAGCCTGTGCCTTGTGGCCAGCTGAACGCAGTTGCTCCTCTTCGCTGAGCAGGCGTGTCCCTCCTCTCTCAGGATGATGTGTTGGAGAGCCATTCTTCTTTTGACCTGAGCCCTGCCTCCTGCCTCCCTGCTGCCTTTCTTCTGGCCCAGAGAGGTAGCTGTCCTTCTGCCTGTACACTGCTCTTAGGTTGGTAACCAGAGATGCAGGTGTCTGTCTGGGGGATCTCTGAGTTTTCTCAAGGCCTGAGCAGGACTGGGACATTTCAAACAGACGAGTAGGAAGTGAGTGCTCCTGGCTTGGAACTCAGAGCACTTTGTGGCCTCTGGACTAGGCTGGGCACAAGGCACAGCATCCAGTTCCCTGGGCTTAACATCGTGGCATGTGTTACTTTCAAAGAACTCACTGCAGAGCTGTTTCTCTGCTGATGAGGGCTCCTGGCTTTTCTGGAATCCACTAGAAGGCCTTGGTTTCATAGATGTCTATTGGATGAACAGATGGATTATTTTAAATTAAATTTTATTTTTAGATAATTGTAGATTCACATGCAGTTGTAAAAAATAATACAAAGGGATTCTTCATACCCCTTACTCGATTTCCCTCAATAGTAAGACCTTGCAAAACTAATACATTCTCACATCCAGAATATCGACAGATACAATCCACCCATCTTATTCAGATTTCCCCAGTTCCACTTGTGTGTGTGTTAGTGCTATGCAGTTTTATCACATGCATACATTCATGTAACCATCCCCACACTCAATACAGGACTATTCCATCACTTCATACAAGGGTCCCTCTTGTTACCTTTTTATAGCCACACCTACTTCCCTCCTTGCCCTCCCCTTCACCCTCTCCCTAGTGACCACCTCTGCCCTAGCAACTACTAATCTGTTCTCTAGGTCATTTCAAGAATGTTATAGGCCAGGCACAGTGGCTCACACCTATAATCCCAGCATTTTGGGAGACTGAGGCAGGAGGATCCCTTGAGTCCAGGAGTTCGAGACTAACCTGGCAACATAGTGAGACCTCATCTCTACCAAAAGTAAAAAAGTGGTTTTTTTTTTTTGTTCGGTTTTTTTTTTTTTTTTTTTTTTTTTGAGACGGAATTTCGCTCTTATTGCCTAGGCTGGAGTGCAGTGGCGTAATCTTGGCTCACTGCAACCTCCGCCTCCCAAGTTTAAGCAATTCTCCTGCCTCAGCCTCCTGATAGCTAGGATTACAGGCGTGTACCACCATGCCCAGCTGCATGTTTTATTTTTATAAGAAAATGCCAATGTATTTTCCATGACAGTAGTATCACTTTTTCTCCACATTCTCAATAGCATTTGATGTTGTCACTTTTTAGCCATTCTGATAGGTTATGTGATGGTATCTCATAGTGGCAGATGGATGGTTTCTACAGTCCTTTGTCCACAGCTCCTGTGATACTGGGCCTTGTTTTGTGAGTTGCCTCTGGGCTATCACCATCACCATGATTGTAGCCCCTTGAAGGCACAGTTTATCTGGCTCATGGGCCCAGACCAGGGTAGGGGCTTGTTTCAGTCCTCACAGGGCAACAGGCAGTTGGAGTTAAGGTGCTGAGAAAGGCACTAGATCCAACGTCACCCTCCCAGCAAACAGCTACTGTTGGAAAAGCACTTTCTATTGCCAACAGAGTTCTCATCGTCTGAGAAGCAAGCAGTGGGCCTTTGGTGTTCTGGGCTCCTGCTGTGGGTCAGCCCCTGGCTGGGGTCAGGGTGAGATTCAGAGATGGTTCAGGTTCCTACCCATGGCAGGTCCTGGCTCTGGGAATCTCAGTGGAGAAAGTGGAGAACAGGGAGTTGGACCAGTGGAGAACAGGGAGGCAGACCACTGTACGGGTTTCACATAACGAGAAAGTGTTGGGGTGGGAATGGCAAGATAGGGAAAGGGGTTAGCTGGACCCTGAAGGATGTGTGTTTTTTTGTTTGTTCATGTGTTTGTTTGTTTGTTTGTTTTGAGATGGAGTTTTGCTTTTGTTCCCCAGGCTGGAGTGCAATGGTGCAACCTCGGCTCACTGCAACCTCCACCTCCCAGGTTCAAGCAGTTCTCCTGCCTCAGCCTTCCGAGTAGCTGGGATTACAGGCATGCGCCACCACGCCCAGCTAATTTTGTATTTTTAGTAGAGATGAGGTTTCTCCATGTTGGTCAGGCTGGTCTCGAACTCCTGACCTCAGGTGATCTGCCCACTTCAGCCTCCCAAAATGCTGGGACTACAGGCGTGAGCCACTGCGCCCGGCCAGATGTGTTCATTTTTGACCAGGTGGAGAGGGGGCATCCAAGCAGAGGGAATAGGGGAGAGGGAAGGTGGTGTGGAAGGAAAAGACCAGGGGGAGCACTGAGTCTCTCAGTGACCTTGAAGATAGCAAGGTTAACCATTCCTTAGCTGTTTTGGCATCTGCTCTGTTGTCACCACCTCCCCACGGCACGGGTCAGGGTCTGTCACAGCCTCGTGGCCCCACGCACTTCACCTAGTACATGCCCCTGCTGGATAATAAGGTTTGTGTGTGACTGATGTGGGGGATATCTTTGGCCAGTGGTGGCATCCCCTCAAGACTTTGTCTCGAATGAGGGTGGGTAGGGCCTGTGTGTGTCTGTCTTGGTCATTGCAGTCTTGACCCTCGTTCTCCCTGCTCCAGAAATCCTTGCGGACGGAATGGCTAAGCCCAGAGCTAGGGCCAAGTCAGGCAGGGCTTCTGCATTGGAAGGGGCTTGAGAGGGTTGGGGGCTTCACCATCTCACCTCTCCCCTGCCCTTCTCTCATCCATCTGCAGGTTCATCATGCCTAGTGGCGTATAAGAAGACCCCGCCACCGGTCCCTCCACGCACCACTTCAAAGCCGTTCATCTCAGTCACAGTCCAGAGCAGTACTGAGTCTGCCCAGGACACCTACCTGGACAGCCAGGACCACAAGAGCGAGGTGACTAGCCAGTCGGGCCTGAGCAACTCGTCGGACAGCCTGGACAGCAGTACCCGACCGCCCAGCGTGACACGGGGTGGAGTCGCCCCAGCCCCTGAGGCCCCAGAGCCACCCCCAAAACATGCAGCTCTGAAAAGTGAACAAGGGACGCTGACCAGCTCTGAGTCCCACCCCGAGGCCGCCCCCAAAAGGAAACTGTCATCGATAGGAATACAAGTAGGGGCTCCTTTTGCACTCTGTGTCCTCAGCCCACTCCGTGCACCTGCCTGTGTGTAATTACATCTGGTAGAGGCCCACTAGGTCTCCTGGGAAAAGGTGGTTTGTCTCTCTATTTTGGGGGATCAGCCCCAAGTGGCCAAACCGAATTCCACCCATAGCCACGCCTCGCTGGTATCTGTCCACACGTGCTGCTGGTCAGCAGCTGTGGGCATGTGTTTCTGCTCCTCCAGTGGGTTGTCCCAGTGAATGTAGTTACACTCAGCCAGCCATCTCCTGTCCACTGTTTGCCTGTCCACTGTCTGTCTGTCCACTCCACCCTTTGCCCTGCCAGCTGACCCGTGGGAGGCGGGACTGGCCTAACAGTTCTCTAATCCAAGGTCAGCTCGGGTGCGGAGGCCATAGCCCCGCTTGGCGGCAGGAGCAGCATGGAGCATAGACGCTGTTGGGCCAGGGGCCCAGGACCCAGGGCCCTTGAGCCATGGGGGTTGCTCGAGGGGAACTTTGCCCAGAGCCCTCTCGGGCCTTGGGGACAGGTAGGTGGCTTGAGGTACCAGGCCCATGTCATTGAGAAGGGTGATGCCGGTCTCACTGCCTCCCTCCATGGGATAGGGTCCAGGCGATGGTTCCCCAGGGTTAGGTGGCCAAAGTCAGCAGGCCCTCCATAGTCATGGCACACAGCAGGGCAGGTGTGCCAGCTTCCCCTCCACTGCTTCATTGCACTCCTGCATGCACCCGATGTCAATAATCTGTCTTGTTTGCTGAGCTGGGGAAACTTGGGCCCTGCCTTGTAGTTTTTAAGAGTTTCTCTAAATCCAGATTGAGTGGACTCTCCCTGCCCTGGCTGGACCTGCAGACCAAACTAGGGCACGTTCAGAGCCATGAGGGAGGGGCAGCTACAGTGGGTGAGGGCGAGAGGGGAGACAGGGCCCCCCCAAGCCCAGGGGTTGAGTCAGGGAGGACGAGGCATTGTGTGTTGTGGCACAGGCTGCAAGGGACTCCTCCAGCCACCCCTGAGCAATTGGATGTGGCCCAGCTGATAACAAAGCACTGGAATGCAGGAGCGTGGGACACAAAGTGGAGCTTGAATGGAACAGAGAAGGCTCACTGAGCAATTTCTTGCAGTTGCCTGTATTTGTTTCCTCCAAGAGGCAGCTCTAGGCTTCCACTTCCCCATGTATAAACAGAGAGAGAGTTGGCCAGGAGACTCTGCTGCTGTTTTCTGGGCTTCTTAAGTGTCCAGTCCCTGCGCTGCACAGGTGGGATTCTCAGAAACACAGAGAGTAGCCTGATCTTCAACCCTTGGTCCTGACCACCCATATCTTTGGGCAGCCCCACCCTCTTGCTGGCCAAACCAGACGCTCTTATCTTCCCGGAAAGCCTAAGAGTTAGGACTACCCTTGATTCCTTTCACCCAGAAAATGACACCGGGATAAGGACTCTCTTAGGCCTGTCCTGGGCGTCCCATTCCCTGGATTCACCCCAGCCCCATTCTTGGTCTCATTGCAGCTCCTTGGAGATCCAGTGGTGCTGCATTCCTTGAGCCGGCTTTTGCCGAGGGGAAATGTGGCTGCATCCCTGTCCCAGAAAGCTTCCCTGGCCCCTACTTCTCTCCACAAGGCCAAGAGACTGAAGAGTCCCCAGTTTCTGAGGATGCCCTGAACCCTTGGTGCCTCATGCCCTAGATTGAGTGTGGGTTTCTCCCTCATTCTTGAGTGATGATAGGAAAGCTGGCCTGGCTGCCCCATGGCCCGGGACCTTTGTCCCAGAGAAGAAAGGCAGGCGCAGGGCATCACTGTTGTCCTGTTCCACTTCACAGGAGTGGAGGGAGTGACAGCTTTCCACTTGGCCCTGACCCCAGTCCTTCCTACTGCTCCCCAGGGCCACCCAGTGCTAAAGGTAACCTCAGCCAAGTGTGAATAACGTCCAGGGACTTCGGTGGCTCCTGTGGGTGGCAGTTTCTGAATCTAGAACTGCCGTCCAGGGTTTGCCCTTAGTGCAGGCGCCTCTGGCCTGCCCTCCAGGTTTCTGCCACAGGGTTCAGGGAGTGATCTTTGCCTCAAGACAGCCGCCAGCTTCAACTACACCAGATAACGGCTGTGGCTTTGTGTGTGTGTGTGTGTTTTCTTTCTCTTTCGTCGTCCTTTTTTTTTTTTCTCTCTGATGCGTGTGAAGGAGAGGACTAGAAGGAACGGTTCCCACCTCTCGGAGGACAACGGACCCAAAGCGATCGATGTGATGGCACCCTCCTCAGAGTAGGGAAAGCCAGTCATCTCCACCCCATCCCACCTCCCGCCCACCTGCCCGCCCGCCCGCCTGCCCGCCTCCACGCGAATGAGCAGTGCCCGGCTTAACCTGGTCCGGCCTCGGGCCCACGTGCAGTGTCCGCATGCCTCGTGTCTGTCTGTCCACACGTCCGTTTGCGTCGTCCCACTAATGTGAATTTCAGCAGCAAGTGTGGTGTTTGTTTTTTATTTTTGTCTTTGTCTCCGTGCCGTTGCTGTCGTTGTCCTTCAATAAGGTTGACTGCATTCAGCCAGTGCCAAAAGAGGAGCCCAGTCCCGCTACCAAATTCCAGTCCATCGGGGTTCAGGTAGAGGACGACTGGCGGTAAGTCGGACAGAGGTGGCGGCTGCTTCTCCCCTCTCCTCTCCCTCCCTCCGCTCTCACCTCTCCTGCTCTCCCTAACCCACTTCTCCTTGCTGGATTTCTAATAACCAAGCTGGGTTTGGGTTGCGGGTGGTGGCCCAGGCATGGGAGGCTGGGCAGGGGCGGGCGGGTGGACAGATGAGCATTTGCTCTGTGAGACCAGTCACCCACGGGGGCCATGGCTGGGCCAGGACATGGCGTCAGCTGCCCTGATGCTGGTGGTCTTCCTGGCCCCACTGCAGTAAACAGGCAACCTTATGACCTTGTCCTCGTGTGTGTGTGCGTGTGGGCTTGGGCGGGATGGGGCAAGGGCTGAGCCAAGAATGAGATGGGGGCTGTGGGACCCGCTTCAGGCGCATGGTGAGCAGATGATGCATCCGTTTCTCTGTCTCCCGTGTGTCCGGGTCAAGGCGGCCTCTGGTCTCTGGCCCTCTTGGTGACTCACTCCTTCCTGTCCCCACCCCATCCACCCCCTACCCACAGAAGCAGCGTCCCCTCTCACAGTATGTCCTCCCGACGGGACACAGACTCGGATACCCAGGATGCCAATGACTCAAGCTGTAAGTCATCTGAGAGGAGCCTCCCGGACTGTACCCCTCACCCCAACTCCATCAGCATCGATGCCGGTCCCCGGCAGGCCCCCAAGATTGCCCAGATCAAGCGCAACCTCTCCTATGGAGACAACAGCGACCCTGCCCTAGAGGCGTCCTCGCTGCCCCCACCCGACCCCTGGCTCGAGACCTCCTCCAGCTCCCCAGCAGAGCCGGCACAGCCAGGGGCCTGCCGCCGAGACGGCTACTGGTTCCTAAAGCTACTGCAGGCAGAAACAGAGCGGCTGGAAGGCTGGTGCTGCCAGATGGACAAGGAGACCAAAGAGAACAACCTCTCTGAAGAAGGTGGGTGCCACATGGATGGTCCTTGGGCAAGGGTAGAAGGTGTTGGCAGCTGGTTTCAGCTGGTGGCCAGCAGCTTCCGAACTTCTGAGTGGGGGTCTCTTAGGTTCTCTTCTTGGGCTAGTTTTTGAGCTCCCTTCTTACTTTCTTCGCATTCTTCCATCCATCCACCTATTTAACCAAACCTCTTTCCAGAAAGGGTTGCTGGTGATAGCTGTTTGTTGTGCAGGCTGTGAGGCCACCCACACCTGGGTTTGAATCCCAGCTCCTCCCTTACTAGTGAAGTAACCTTGGTCAGGTTACTCCGAGCCCCCATTTCCTCATCTGTAAAATGGAGCTAATCCTCTGCTCACTATATGAGCATGTTGTAAGGATTGAATGTGGTCGTGCATGTGAAGGGCCTGATGACCTGTCAGACACAGAGAAAAGTGGGAGCCTAATTATGCCTTCAACAACTTTTTTTTTTTTTTTTTTGAGACGGAGTCTTGCTCCATCACCCAGGCTGGAGTGCAGTGGCTCGATATCAGCTCACTGTAAACCTCTGCCTCCCAAGTTCAAGCAATTCTCCTGCCTCAGCCTCCTGAGTAGCTGGGACTACAGGCACGTGCCACCACACCTGGCTGATTTTTGTATTTTTAGTAGAGACGGGGTTTCACCATGTTGGCCAGGCTGGTCTCGAACTCCTGACCTCAGGTGATCCACCTGCCTCTGCCTCCCAGAGTGCTGGGATTACAGGCGTGAGCCACCACACTCAGCCAACAGCTTCTTACTGAGTGCTTCCTGTGTGCCAAGCACCAGGGATCCAACTGGGTCTCAATAGGGTGTGAAGAAGTTATGCTTTTATTTTCTACTTAAGTTTCTACCTATATCATGCCAATTTCCAAAAATTCCCTTGAGAAATTAGTTCAAGAAAGTGCTAGACACGTGTAGGGAGCCTAGATTCACAGGTGGTTGGAGGGGGGTTGGGTGGTGGAAGGCAGGTCCTGGGAAGCTCCAGGCTGTTGACCTGCACCCACCTGGTTCACCTGTGGCTCTGGTTCCCATTGAGCTACTCCTCCACACTCAGGAAGGACAGGTCTTCAGAGTGTCCAAATGGTTTGACACACATCCCATACATGATGGAGGGGGCCCTGAGGACAGCAGCCTTTGATGATGCAGAAGACTCATCAGAGTCATTGTTTTCACTGTCCTCTAGGCCAGTTCCCCGCTTTGATGTCACACCCACTAGTGCAGGGGAACTGTTGTGAGGAAAGTACCTAGTAACTTTTTACAATAATAGTATTTTAAAAAATCAAAACAGAGACAAGGATCAGAGAGCATTAAAAGGCTTCTAAGAGAAAACATCCAGCCCACCGCCCTACCTGGGCCTTTCCCCACTTTCAGTTTTTACTAGCTGTATATTCTGGTATTTGTCTTCATATATCTTTTAAAAAATGTGACTGATTATATTTCCTCTTTAAAATTAATCATCATTTCTATTAATTTCCTGTTACCATTGGCATAGATGAGTGTTTAGCTCTCACACAACCTCTGTCTCCCTTTCTCCCACCCTCTGTGTACATCACAGTTTATGATAAATAGTAATCAGTGTTTCTGTTTACTATGAGTATGTAAATATTGTTTATTGCAGAGCCTAACAGTATATTATTATTGCGTTTTCTTCTTTTTACATTTTGTTTTTCCTAAAACGAATTGTTTGCCCTGTTGCCACATTTAAAAAATACACTCCATTTGCTAAATTTTAAAAAAATTTTTTAAGAGACATGGCCTCACTCTGTCATCCAGGTTGGAAGTGCAGTGGCATAAGCATAGCTCACTGCAGCCTCAAACTCCTGGGCCGAAGTAATCCTCTCACCTCAGCTTCCTGAGTAGCAAAGGACTACCACAGAGTGCCACCATGCCCAGCTAATTTTTAAATTTTTTTGTAGGGACAAGGTCTCCCTGCGTTGCCTAGGCTGGTCTCAAACTCCTGGGCTCAAGCCATCCTCTTGGGTTGGCCTCCCAAAGTGCTGGGATTACAGACGTGAGCCACCACACCCGGACAACAATTTCTATATAAATATAAAAATGAAGTTAAAAATAATTTTCCCTCAGAATCTTAAAGGCACCATCATTTTTTTTATTTTTATTTTTTTGAGACAGTCTTGCTCTGTCGCCCAGGCTGGAGTGCAGTGGTGTGATCTCAGCTCACTGCAACCTCCACCTCCTGGGTTCAAGTGATTCTCCTGCCTCAGCCTCCCGAGTAGCTGGGATTACAGGTGTGTGCCACCATGCCCAGCTAATTTTTTGTATTTTTAGTAGAGATGGGGTTTCACTGTGTTGGCCAGGCTGGTCTCAAACTCCTGACCTCAGATAATCCGCCCGGCTTGGCTTCCCAGAATGCTGAGATTACAGGCATGAGCCACCATGCCTGGCCACCTTGTATTAATTTTTAAAAGTAATTTTCTCACTTCTATTTGTTCTGTTGTCTGGCTCTAGAATTTCTGTCAGTTAGTTGCTGTACCTGCTGTGTGGATCCTCAGGCTCTCACCTTTTCTTCCTCATGTTTTTTGTTGGACTTCCTCGAAGGTTTTCTTTTTCTTTTCTCTTTTTCTTCTGCCCTGTGATGGCTTTACTGAGATATAATTCACATACCACAAAATTCACCCTTTTAAAGTACACATTTAGTAAACTCACAATGGCACTTAGTGTATTCACAGTGTGGTGCAACCATCACTACTGTTTATTTTAAGAACATGTTCATTGCCCCAAAAAGATGCTCTCTGCTCATTAGGAGCCGCTCCCACAGCCTTAGGCAACCTCTAATCTTTCTGTCTCTGGATTTGCCTATTCTGGACATTTCATATAAACAGAATCATACCATATATGGCCTTTTTTTTTTTTTTTTTTTTTTTTTTGAGACGGAGTCTCGCTCTGTCTTCCAGGCTGGAGTGCAGTGGCGCGATCTTGGCTCACTGCAAGCTCCGCCTCCTAGGTTCACGCCATTCTCCTGCCTCAGCCTCCCCAGTAGCTGGAACTACAGGCGCCTGCCAACCACGCCCGGGTAATTTTTTGTATTTTTGGTAGAGACGGGGTTTCACCATATTAGCCTGGATGGTCTCAATCTCCTGACCTCATGATCCGCCCACCTCAGCCTCCCAAAGTGCAAAGTGCTGGGATTACAGGCGTGAGCCACTGCACCCGGCCCCATATTTGGCCTTTTGTGTCTGGCTTTCACTTGGCATGTTTTTGAGGTTCATCCATGTTGTAGCATATGCCAGTATTTCATTCCGTTTTGTTGCTGAATAATATTTCATTTCACACTACATTTTATTTATCCATTCTTCTGTTGATGGACATTTGGGTTGTTTGTACTTTTTGGCTATTATGAATAATACTGCTAGAATATTCATGTACAAGTTTTTTATGGATGTATATTCATTTCTTTTGGAGTAGAAATGCTAGGTCAAACTTCGATTTTTGTTTTCCTTTTTTTGTTGTAAAATATATATAACATAAAGTTTACCTTTTAACTGTTTTTAAGTGTGCAATTCAGTGGCATTAATTATATTCACAATATTGCACTACCATCACAACCATCTATTTCCAAAACTTTCATCTAAAACATAGAATCTACCTATTAAACAGTAATTCCCCATTATCCCCTCTGCCTAGCCGCTGGTATCCTCTACTTGCTGTGTCTGCGAATTTTCCTCGTCCTTTTGTGTTTGGCATGTTTTGAAGGTTCATCCATGTTACAGCATTTTCATTTTTATGGCTGACTAGTATTCCATTATGTGTACAATATATACCACATTTTGTTCATCTGTTGCTGGGCACTTGGGTTGTTTCCACCTTTTGGCTATTGTGAGTAATGCAGCTATGAAGACTGGCGTGTTTGAGTACCTGTTTTTAATTCTTTGGGGAGTGAAATTGCTAAGTTATCTGGTAACGCTATGTTTAACTTTTTGAGGAATGGCTGAACTGCTTTCCATAGAAGCTATACCATTTTACATTCCTACCAGCAAAGCACGAAGGTTCCAGTTTCTCCACATCTTCACCAACACCTGTTATCTTCTGTCTTTTAAAAAAATTCTAGCCATCCTAACGGCCATGAAGTAGATGAAGTAATATCTCATTGTCATTTTGATTTGTATTTCCCTTATGATATTGAGCATCTTTTCATGTGTCTGTTGGTCATTTTTATGTCTTCTTGGAAGAAATGGCTAAGGCCTTCGCCCATTTTTTAATTGGGTGGTTTGTCTTTTTGTTACTGAGTTGTAAGTCCTTTATATATTATGGGTGCTAGACCCTCATCATATATATGATTTGCAGATACTTTCTCCCATTCTGGAGACTGTCTTTTCACTTTCTTCCTGGTGACTTTTGATGCACACAGGTTCTTTTTTTTTTTTTTTGAGACGGAGTCTCGCTCTGTTGCCCAGACTGGAGTGCCGTGACGTGATCTTGGCTCACTGCAACCTCCGCCTGCTGGGTTCAGGCAATTCTCCTGCCTCAGCCTCCTGAGTAGCTGGAATTACATGTGCGTGCCACCATGCCTGGCTAATTTTTTGTATTTTTAGTAGAGACGGGGTTTCACCATGCTAGCCAGGGTAGTCTCGAACTCCTGACCTCATGATCTGCCTGCCTTGGCCTCCCAAAGTGCTGGGATTACAAGCATGAGCCACCACGCCTGGCTGACGCACAAAGGTTCTTAGTTTTGATGAAGTCCATTTTTTCCTTTTGTTGCTTGTGTCTCCACTTATTTTTTTAAATTATGAGCATATATTAATAAAAATTTAAGATAAACAGTTGAGGCACTGAGAAGCTGACTGGCAGTTTTGTGTGGGTAGGGCTTGTTTTAAGTAGGCTTTCTATGGACCCCTTCTTAGAATAGTGGTTTTAGGCTGGGTGTGGTGGCTCATGCCTGTAATCCCAGCACTTTTCGAGGCCAAGGCGAGAGGATCTCTTGAGCCCAGGAGTTCAAGACCAGCCTGGTCAACATAGCGAGACCCCCATCTCTATCGAAAATATAAAAATTAGCCAGGCATGATGGCATGTGCCTGTCATTCCAGCTATTCGGGAGGCTGACAAGCGGGGAGGATCACTTGAGCCCAGGAGGTCGAGGCTGCAGTGAGCCAAGATTGGGCCACTGCACTCCAGCCTGGGTGACAGAGTGAGACCCTGTCTCAAAAGGAAAAAATCATAAGGAAGAGAAAATATACTTACTGTTCATTAAGCAGAAGTGGATCGTCATAAAGGTCTTCCTCCTTGTCTCCACATTGAGTACACTGAGGAAGAGGAATGGGGAAGAGGAGGAATGTTGGTCCTGCTGTCTCAGGGGTGGCAGATGGGAAGAAAATTGATACATAAGTAGATCTTTGCAGTGCAAACCTGTGTTGTTCAAGGGTCAGCTGTATTTCACCATATATTCAATATAAAACTATTGCAATATCTTATATTCCTTTTCATAGTAAGTCTTTAAAACTTAGTGTATATTTTACTCTTACAGCACATCTTAATTCAGACAAGCAACATTTCAGGTGCTTACTAACGACATGTGGCTAGTAGCTGCTGTATTGAGCACAGATTGAGACAGTAAGCCTGGGGCAGGGTGCACAGATTGCTTCATGCCAATAGGGTGATTCTGTGGATTTGATTCCCTTTAACTTTCCTTTACTATACTTAATTCTAGTTATTTCTAGAGCAAGAAGATGTTTACCTGCAAAGGAAATTATGTCATACCAAACGATATTGGTATTACCTTCCTGTCTACCTGGGAGGGAAGAGGTCTTTTATGATGTTTCTGGATAACCACACCAGAACTCCTGCAGTTGAACATGAACTCTAGAGGGGGCCCTTTTCATAGCCCTGTATCAGTTACTGTAACTTACAGACAGATGGAGTCACATAGCTCATGTCCCTTATCCAAAATACATAGGTCAGGGAACTCAGCAGTGCCCACCCACCCAGGTGGCTGCCTGTATTGACTGAATTTTGCATTGCCCTCTTGTCTAAACCTGAAGAACTTTAAACTTGACAATGTTCTTTTCAGATAATTTATTTTTCTGAATTGTGGTTAAATATATATAACATGAAAATTACCATTTCAACCAAGTTTACAGTCTGTGGCATTAAATTCACACTGTTGTATAACCATCACCACCGTCCATCTCTAGAACTTGTTTTGTCTTCCCCAGCTGAAATTCTGTACCCATTAAACACTAACTCCCCATTCCCTCCTACCCCCAGCCACTGGCAGCCACCACTCTACTTTGTCTCTATGAGTTTGACTATTCTAGCTACTTCATGTAAGTGGAACCATGCAGCATTTGTTCTTCTGTGACTGGCGTATTTCACTTTGCATAATGTCTTCAAGGTTCATCCATAGCATGTGTCACAATTCCCTCCCTTGTTAAGGCTGAGTAATATTCTATTGTATGTAGAGACTACATTTTATGTATCTATTCATTTGCCAATGGATAGGTGGATTGCATCTACCTTTTGGCCGTTGTGAATAATGTTTCCTGTCTCTTAAGAATGATACTCTTCATTGAAATTGCAAGGCTCTCTGATTAAATTCTGTACATCCACTCAAGGCCCTGACTTGTGGGCACAAAAGTTGTTTTTTTTTTGTTTTGTTTTGTTTTGTTTTTGTGAGACAGAGTCGCACTCTGTTGCCCAGGCTGGAGTGCAGTGGTACAATTTCGGCTCACCACAACCTCCGCCTCCTGGGTGCAAGTGATTCTCGTGCCTCAGCCTCCTGAGTAGCTGGGATTACAGGCACATGCCACCACGTCCAGCTAATTTTTGTATTTTTAGTAGAGACAGGGTTTCACCATGTTGGCCAGGCTGGTCTTGAACTCCTGACCTCAAGTGATCTGCCCACCTCGCCCTCCCAAAATGCTGGGATTACAGGTGTGAGCCACCACACCCAGCCGTGGCCACAAGTTTTAAGGTCACCCCTCTTAAATCTGTGAGGAACTCCACCAAGGAGATACCATTCGTAGCTGGGCCTCAGAGAATATCTACAGGCTGGGGGAGAGGAAAGGCATTCCAGATGGAGGGAGCAAAGACACAGAAGCAGGAAGGGCATAACAAGTCACGCCAAACCTAATGGCACAAAACAACCATTTTATTATGGTCACAGATTCTGTATGTCAGCAGTTCAGAAAGAGCGTGGCAGGAACATCTTGTTTCTTCTCCATACAGCCTGGGGCTTCAGATGGGAAGGCTCAAGGGCTTGGGGTGACATGACACCTGAGGTATGGAATTACCTAAAGGTAGTTAACGTGTGTGCCTGGCACTTAAACAAGGATGACTCAAAGGCCAGGACTGCCAGCCACAGCCCCTGTGTATGTCCCTCCACGTGCCTTTGCTCCCTCGCAGCATGGCAGCCTTCTTGCATGGTGGCTCCAGGCCCAAGTGTGTGTTGAACCCTGAGGCTGCATCCTTTTCTGACCTAGCCCTGGAAGTCACGTAGTAACTCTTCCACTGTATTTGACTGGTTACAAGCAAGTCACAAGCCCAAGGCGGGGCTTCAGGTTGAAGGAGGGAAGTATTAGACCCTACCTCTTCATAGGGAAGTATCAAGGTTTCAGAAGAGGAGGAGGGACAGGAGAGACTGTTGGGGCCTTCAGAAAATACAATCTGCCACAGCAAAGAAGCAGTTACATCCACTGTTAAGCTGCAGTAAAAAGAACAATTTTATATTGAACGCTATGTCTTGAACACTCTGTCTACTTTGATACATAGAGATCTAGTTCATTTCTGTTAAATTCATACACATATACTACATTCCCTTTGACCATTTTCCTACTGATGTTTCAGGGTTCTTTTTTTTTTTTTTTTTTTTTTTGAGATGGAGTTTCTCTCGTTACCTAGTCTGGAGTGCAATGGCGCGATCTCGGCTCACCGCAACCTCCACCTCCCGGGTTCAAGCAATTCTCCTGCCTCAGCCTCCCAAGTAGCTGGGATTACAGGCATGTGCCACCACGCCCAGCTAATTTTTTGTATTTTTAGTAGAGATGAGGTTTCTCCATATTGGTCAGGCTGGTCTTGAACTCCCGACCTCAGGTGATCCGCCTGCCTTGGCCTCCCAAAGTGCTGGGATTATAGGCGTGAGCCACTGCACTGGGGCCATTTTGGTGTTTTCAGCGTTTCATCAACACTCTGGTGCATGTCTCTCTGCCATGAGGTGGGAGAACTTCTCTGGAGTACTTACCTTGGACAGAATCACTGGATGGGAGGAAACACATATTTTAATAAATGCTGTCTGATTGCTCTCCAAAGAGGTTATATCAGTTTATCCTTACACCAAGTGTTTGAAAGTTGCCATTTCCCTAGTATACTTACTGATACTTGATCTTGTTGGACTTTAAATCACTTACTTGGTAAGTGAAAAATTAAAACCAGTTGATTTATTTCACATTTACTTGGTTACTAGAGAAGCTGTGCATATTTTAATTTTATTTATATTGGCCATTTAAACTTCTGTGAATTACTTGTATACTCTATTCATTCTTCTATTGGATTCTCAGTATTTTTCAAATTGTCTGGGCATGGTGGCTCATGCCTTTAATCCCAGCACTTTGGGAGGCTGACGTGGGAAGATTGCTTGAGTTCAGGAGTTCAAAACTAGCCTGGACAACGTAGTGAGACCTCATGTCTACTACAAATGAAAATTTAAAAATAAACAATTGGCCAGGCGCAGTGGCTCATGCTTATAATCCCAGCACTTTGGGAGGCCGAGGCGGGAGGATCACCTGAGATCAGGAGTTTGAGACCAGCCTGGCCAACACAGTGAAACCCCGTCTCTACTGAAAATACAAAAATTAGCCGGGCGTGGTGGCAGGCGCCTGTAATCCCAGCTACTCGGGAGGCTGAGGCAGGAGAATCGCTTGAACCCAGGAGGCAGAGGTTGCACTGAGCCGAGATCACACCACTGTACTCCAGCCTGGGTGACAGAGCTAGACTCCATCTCAAAAAATAAATAAATAATAATAATAATAAATTAGCTGAGCATTGTGGTGTACACCTGTAGTCCCAGTTACTCAGGAGACTAAGGTGAGAGGATTGCTCGAGTGTGGGAGAGTAAGGCTATAGTGAGGTATGATTGTGCCACTGCACTGCAGCCTGGACAACAGAGTGAGACCCTGTCTCAAAAAAACAAAAAGTACTTTAAAAATCAATTTGTAGTTCTTTATATATATGGATAGTTACACTGTGCCTATTATAATATGACGAATATTTTCTGCCACATTATTGCTTGTCTTTTTTTTTTTTTGAGACAGAGTTTTGCTCTTGTTGCCCAGGCTGGAGTGCAATAGCGTGATCTCAGATCACTGCAACCTCTGCCTCCCGGGTTCAAGCGATTCTCTTGTCCCAGCCTCCTGAGCAGCTGGGATTACAGGCATGCGCCACCACGCCCCACTAATTTTGTATTTTTAGTGTTGGTCAGGCTGGTCTCGAACTCCTGACCTCAAGTGATCCGCCTGCCTCAGCCTCCCAAAGTGCTGGGATTACAGGCATGAGCCACCGCGCCTGGCCTGAAGTCTCTTTCTTTCTTCAGTGTTTAGTGATGCAGATTCCATACTTACGCAGGGGTATGTTTCTGGGCTCTGTTCTGTTCCTCTTTTGGCTGCTTCTATGTTAATACAACTATTTTCATTTATTTGTTATTTAATTTTATTTTTTTGGCGAGTCTCACTCTGGCACCCCATCTGAAGTGCAGTGGCATGATCTCAGCTCACTGCAACCTCTGCTTCCCGGGTTCAAGCGATTCTCCTGCCTCAGCCTCCTGAGTAGCTGGGACTACAGGTGCATGCAACCACACCTGGCTAATTTTTTGTATTTTTAGTAGAAATGAGGTTTCGCCATGTTGGCCAAGCTGGTCTCAAACTCCTGACCTCAGCTGACCCACCTGCCTCGGCCTCCCAAAGTGCTGGGATTACAGGTGAGAGCCACTGAGCCTGGCTGACTCCTGGCTAATTTTTGTATTTCTACTAGAGATGGGGTTTCACCGTGTTGGCCAGGCTGGTTTGGAATTCCTGACCTCAAGTGATCCGCCTGCCTCGGCCTCCCAAAGTCCTAGGATTACAGGTGTGAGCCACTGCGCCCAGCTGACACCTGGCTAATTTTTGTATTTCTAGTAGAGATGGGGTTTCACCATGTTGGCCAGGCTGGTTTGGAATTCCTGACCTCAAGTGATCCACCCACCTCGGCCTCCCAAAGTGCTGGGATTACAGGAGTGAGCCACCGTGCCCAGCTGTATTAATATAACTTTCAATTACCATGGCTTTGTAGCACGCCTTGGTATCTGGTGAGTGCTCCTTCTTTATCCTTTTTGTGCAGAAAGAAAAACTATTCTTGTATCTTCATTCTTCCAATATAAATTATAGAATTTGTATATCAAGTTCCTCAGAAAAATTCTGTTGGGATGAAAACTGGAAGTAGAGTAAGCTTATAGATTAATTGGGGAAGAACTGATAACTAAAATATTGAATCTTCTCAACTATAAGTCAACTTTATCACTCCATTTATTCAAGAATCCTATTATATCCTTCTATCCAAGTTTGAGTAATTTCTCTATGAAGGTCTTTCATATTTTAATTTTCATTTAATTTAATTTTTTGAGAAAAGGTCTCACTCTGTCACTGAGGCTGGAGCACAATGGCATGATCTTGGCTCATTACAGCCTCAGCCTCCTGGGCTCAGGTGATCCTCCTGCCTCAGCTTTCCAAGTAGCTGAGGCTACAGGTGTGTACCACCATGCTCAGCTAACTTTGAGATTTTTTTGTAGAGATGGGGTCTCACTATGTTGTCCAGGCTGGTCTTGAACTCCTGGGCTCAAGCAGTCCTCCTGCTTTAGCCTCCCAAAGTGCTGGGATTACACCCATGAGCCACTGCACCTGGCCTCCTGCATATTTTTATTAGATTTATTCCTTAGTACTTTCTAGTAGTTTTTGTTGAGTTTTGTGAAATTGATCATTTAAAAAATATTTGCGGCCGGGTGCAGTGGCTCACTCCTATAATCCCAGCACTTTGGAAGGCCGAGGTAGGCAGATCATTTGAGGTCAGGAGCTCGAGACCAGCCTGGCCAACATGGTGAAACCCCATCTCTACTAAAAATACAAAAATCAGCTGGGTGTCATCGTGGGCACCTGTAATCTCGGCTACTTCTGAGGCTGAGGCAGGAGAATCACTTGAACCCGGGAGGTGGAGGTTGCGGTGAGCCGAGATCATGCCACCGCGCTCCAGCCTGGGCGACAGAGGGAGACCCTGTCTCAAAAAAAAAAAAAAAAATGCATAGTCTAATTAGTCACAGCTAGTAGGTAGAAATGTTTAATCCTTGTATGTTGATCTTGTGTCCGGCAACCAAGAGAATCCAACATGGTTCTCTTGGATTTGCATCATAAATGATTATATTGTTTGCTAAGAATGCCAATTTTGTCTCTCTGATTTTTTTTTTTTTTTTTTTTTGAGAGAGAGTCTTGCTCTGTTGCCCAGGCTAGAGTGCAGTGGCGTGATCTCGGCTCACTGCAAGCTCCACCTCCCGGATTCATGCCATTCTCCTGCCTCAGCCTCCCAAGTAGCTGGGACTACAGGTGCCCACCACCTCGCCCAGCTAATTTTTTGTAATTTTAATAGAGATGGAGTTTCACCGTGTTAGCCAGGATGGTCTTGATCTCCTGACCTCGTGATCCGCCCACCGCAGCCTCCCAAAGTGCTGGGATTACAGGCGTGAGCCACCATGCCTGGCCCCTTGTCTCTCTGATCTTATTGATATCTTGTCCAACTGTATGGCAAGGTGCTTCAGGACAGTGTGGAATAATAGGTCCATATCTCTACCTTGTCCTGACCGTCATTCACTCAGTGAATATTTATTGAGTACCTACCTTATGCCAGGTACTGTTGTAGCTTCTGGGGATGTCGCAGTGAACAAAACAAAATCCCTCCCCTCATGGGAAGGGATACCAAATAACCAAATGTGGTAAGCAGTAACCAGGTGAGCAGTAACAAATAACCAGGAAGGGTAAGAGCAGTATAGTGTCCACTGCACAGGCAGGGTCGGTGTTGCTGTTGCATTCAGGGTGGTCAGGGAGGGCATCCCTGGCCAGGTGACCTGTGAGCAGAAACCTGAAGAGAGGGAGAGAGGAAGTCTGTAGAGATCTGGGGAGAAGAACTTTTCAGGCAGAGGGAGCAGCACCTGACTGATGGGCAAGTGCTTGACATGCGCAAGGCTGAGGGAAGCCACCAGTGGGCTGCAGCCATGAGCCAGAGGAGAGGGATGGGAGATGAAGTCAGACTGGGGGCATCTCAGATCACAGGGGTCTCAGAGGCCCTTTTTTTTTTTTTTTTTTTTTTTTTTTTTTTTTTTTTTGAGATGGGGTCTCACTCTTTCACCCAGGCTGGAGTGCAGCGGCGCAATTTTGGCTGACTGTAACCTCCACCTGCCAGGCTCAAGCAATCCTCCCACCTCAGCCTCCCAAGTAGCTCGGACCACAGGCCCGCCGCACCTGGCTGGGAGTTTTACCAAGTTGCCCAGGCTGGTCTTGAACTCCTGAACTCAAGTCATCTGCCCATCAGAGGCCATTATTAAAGGCTTGGTTTTACTCCAAGAAGAGCTCATCAGTTCTGAGTGCTGCAACTTGACATACTTTTTTAAAGAATTAATCTGGGCCGGGCGCGGTGGCTCACGCCTGTAATCCCAGCACTTTGGGAGGCCGAGGCGGGTGGATCATGAGGTCAGGAGATCGAGACCATCCTGGCTAACAAGGTGAAACCCCGTCTCTACTAAAAATACAAAAAATTAGCCGGGCGCGGTGGCGGGCGCCTGTAGTCCCAGCTACTCGGGAGGCTGAGGCAGGAGAATGGCGTGAACCCGGGAAGCGGAGCTTGCAGTGAGCCGAGATTGCGCCACTGCAGTCCGCAATCCGGCCTGGGCGACAGAGCGAGACTCCGTCTCAAAAAAAAAAAAAAAAAAAAAAAAAGAATTAATCTGGCTTCTCTATCCAAATGAGAACCTCTGTGTACCTTCCATTGGCACACAAATGGAAGCTGGGAGATGAGTTAGGAGGATTTAACAATCTGTGTAAGAGAGACTTTAATGGAGGAATCAGACTGTGGATATATCTTGAAGATAGAACAGGATTTCTCGACAGATTAGATATGGGTAAGAGTAAGGGAGCCAAACATGGCTTGGAGTCTGAGTGAAGAAGAGGATGGCATTGCCACTGAAATGGGGAAAACTATAGGAAATGTCGATCTGGGGGAAAGTCAGGAGTTTGGTTTGGAACATGTTAAATTTGATATGCTTTGTTAGACATCAGAATAGAGAAGTCAAGCAGGCAGTTGGATATATGAGTCTGGGGATAGGTCCAGTTTGAAGATTCTATCTGGGAGTCACCAGAGTATAGATTAAGATGAATAAGATGAGAATGCCTAATAAGTAGAGAAGACAAGCTGTCTAAAGACTGATCCCAGAGACATGAACACTTAGCGGTGGAAAGGGAGGAATAAACAGCAAGATCAAAGGAAGAGCAATTGGAAGCCACCTGAACAACGTTCTCAAGGGAGAATCCAGTGTCAAAGGCAGCTGAAGGGCTCACCAAGCCAGATCTAGAAAGGCAGAGGTCATTAGATACATAAAGGGCCATTTTGGTGGAATTGTGATGGCAGAAGCATGGGTAAGGTAGCCTGAGAGGAGGAGGATTAAGAGAAGAGAAAACAGGAGAGTAATTGGAGACCACATGCATGGATTTTCCTGTACAAGGAAGCAGAGAAATGGAGGGATGTAGGGTCAAAGGAGACAGCTGTTTCGTTGTTGTTGCTGTTGTTTTGAGATAGGGTCTCACTTTGTCACCCAGGCTGAAGTGCAGTGGTGTGATCTCAGCTCAATGCAGCCTTGAACTCCTGGGCTCCACTGATCCTCCCACCCCAGCCTCCCAAGTAGCTGGGAACACAGGGGTGCACCACCACACCTGCCTAATTAAAAATTTCTTTTTTATAGAGATGCAATCTCGCTTTGTTGCCTAGGCTGGTCTCAAACTCCTGGGTTTAAACAATCCCCCCATCTCAGCCTCCCACAGTGTTAGGATTACAGGCATGAGCCACCGCGCCTGTCCTTGTTTTGTTTTTTTAATGGAGCAATATAAGCATGTTTATATGTTGCTGAGAATGACCTTGTTAGAGAAAGGGAGCTTATTATGCTGGAGAGAAAACAGGCAACTGTTGGGGTTATCCTTAGGTGAGAAGGAATCGAATTAGTGCCCAAGTAGAGAACAGATAGCTTCTCCACAGTGACAGGAGAAAGGCCATGTCTGAGGAGAGGTGAGGTGAGGCAGATGGGAGCAGAGTCATCACCTCAGGGTAAGGAGGTGGAGAGGACGCGTAGGACGTCTCTGGAGAGCAGATTTGAAACTGGCATCCAGGAGAGAGGAGGCCCACCAGTCACTCCAAGGACCACTGAGATTAGGTGTGAAGGCAGAACTGGAATGTGGGAGGGATGCGTCCATCCAAAAGATGAGCTTGAGTTTACTGTTTTCCATTCATTGCATGTCTGTATCACACCACTTTCTATAAAATGGTTTGTCCATTTCTCCTTAAAAAACTTTTGTTTTATATATTTTGAAGATATTGGATGGATCAAGTTTAGAATTGTAATATTCCTGGCAGATGTTCACTGATCCATTCTGTTTTTCAGAATCTCTGTTTGTGTTTGCCTAAGAGTTATATGTATTATGACTATTACAGTAGCAGACTTCCTTTGATTAGTGTTTGTCTGGTATATCTCTTTCCATCCATTTACTTTTTACCTTTCACTGTCCTTATTAATCATGTCTCTTGTAATCAGCATATACCTGGATTTTATGTTTTATCCAGTTTCCTGATTTTTATTTTAGAAATAGGTAGTGTAGTCCATTTTTACGAGGTGACTTCTATATATTTAGGTTCATTCTTACCATGTTATTTTGGGGGATTTGTGCTTTTTAAATGTATTTTAATTTATTTATTTAAATAGAGATGGTCTCTCACTATGTTGCCCAGGCTGGTCTCAAACTTCTAGCCTTAAGCAGTCCTCCTACCTGGGCCTCCCAAAGTGTTGGAATTACAGGCGTGAGCCACTGAGCCCAGCCTCCTTTTCTGAGGTGCCTTTTTTCCTCTTTCTTCCCTTCTTTTGGATTAACTCCTCTCCTCACTCCTTTTACAAACCCTACTAGTTTTGAGGCTATATTAATTGGGATTACATTTGCCTACAAATAACACTAAAACATTTCTAAAAAGTGATTTAAACAAGACTGTTTATTTCATTCTCAAGAATGTCTCAGATAGTGATGGTGGAGCCACAGGCTTTTTTGTTTCCTTGCAGTTTGATGCCATTAATTGGCTTTCATTGATAAGATCTTCTCAACTGTCAGAGTGCTGCTGGATCCCAGCATCCTAAGTGCATTCCAGCCAGCAAAGGAACCAACAGCAAAGGAGAACAGCTGGCCCACGCACTGCTTCTGCTTCCACTGCTTTGGCCAGAATTTAGACATACAACTATGCATATCTTGCTGCAGGGGAGTCTAGGAAATGCTTGATTCCAGGCTATGTGCCCAGTTAAAAATAAAAGGTCCACACAGATCACTTGTTTTCAGAAGCCTATGCTGTGCTTAGTAGACAGTGTGCACATTATAGAGAGTTGGCATAATGCTAACAACAGAATCCTTATTCTAATCCTGATCCTAGTATAACTTGTTGTAGGATTCTAGTACTTCGCATGCCATGCCTCAGAGTTTTAATGTGACAGTACTGGCTGGGCACGGTGGCTCATGCCTGTAATCCCAGCACTTTGGGAGCCGAGGTGGGTGGATTGCCTGAACTCAGGAGTTCGAGACCAGCCTGGGCAACATGGTGAAACTCCATCTTTACTAAAATACAAAAAGTTAGCGGGGCGTGGTGGCGTGCACCTGTAATCCCAGCTACTTGGAAGGCTGAGACCGGAGAATCACTTGAACCCGGGAGGCAGAGGTTGCAGTGAGCCCAGATTGCGCCATTGCATTCCAGTCTGGGCAACAGAGCTAGACTCCGTCTCAGGAAAAAAAAAAAAAAAAAAAAAAATTGACAGTACTTTGTCCTGGGAAATTCACACTATGCCTAAAGGCTTGCTGTGTTTCATTTCCTCTGAATAAAGTTGCTGTTAGATATGAAGGAAAAAAAATCAAAAGTTCTGTGTATGGCTGGGCGTAGTGGCTTATGCCTGTAGTCCCAACACTTTGGGAGGCTGAGGCAGGTGGATCACTTGATCCCAAAAGTTCAAGACTAGCCTGGGCAACATAATGAAACCCCACGAAACACCATGCCTGGCTAATTTTATATTTTGTATCTCTATAAAAAATACAGCCGGGTGCGGTGGCTCACGCCTGACCTCGTGATCCGCCCGCCTCGGCCTCCCAGAGTGCTGGGATTACAGGCATGAGCCACTGCGCCTGGCCGAACCTGTGTCTTAAAAAAAAAGAAAGAAAAGGCTGGACGCAGTGCCTCACGCCTGTAATCCCAGCACTTTCGGAGGCCGAGGTGGGCAGATCACTTGAGGCCAGGAGTTTGAGACTAGCCTGGCCAACATGATGAAATCCCGTCTCTACTTAAAATATAAAAATCAGCCAGGCGTGGTGCGGGCGCCTGTAATCCCAGCTACTGGGGAGGCTGAGGCATGAGAATTGCATGAACCTGGGAGGTGGAGGTTGCAGTGAGCTGAGATTGCGCCACTGCACTCCAGTCTGGACAACAGAGCAAAGCGATTCTCCTGCCTCAACCTCCCGAGTAGCTTGGACTACAGGCATGTGCCACCACACCCGGTTATTTTTTGTATTTTTAGTAGAGATGAGGTTTCAACGTGTTGGCCAGGTTGACCTCAAACTCCTGACCTCAGGTGATCCGCCCACCTCAGCCTCCCAAAGTGCTGGGATTACAGGTGTGAGCCACCGTGCCCGGCCTAGTAGTTTCTTAATGTTTTGAAAATGAGTTGTTGTTACTGATTTTTTTTTTTTAATTTGTTGGTGGTTGGGAGAAGTCAGCTTGTCTGACACTCACTGGTTTGTCTTAGCCAGAATCAGAAGTGATTACAATTGTCAATGTTGAATCAGTCTTGCATTCTCAGAATAAACCCAGCTAAATTTATGATATATTATTTTAGTACACTGCCGGGTTTAATATGTGATTTAATAATTTTGTCTTTGTTCATGAGACATTGGCTTGTAATCTTTCCTTTCTATCCTTGTCCTGTTGTAGTTTTAAGGTTCTCTAGCTTCAAAAATCAGTGTGGGACGTTTCCTCTTCTCATAGTCTCTGAAGGAATTTAACAACAGGATTTTGCCAGGTGCAGTGGCCCACACCTGTAATCCTGCACTTTGGGAGGCCAAGGTGGACAGCTCACGGTCAGGAGTTCAAGACCAGCCTGGCCAACATGGTGAAACCCCATTTCTACAAAAATACAAAAATTAGCTGGGCATGATGGCGGGTGCCTGTAATCCGAGCTACACTCAGGATGCTGAGGCAGGAGAATTGCTTGAACTCGGGAGGCAGAGGTTGCAGTGAGCTGAGATCCCACCACTTTACTCCAGCCTGGGCAACAAAACAAGACAAGACTCGGTCTCAAAAAAAAAAAAACCAGGATTTTATTTCATGGTTGTGTATAACTCTAGTTTTGAGTATCTTTTCTAGTATAGCTATATCACATTATCCTTTACTCATTCCTAATCTTTATTTGCATCTGTCTTCTTTTGATCTTGATCAGTCTGACAGGGTTTGTTAATTTTATTAATCCTCTTATTTTTATTAATTTCTCTTCTCTTTGGGTTAATTGTATTATTCCCTTACTAATGTCTTAAATTGGAAGCTAATTCATTTTTTTCAGCCTGTCCTTTTATATAAGCTTTGAAGCCGATGCATTTCTCTTTAACTACTACTTTAGCTGTATCTGACAAGATCTGCAACTTCCACTGTGATTTCTTTGACGACTGGGTTATTTAGATGTGTAAATCTTTGTTTTTATATGGGAGTTTATTAGTTATGTTTTCATTACTGGTTTCTAACCTATTTATATTAATGTCAAAAAACATGATCTGGTGGCTCATGCCTACAATCCTAGCACTTTGAAAGGCTGAGGCAGGAGGATCAGTTCAGCCTAGAAGTTTAAGACCAGCCTGGGAAACATAGCAGGACCTCTTCTCTATTTAAAAAATAAATAAATAAATAAAAAATTAGGCCGGGCGCAGTGGTTCATGCCTGTAATCCCAGCACTTTGGGAGGCTGAGGCAGGCGGATCACGAGGTCAGGAGTTCGAGACTAGCCTGGTCAACATCGTGAAACCCCCATCTCTACTAAAAATACAAAAATTAGCCAGGTGTGGTGGTGCGCGCCTGTAGTCCCAGCTACTTGGGAGACTGAGGCAGGAGAATCGCTTGAACCCGGGAGGCAGAGGTTGCAGCGAGCCGAGATCGTACCACTGCACACCAGCCCGGGCAACAGTGCGAGACTCCATCTCAAAAAAAAAAAAATTAGCTGGGCGTGGTGGTGCACTCCTGTAGTCCTAGCTACACAGGAAGCTAAGGCAGGAGGATTGCGCACGCACAGAAGGTCAAGGCTGCAGTGAGCCGTGATGGCACCACTGCACTCCAGCCTGGGTGACAAGACAGAGACCCTATCTCAAAAACAAAACACATGATCTGTATGATACCCAGTCAGTTCTTTGTAATTTAATTTATTGTATATTTTATGGCCAAGAATGTGGTCATTTTTAGCAAATGTTCCATGTGTGAGAAGTATATTTTATATGAGGTTTAGAGTTTTCTGTCTGTGTGCGTGCGTGTGCGTGCGTGCATGTACACACAGATTTTCTTTTTAGTCAGAGTCTATTCATCTATTGACAGACACTTGGGTTGTTTCTACCTTTTGGCTACTGTGAGTCAAACTGCTATAAATATTGGCGTACAAGTATCTGTTTAAGTCTGTTTTCAATTCTTTTGGGTTTATACCCAGAAGTGGAATTGGTTGATCATGTGGCAGATCTATGTCTCGCTTTCTGAGGAACCACCCAACTATTTTCCACAGCAGCTGCATCATTTTATATTCCTACCAGTAATGCACAGGGTTCCAATCTCTCCACATCTTTGCAACACTTGCTTCCACTTTTCTTGATAGCTTTTGGGGTTTGTTTGTTTGTTTGTTTGTTCTGGAGACAGGGTTTCACTCTGCTGCCCAGGCTGAAATTAACAATAGTGCCATCATAGCTCACTGCAGCCTTGACCTTCTGGGCTCAAGCAATCCTCCCACCTCAGCCTCCTGTGTAGCTGGGACTACAGGTGTGCACCACCATGCCCAGTTTGTTTTTTTTTTTTTCTTTTGGTAGAGAAGAGGTCTCACTGTGTTGCCCAGGCTGGTCCTGAACTCCCAGGCTCAAGTGGTACTCCACCTCGGCCTCCTAAAGTTCTGGGATTACAGGCAGGAGCCTTGATAGCTATCTTAATGGGTATGAAGTATCATTATGGTTTTGATGTGCAGTTCCCTGATGACTAATGCTGTTGAGATGTTGAGCATATTTACTGAACATCTATCTTTGGAGAACTATCCTTGTACATTTTAAAACTGGGTTTATCTTTTTGTTGTTCAGTTGTAGGGAATTCTTATATATATATATTCTTGGCATTAAACCCTTATCAGATACATGATTTGCAGAGATTTTCTCCCATTCTGTGCGTTGGCTTCATTTCTTCATAGTGTCTTTTTTTCTATGAGACAGAGTCTCACTCTGTTGCCCAGGCTGGAGTGCAGTGGCACAATCTCAGCTCACTGCACCCTCCACCTCCCAGGTTCAAGTGATTCTCCTGCCTCAGCACCCCCGAGTAGCTGCGATTAATAGGCATGCGTCACCAGCCTAGCTAATTTTTGTATTCTTAGTAGAGACAGGGTTTCACCATGTTGGGCAGACTGGTCTCAAACTCCTGACCTCAAGTGATACACCCACCTCAGCCTCTCAAAGGGCTAGGATTATAGGCATAAGCCACCACACCCAGCTTTTTTCTTCATAGTGTCCTTCGATGCATAAAAAGTTTTCCATTTAATGACGTCTAGTTTATCTGCTTTTTTTTCCCTTCTTTATCTGCTTTTTTTTTTTCCCCTTCTTTCATTGCTTATGCTTTTGGTGTCTTAAGAAACCATTGCAAAATCCAAGGTCATGGAGATTTGGTCTTATGTTTTCATCTGAGAGTTTTGTTTGTTTGAGACAGAGTCTCCCTCTGTTACCCAGGCCGGAGTGCAGTAGCGTGATCTTGGCTCACTGCAACCTCTGCCTCCCGGGTTCAAGTGATTCTCCTGCCTCAGCCTCCTGAGTAGCTGGGATTACAGGTGTCCACCACCAAGCCCGGCTAATTTTAGTATTTTTAGTAGAGATGGGGTTTTGCCATGTTGACCAGGCTGGTCTTGAACTGCCGACCTCACCTTGGCCTCCCAAAGTGCTGGGATTACAGGCATGTGCCACCACATCTGGCTATTTTTTGTATTTTTAGTAGAGACGGAGTTTTGCCATGTTGCCCAGGTTGCTCTCGAACTCCTGGCCTCGAGTGATCTGCCTGCCTTGGCCTTTGCCTTTCAAAGTGCTGGGATTACAGGCGTGAGCCTCCACGTTCATAACCATGATCCCTCTGATTTCTCCCATCCCTCTGTCCCCTTTTAGAACTCTGATAGATGCATGTTCTTTCTCTTCCATGCCTCTGAATCTCTTTTTAGTAGTTTTTCTTTTTTATTACTTAGTCCCTACTTCTGTTTCTAAAAAGATAAAGTACCCAGGTGCAGTCTTATATAATAATTAAGACTCCCTTTTATTCCCACTCTTCTTTAAACTAAGCCAGACACAGGTCCCCACTGTCTACCCTGGGGAGCTCATTTTATTCCCCCCAGCTTAACTATTCATTTAAAATTAAAGTTTTATTCTATTCATGGGGCAGCTGAAGCATTTTGTACCTGAAGCCTTTCAGCCCTCCTCTCCCTGTAGGGCTCTGCTACTCAGGACAAGTCCTCAGCAGGGTTGAATCTCTGTACGATCTCCAGGGTGGCCTTGTTTCTATGATGGCCTGATTTTCCTCCTGCTCTAGTTCCAGAGCCCCTGTTTTATCTCTTTCCATTGTCTTACTATCTCTGCTTTGAGCTCTTTTACATATTCTTGGATAAATGTTACAATTTTCATCTATTCCCTGGCAACAATTTCTGGTAAGTATTCATGTGCCATTTGCTGTTCCTGTAATATCTTTAACTCCTGTGTCAGTTCCCTTTTAATTACTAATTTCTTAATGAGGTGAATTCTTTCTTGATGAGCTCTTGTAAGTAGATCATTGTGAGAGACGGGCCAGGACTGTGTCCCAGGCTGGCAGGAATCTGTACGTGGGATGGGTGCCTGGAAGAGTTCTATCAGGATTTTCTTCTCCACAGGCAACTACAGGGCTCCTCACAGTGCAGGACCTCCCCACCTCTGTCATTCTCCTTGTTGCCGGCTAGGTTCAGGAAAGCTCTTGCTGCAGTCCACACTCTTTCTTTTTTGTTTTTGAGACAGGGTCTTGCTCTGTCACCCAGGTTGGAGGAATGCAGTGGTGCCATCATAGTTCACTGCAGCCTTGAAACCCTGGGTTCAAACAATCCTCCCGCCCCGCCTTGCCTCCTGGATAGCTGGGACTATGGGCATCCACTACCACACCCAGCTAATTTTTGAATTTTTTCATAGAGAGAGGGTTTCACTTTGTTGCCCAGGCTGGTCTTGAACTCCTGGGCTCAAGTGATCCTCCTGCCTCAAGCCTCCTAAAGTACTGGGATTATAGGTCTGAGCCACTATGCCCAAGCCTCCTTTTTTAATTTCAAATAAGAGATTATTTCAAATAAGAGATTATTGGGTATGCTCCTTTTGTTTGTTTGGTTTTTGAGATGGAGTCTTACTCTGCCACCCACGCTGGAGCGTAGTGGGCGTGATCTTGGCTCACTGCAACCTCCGCCTCCCAGGTTCAGATTCTCCTATCTCAGCCTCCCAAATAGCTGGGATTACAGGCATGGGCCACCACGCCTGGCTAATTTTGTATTTTTAGTAGAGACAGGGTTTTACCAGGTTGGCCAGACTGGTCTCGAATTCCTGACCTTGTGATCCACCCGCCTCAGCCTCCCCCATCTTGTTTACTTTGTTTGCTTTTCAGTGATTTCTAAGGGGGTTGGGGATGGGTGGCACTGTCTTTATGCCAGCACCTTTTGTGTGTGGTGGGGGTGGGGGCAAGGTCTCACTTTGTCACTCAGGCTGGAGTGCAATGCTGTCATCACAGCTCACTGCAGCCTCAACCTACCTAGTTCAAGTGATCCTCCCAAGTAGCTGGGGCTACAGGCACATGCTACCATGCCTGGCTTATTTTTGTATTTTCTGTAGAGATGGACTTTTATACCCCGTGGCCTAGGCCTCTCAAAGTGCTCAGCTGTGCCAGTACTTTATGATTTTTTTGAGGCAGGGGGTCTCACTCTGTCCCCCAGGCTGGAGTGCAGTGGCATGGTCTAAGCTCACCACAGCCTCTGCCTCCCAGGTAGCTGGGACCACAGATGCGCACTAGCACACCCAGCTAATTTTTTGTATTTTTGGTGGAGACCTCCTGCCTCCCTAAGTGCTGGGATTACAGGCATGAGCCACTATGCCCGGCTGATGCCAGCACTTTAAAACTAGAAGTCATAATACAAGATCAACCTTGTATTCCTGGGTTAAAGAGACTTCTCGATTAGGATATTTATTTTTTACAATTCTTCTGATAGATCCTATTTGCTTATACTTTAAGACTTCTACATTTATGTTAGTGAAAGTGGTCCATTCTTGGCATGTCCTATCTGCTCTCAGAGTTCTTAAAACCAGTTGCATCATTTTCCATGTTTATTTAATCTCTGGAACGGAATATATAAAAAAGGGATTTCCTGTTCTTTGAAAGTTTTTAATACCTCAGCTGTAAAACTACTTACACCTAGTTCCTTTTTCTGAGAAGAGTTCTGCTTCAGTTTCTTAAAAATATTTATGAGTCTAATCAGATTTTTTATTTTGAGACTGAGTCTCCCTCTGTCACCCAAGCTGGAGTGCAGTGGCGCCATCTTGGCTCACTGTAACCTCCACCCGCTGGGTTCAAATGATTCTCCTGCCTCAGCCTCCTGAGTAGCTGGGATTACAGGCATCTGCCATTATGTCCGGCTAATTTTCATATATTTGTAGAGACGGGATTTCATCATGCTGCCCAGGCTGGTCTTTAACTCCTGACCTCAGGTGATCTGCCTCAGCCTCCCAAAAAGTGCTGGGATTACAGGCGTGAGCCACTGTACGCAGCCTCTCTTAAGACCATGATTTATGTTTTTCTGGAAAATGTTTTACATTTACACTCAGTTTTCATATTTGTTGCCATAACATATCCTCAGGAAATGGGATGGGGTTGGCTTTATATTGTTTGTGTTTTTCTCAATGAGAATGGATTAATGTGTAGATAAAATGAAGACCACCGCCATCATGAAATAATGAGTTCTACCCTAAGGGAGTGTGGGAGGAGATTAAAAGCATGATGCCATCCCACCAAACCCTGTGCTGTGCTAAATCAGTCTTTTTCCACCCTCTGTTTCTCAGTCTTAGGAAAAGTCCTCAGTGCTGTGGGCAGTGCCCAGCTACTGATGTCCCAGAAATTCCAGCAGTTCCGGGGCCTCTGTGAGCAAAACTTGGTGAGTGTGATTCTCCTTCCTCCACAGCAGGGCTTCCAGCCTTTGGCTGCCCACTATACTCTGCCAGCCCCTCGAAGCCTCTGTGCCCTCCTCTGTAACACACACAGCGCGGCTTCCTCATGGTGCTGGAAGGACAGTGGCAATGTGTGTCAGTGTCTAGCACAAGAAAGGGGGCAAAAGTGGCCCTATCAGATCTCTAATATCTTTCCATGTTGAAACAGCCACATGGATGGTAAAGTCAATTAGCACTGGTTTATTTATATAAAATATATTCTGTATCGGCCGGGCACAGTGGCTCATGCCTGTAATTCCAACACTTGGGAGGCTGAGGCGGGTGGATCACCTGAGGTCCGGAGTTCGAGACCAGCCTGACCAACATGGAGAAACCCTGTCTCTACTAAAAATACAAAATTAGCTGGGCGTGGTGGTGCACACCTGTAATCCCAGCTACTCGGGAGGCTGAGGCAGGAGAATCGCCTGAACCCGGGAGACAGAGGTTGTGGTGAGCCGAGATCGTGCCACTGCACTCCAGCACTCCAGCCTGGGCAATGACAGCGAAACTCTGTCTCAAAAATTATATACATATATATTTTTTGGCCAGGCGCAGTGGCTCACGCCTGTAATCCCAGCACTTTGGGAGGCCGAGGCAGGCAGATCATGAGGTCAGGAGATGGAGACCCTCCTGGCTAACACGGTGAAACCCCTTCTGTACTAAAAAGACAAAAAATTAGCCAGGCGTAGTGGCGGGTGCCTGTAGTCCCAGCTACTCGGGAGGCTGAGGCAGGAGAATGGTGTGAACCCGGGAGGTGGAACTTGCAGTGAGCCGAGATCGCGTCACTGCATCCAGCCTGGGTGACAGAGCGAGACTCCGTCTCAAAAAAAAAAAAAAAAAAAAAAAAAAAAAAAAAAAAAACAAAGAAATCCCACTGCTGGGATTGGTGGCTTGGCTTTCTCCCTCCCTCTTACCTGTTAGGAGGGCTGGCCCTGCCAGGGTCAAAAGCAAAGTCCTGGGCTGTTCTGCCTGTGGGAATGTGTGTACTCCCAGCGGGAGGCAGTGGAGTGAGTGTTTGTCTCCAAGACCTACAGAGACTTGGGGGTTGCGTTGTCATGGAACAGAGTGACACGAGGGAAACAACACAGATTCTGTGACCTTTCCCACCTGGGAGTGAATCGGGCTTCTCTCGGTGTCACTGTCACACCATGGCCAAGAACTTCTGTTTCTTCCCTGCAAAACGAGAATACCTGTCTGCTAGCATACACATACATTAGGGACAGGAGTGCCTTCCTTGCCACAGCCCTTAGACTATCCCCCAAAGATCCCCACCACTAGGGCTGGTGCTGACCAGAACTGGCTTAGATTCATTCATACAGATACTTACCCAGACACTAGGCCTCAAGAGCCCCCGCGGGTGCTGGCAGGGCCCAGAGGAACCCTGCTTGTTGGGGGGTTGGGGGGAGCAGGACAAGCCTCTGCTGAGCTGGCCCCACTGATCCCCATCTGGCCCACAGAACCCTGATGCCAACCCACGCCCCACAGCCCAGGACCTGGCAGGGTTCTGGGACCTGCTACAGCTGTCCATCGAGGATATCAGCATGAAGTTCGATGAACTCTACCACCTCAAGGCCAACAGCTGGCAGCTGGTGGAGACCCCCGAGAAGAGGAAGGTGAGCATGGAGCAGTGCGGAGGGGAAGTCCAGGGACAAATTCCTGGTCGGCAATAACGCTGCCCACATCGGTCAGTGCTGCTTGGCTCCCTTCTCCGTGTGTCGTCTTTGAGCTGGGGTCTCACATCCATCACTGCGTGGGGTCCATGCTTGGCACTTGTCTGGCATGCCGCTTGCTCCGTGTAGTTGAGGCTGCCCCTGAAGCATGTGTCCTGCCCTGCATGTCCAGAAAAGGGGATCCTGGGAGAGGCACGCCCACAGCCTCAATCACGTTATAACAGAGGAGGCAGCAAAAATGGTCCCTTCTCCTGGGGCCCTGCTGCCAGGAGTCCTGGGGTCTGGAGCCAGCTCTGTGACCTTGTGGTAGCCAGCCTCTTCCCTGAGGCTTCCTTCTGCAAACCAGAACCAGTGACCCCTGTTGAACCGTGGCCCTGTCTAATCCCCTAGAATAGCCTGTAAAATGGGACCTGAAGCCCTAAATTTGTCTCTGACTGTGACTCGGGCTAGTTCCTGCCCGAGTCTCGGGCTCCCGGTGATTCAACATGAGGGTGGACAATGGGATCTGCCCGTCCCCGCTGCTCGAGCGCTCTCGGAGTCTAGGCTTGCTTTCTGCTCCAGTGCCTTGAGCTCTTCCCACTGTCAGTCATCGCTTCTCGTGGCTTCCTGATTCCAAGTGTGTGTTGCTTGTGCCCGATGCGGGGAGGCTGGGGTGGAGACTCCAGCTGCCGGCATATGGTGGGGGTAGTGCCACACAAAACGTGGCACCTTTATTTTATTTTTGTTCTCTCCTCACTGTCTCACTAAAGGAAGAGAAGAAACCACCCCCTCCGGTCCCAAAGAAGCCAGCCAAATCCAAGCCGGCAGTGAGCCGCGACAAGGCCTCAGACGCCAGCGACAAGCAGCGCCAGGAGGCCCGCAAGAGACTCCTGGCGGCCAAGCGGGCAGCTTCTGTGCGGCAGAACTCAGCCACCGAGAGCGCAGACAGCATCGAGATTTATGTCCCGGAGGCCCAGACCAGGCTCTGAGACCATGCAGGAGGAAAGAAACGATTTTAAATCATTAAAAACACAAAAACTAAGTGCGAACGGAACAGAGTTTTCTCAACCTTTGCTATGGTTATTCTGTCTAGAGACCCTGAGCCAACTTTCAAATTGACGCATACAAGGGCTCACAATTTGGCTTTTTTGGGTCCCTCCCAGCTTTAGGTTATGAAGATTTTACTCACAAAAAAAATCAACAAAAATCACGAAACTAGAAAACTTTTTTTTTCCTCTTGCTGGCCGTGGTGGACTAGATAGATGGACGTCGGCAACTCCCGGCCCAGCCTCCATACTGCGGTCTTTTTACTCGTTCTATCTGATGAGAACTCACACTAGCTTGTTTACAAGATGACGACAGTCCAAGGGCAGCCTTGGGCACCTGCCATGTCCCTCCTTTCCCCAGCTATCCCCGCTCTGACCTTGATTTTCATTCTTATGTTTTTCTCTTTTCCCTTCAGAGCTCACACAGTGGTCACCATTGTGGCAAGCGGCTTTCTGGGTCTCAGCCCTCTCTGCGGTTGAGGGCCCAGAGGACAGAGAGATGGACATGCGTCCCCTCCCTCCCCCCGCCAAGTGCTCACACACAACCTCACGCGCACACACACACACGCAGATGGAGGCGCCTCACTGGGAGGTGCCCCGCCAGCCCTGGGCAGTGTCAGGCAGGACTCACTCACCGCTGAGCAGATGAGGGAAGTTTTAGTCTTGGCGGGTGGAAATGAGACGAAGCCACAGTTATCACACTCCAGACTCCTGCCCTTTTATTTTCTCCAGCCCCTTCTTCCTTCAGCAAAATCTAGGACTCCCGAGTGGCTTCCAGGGGGCCGTCAGTCCTCAGCCGCGCCTGTGTCCGGTGCCCGAGGGGCGGGCGGCGGTGTCTGTATGTATGTGTACATATGCACATAGACCTTAGAGTGTATAGTTAACAAACGCCCATCTGCTCACCCATGCCCACCCAGCGCCGCCGCCGCTGGCTCTCGGGGCACCTGGCAGGAGGCGGGTGTGTGAATAGCATATATTTTTACATGTACTATATCTAGGTGTGTGTACAAGTGTGTGTAAAAATATATACCTTGTGTGTAAGCAGCCCTTTTTTTTTTTGGTCTCCACCCCCCTCCCCCCGCCCCGCACTCCTAAGGGCCCATCTGCCCAGCCTCTGAGTTTTCTGTTCTATTTTTTTTTTAACCCCAATTATCCTTCTCTCTCTCCTGCCCCCGCATCCCACTCCCAGGGTGTCACGAGCCCTGAGCTGCAATGGCCCGGGCCTGCAGGGCGGGGTAGGGGAGGGCAGGGGCTGAGCCCCGAAGCCAGCTCAGTACCTGAGGGGCTGCTCTATGCTGTGTATGCGCCTCTCTGGCATCCGAGACATCCTCTTGGCTGGCGCTTGCTGCAGGGGGGGACCCCCCCCCGTCCCCAGGTGAACCAAGGGTCTGCTCCGGGGCCCATTTCCAGCTTGGCCGCCGTCTGTGACCTTGGGCAAGTCACTTGACCTCTGTGTGCCTCAACTTCCTCCTCTGTAAAACGGGGACAGTCCCTGCCCCTCCCTACCTCACAGGCATGTTGTGAGAATAAATGAGGTAACGTGTACCAAGGGCTTGTGGCATTATTGCAGGGGGATGAGCAGAGTGGGCCCAGGAAACTGAACCAGACCCCTCCCAAAAGGCAGCTCTGTGGAGACAGCCTGATGGGAGTGCCAGCCGGGATGCCAGCTGTCACATGCCAGCTCTGTGATCTGGGGCGGGAAGATGGAGCTGACCGTCCCCTCTCCCGAAAATCAGTGTGCAGCACTTACCAGCTTCCTGTTTGAAATAAACCCTTGAAAGATAGATGCTATCACAGGAGCCAGGATAGGCTGATAAAGACGACCCTAGAGGACAGTTTACACCCCCCACAGATCCACAGTCTGCACATTCTCCAGGGTGGGGTACTCGGTATCCCCCTGCCTGGCAGCTGCTTCCACTCTGTCAGGTGCGAGCCCTGAGTGCATCTCCAGAGCACCTCCTCTACAGGCCCAGTGCTGGGGCAGAGCTCGCTCTGGTGAGGGAGACAGATATTGAACGTGACAGATAAGGTCAAGTCAATGACAGGTGGTAAAAAACAAGACGCAGCAGAATGAGGCTGCAGGACCCCGCAGCGCGACCACCAAACCCAGCCTGGGCAGGAGTGTTCTGGTAGAGACCAGAAGGATGAGTGGGTAGCCAGCTTTCAGGGAGGGAGCGGCACGCAGTCCTGGCAGAAGCAGGAGGTGCCAAGCCCCAGTGGTAGGAACATACCTTTTCCTTTTTTTTTTTTTTTTTTTTTTTTGAGACAGTCTTGCTCTGTCACCCAGACTGGAGTGCAGTGGCGCGATCTTGGCTCACTGCAACCTACGCCTCCTGGGTTCTAGCAATTCTCCTGCCTCAGCCTCCCGAGGCTGCCATTATGCCCGGCTAATTTTTGTATTTTTAGTAGAGATGGGGGTTTCACCACGTTGGCCAGGCTGGTCTTGAACTCCTGACCTCAGGATCAGCCCCCATTGGCCTCCCAAAGTGCTGGGATTACAGGCGTGAGCCACCGCACCCGGCCGGAACATGCCTTTTAGAAAGTTCTCTGGCCAGGCTCTGGAGCCACAGACTCCTGGTCTCCTCCCTTGGCCCAAGCCAGCCAAGAAGCTCGTGATCTCAGGCCCAGGGGATGCACGGACCCTGCCTTCCCAGCAGCTTTGTTCAGGCTACCTCGCCCACCCCAGCGAGCCCCCTGGGAGCCCATCCGAACTGTGGCCAGACCCCTGTGCTTGGAGCAGCCCTTGACCCCGGATCCCAACACACCTGTTAGTGGTGACAGAGCATCTGGTGACCACAGGTGGCTTGGATTAACTCCAGGGCTGGCACCTTCCCAGACCTACCCCTACCCTGAGACCCAGCTGGGGGTGACTTGAAGGGTAAGTGAAGAGGTTTCCAGTTGCATCAGGCATTGAAGCAGACGTTCAGGGGTGCAGCTAGCAGCCGGCTCTCCCGGATGGGCCATGGGGATTGGGGATGGACCCTTAGCCTTCCTGCTTCTGCTGTGGCAGGGGAAGGGACTTGAGGGTTAGATTAGGGTCTCAGGAGGGATCCTGCACTCTATTAAGCACAAGATGGGGTAGGGGTGTCTGATGTACAGAATCTGGACCCCCACGCCCAGCCCTCCTGGCACAGCAGTGGAGAAGACGCCACCTCCATTGAAGGGACAGTATAATAATGAACACATATCTCGCGGCCAGAGTCACCGATTACTGATATTTCACCCATATGAGCATTATCCCTCTCGGATACATACACATCGTTTTCCCCGCGAGCCATCTGAGAGTCAGTGGCATACACTGATACTTCACCCCAAAACACATCATGCAATTCCCAGGCACGAGGACGTTCCTGCACAACCACAATACCATCACCACCCTCAAACTTAAGAAAGGAATGTTCCAGGGAGCACCTCCTTTTATATGAATATGGCCTAAAGCACAGCCCATACGCCAGGTGCCCTCACAACCTTGTCCCTTATACCTTCTCCCTTTTATCCATCCAGGGTCCCATTAAGGATCAGTCACTGCTTTCAGTTACCATGTCTGTCTGGTTTTGTTTTGTTTTGTTTTTTCTTTTCTTTTTTAGACAGGGTGTCACTCTGCTGCCCAGGCTGAAGTGCAAAGAATGGTGTGATCACGGCTCACTGCAGCCTCAACCAACTGGGCTCAATCAATCCTCCTGCCTCAGCCTCCCAAGTAGCTGGGACCACAGGTACATGCCACCATGCCCAGCTAATTTTAAAATTTTTTGTAGAGATGGAGTCTCACTTTGTTGCCCAGGCTGGTCTCAAACTCGTGGGCTCAAGTGATTCTCCCGCCTTGGCCTCCCAAAGTGCTGGGATCACAGGTGTGAGCCACCATGCCAGGCCACCACGTCCTTCTAGTCTCTTTAAAAATCAAAATTTCCCTACTTTTTGGGTTTTGTTTTTCGAGATGTTGATGGCGTTTTGTTTTTTGTTTTGTTTGTTTTAGTTTATTTTGTTTGTTTTGAGACGGAGTCTCACTGCAACACCCAGGCTGGAGTGCAGTGGCGCGATCTTGGCTCACAGCAACCTCCGCCTCCTGGCTTCAAGAGATTCTCCTGCCTCAGCCTCCCAAGTAGCTGGGGACTATAGGCGCCCGCCACCACACCTGGCTAATTTTTGTATTTTTAGTAGAGATGGGGTTTCACCATATTGGCCAGGCTGGTTTTGAACTCCTGACCTCACGTGATCCTCCCACCTTGGCCTCCCAAAGTGCTGGGATTACAGGCATGAGCCACCGCGCCCAGCTGAGATGTTGGTGTTTTTAAAGTATCCAAGCGCACTCTACAGAATGGTGCACTATTTGGGTTTACGTTTTCTCATGGCCGGATTCAGATTAAATGGTTTTCACAAAAATATGACTTAGATGATGTCCCATGTCCTTGTATCTTGTTCCATCAAGGATGCATTTGTCACTTCAGAGAAAGGCTGACAGCAGCTTCCCAGAGAAGCTGGGAATGAGTCCTCAGCTTCTGTGTTTCCAAAGCCTAGTCCTTGAGGGAACCAGGACAGGGACAGACAGGAAGTGCCCTCCTAAAGGCTGCAGGATATGACCACAGAGGCAGCAGAGGGGACAGGAGACTGTCAGCCACCTGTGGGTCCCTGAGAACCCTACATGGCCCAGGTTTCCCTTCTAGAACTCCAAGCTCCCTAGGTTTACATGTTTCCGGAGTCAGCAGAGAAGGCTCAGCTACCGCCAGGAACAGCACTGGGCCCCCAGACCTTATAGACAGGACAGCAGGACAAAGCCACTGCCACCAGGAGCCTGAGGGCCAAGTACCAAGCGGAGGCTGCGTGGGCAAATGCTGTGGAGGACAGACCCACTGAGATGAGGTTTCTAGCACCAGCAGTGGAATGGGCTTTACAACAGCAATTCTAAACAGTCTCCTGCCCATCTGAATCTGTGGCTGATCTGAAAGCTGGTGTGGTTTCTGCTGCCGACCCTGGTCCTACCATATGGCGGCCAGGGGAATTTTCAAAATGCTAACTGGGCTGCATCACCCTCTGCTTAAGACCCCTAAACCCAGGCCGGGCACGGTGGCTGGCTCACGCCTGTAATCCCAGCACTTTGGGAGGCCAAGGCGGGTGGATCACAAGGTCAGGAGGTCGAGACCATCCTGGCTAACACGGTGAAACCCCGTCTCTACTAAAAATACAAAAAAATTAGCAGGGCATGGTAGTGGGCACCTGTAGTCCCAGCTACTCGGGAGGCTGAGGCAGGAGAATGGCATGAACCTGGGAGGCGGAGCTTGCAGTGAGCCAAGATCGTGCCACTGCACTCCAGCCTGGGTGACAGAGCGAGACTCTGTCTCAAAAAATAAAAATAAAAATAAAAACCGAACCCTAAACCCAGTCTCCTCACCTTGGCCTTGGAGGCTGCCACCCACCTCTATAGCCACACCTCCAAGTGAGAGCTGCCCTTGGCCGCCTCAGGGCCTCCCACAGGGTGTCCCGGGCCTCCACCGATGCAGCTGACATCAGCTCTTGCCTCCACTCTCAGGGCAGGTGGCCTTTCCCCAGGGAAATCTCGCCAAGCACCTGGGCCAGGCCAGGTCGGTGCCAACGCCCTGCTCTACACCTGGAGCACAAGAGTCGCTTCCCTTTGCTGTTGTCACTGATGTGATGATGCTTTTATTAATATCTATGTGATGACTTGTGAATATCTGTCTCTACGCAGAAGATGGTGGGCTCCCAAGGGTAGGAAGAGAGTTTTTTCACCAGGTCTCAGTGCCTGGCAGAGAGTAGAGCCTCAAGAATGATTTCCTAAATGAAGAACCTTGGCAGAGAAGGCAATATTTGCTGGGCTTTCAGAATGGGCAATATTTGAACCAAGCTATGGCAGTAAAAGACACAGTGAGCACAGTGGCAGAGGTGTAAGGCTGTGCTGCTGCTCCAGGCGGGGCTGGGGCCAGACTGGCCTTGAATGCCAGGTTAACAAGTAAGGCTTTCAGGCCAGACACGGTGGCTCATGCCTGTAATCCCAGAACTTTGGGAGACCGAGGTGGGTGAATCACTTGAGGCCAGGAGTTCAAGACCATCCTGGCCAACATGGAAAAACCCCATCTCTACTTAAAAAAATAAAAAATTAGCCAGGTGTGGTGATGCATGCCTGTAATCCCAGCTACTCAGGAGGCTGAAGCAGGAGAATCACTTGAGCCTGAGAAGCGGAGGTTGCAGTGAGCCGAGATCACACCACTGTACTCCAGCCTGGGCAACAGAGCGAGGCTCAGTCTAAAAAAAAAAGAAGTAACGCTTTCGGGGGCAGTTTTAAATGGAGCAGGGACATTTCTTGCCACAGAACCCCACTTCCCATAAAACAGGGTCCCCCGGTACCAGCCTCGATAGACCCATGGTACTCTCTGGACCCAGTGAGTCCATACTTTGTCTCCAAAATGTCACCCTAGCCCAGACCCAGTGAAGCCCCCGTGGCCAACACAGGACATGGGCCTTTGGGGCCCCTCTGCTGCCTTTATGGCTTTAACTTTCTGTAGACTGACAACTCCCGCATCTAAATCTCCAGCCTGTATTTTTCCCTGAACTCCACCCTTCCCACTCGACATCTCCACCTGGATGCATAACAAGCAACTCACACATCCATCAACTCCTAACAGTAGAGGGAATTCAGGAATTAGAAAATCATAATTTGGGCCGGGCACAGTGGCTCATGCCTATAATCCCAGCACTTTGGGAGGCCAAGGCGGGTGGATCACTTGAGGTTAGCAGTTCGAGACCAGCCTGGCCAACATGGTGAAGCTCCGTCTCTACTAAAAATACAAAAATTAGCCAGGCGTGGTGGCTCATGCCTGTAATCCCAGCTACTTGGGAGGCAGAGGCAGGAGAATCACTTGAACCCAGGAGGCGGAGGTTGCAGCGAGCCGAGATCCCACCACTGCACTCCAGCCTGGGCAACAGAGTGAAACTAGGTCTCAAAAGAAAAGAACCATTTGGCAACCATCATATTGTAATAATGGAAGCATCCATGCATGTTAAAAGTACTGGTGGCTGGGTGCGGTGGCTCATGCGTGTAATCCCAGCACTTAGGGAGGCCAAGGCAGGTAGATCACCTGAGGTCAAGAGTTCAAGACCAGCCTGGCCAGCATGGTGAAACCCCGTCTCCACTAAAAGTACAAAAATTAGCTGGGCGTGGTGGCACGCACCTGTAATCCCAGCTACATGGGAGGCTGAGGCAGAAGGGTTGTGCCAGGATCGCCAATGAACTGTACTCCAACTGGGTGACAGAGCAAGACTCTGTCTCAAAAAAAAAACTATTGGTTGAAATTTTTATTAGGAACAGAATATTCACAATCCCAAAGTAGCACACCACATATTACTTATTTTCCACTGTTCACGGATTGGAAGACTTAGTTTTGGTAAGATGGCAATACTCCCCCAAATTAATCTACAGGTTTGACACAACCCTTATCAAAATCCCAGCTCCCTTTTCTGCAGAAATTGAGACACTGACCCTAAAATTCATATGGAAATGTAAAATTTACTACAAAACTAATGTAATCAAGGCTGGGCACAGTGGCTCATGCCTATAATCCCAACACTTTGGGAGGCTGGGACAGGAGGGTCACTTCAGCCCAAGAGTTTGAGACCAGCTTTGGCAACACAGTGAGATTCCATCTGTACAAAAAATACAAAAATTAACCAGGTATGGTGGCACACGCCTATAGTTCCAGCTACTCAGGAGGCTGAAACACAAGGATCGCTTGAGCCCAGGAGGTTGAGACTGCAGTGAGCTGTGATCATACCACTGTAGTCCAGACTGGGTGACAGAGCAAGACCCTGTCTCAAAAAATAAATAATTAATTAACAAATAATCAAGATTGTGTAGTACTGGCAAAAGGGTAGACATATATATCAATGAAACAGAATTAAGAGTCCAAAATAAACCCATACATTAATGGACAACTGACTTTAGACAACAGTGCCAAGGTATTCAATGGGGAAAGAAGTATCAACAAATGGTGCTAATGTAACTGGATATCCAAATGCAAAAAAAAGGAAGCTGGACCCTTACCTTGCAACATATACAAAATTAACTCAGTATGGATTAAAGACCTGAAAACTCCATCCTGGCTAACACGGTGAAACCCCGTCTCTACTAAAAGTACAAAAAATTAGCTGAGTGTGGTGGTGGGCACCTGTAGTCCCAGCTACTCAGGAGGCTGAGGCAGGAGAATGGCGTGAACCCAGGAGGCAGAGCTTGCAGTGAGCCGAGATCGCGTCACTGCACTCCAGCCTGGGCGACAAAGCAAGACTCCGTCTCAAAAACAAACAAACAAACAAAAAAAAAAAAACAAACAAAAAAAACCATGAAAGCTAAAACTAGCAAACTCTTACAAGAAAACAGAAGTGGGCCGGGCACGGTGGCTCATGCCTGTAATCCCAGCACTTTGGGAGGCCAAGGTGGGTGGATCATGAGGTCAGGAGATCGAGACCATCCTGGCTAACACGGTGAAACCCCGTCTCTATTAAAAATACAAAAAATTAGCCGGACGTGGTGGTGGGCACCTGTAGTCCCAGCTACTGGGAAGGCTGAGGCAGGACAATGGCGTGAACCTGGGAGGCGGAGCTTGCAGTGAGCCCAGATCACACCACTGCACTCCAGCCTGGGCGACAGAGCGAGACTCCATCTCAAAAAAAAAAAAAAAAAAAAGAAAAGAAAAGAAAACACAAGTGTAAACATTCATAACCTTGGATCAGGCAATGACTTCTTGGGTATGACACCAAAGCACAAGCAACCAAAGAAAACACAGATAAACTAAACTTAAAAGTTAAAAACACTTGTGCTTCGGCCGGGCGCGGTGGCTCATGCCTGTAATCCCAGCACTTTGGGAGGCCGAGGCCAGTGGATCATGAGGTCAGGAGTTCAAGACCAGCCTGACCAAGATAGTGAAACCTTGTCTCTACTAAAAATACAAAAATTAGCCAGGTGTGGTGGTGGGTGCCTGTAATCCCAGCTACTCGGGAGGCTGACGCAGGAGAATCACTTGAACCCAGGGGTCAGAGATTGCAGTGAGCCGAGATCGCACCACTGCACTTCTAGCCTGAGCGACAAAGCAAAACTCCATCTCAAAAAACAAAAAAAAAATAAAAAATAAAAAATAAACTTGTGTTTCAAAGAACACATGTTTATCAAGAAAGTGAAAGGATAACTCACATAATAAGAGAAAATATTTGCAACTCATTTATCTGATAAGGGTGCAATAGCCGGAATATGTAAAGAACTTCTACAGCTCAAAACCAAAAGACAAATTTTTAAATAGGTAAAAGGATCTAAATAGACACTTTTTTTTTTTTTTCTTTTTTTTTTTTTGAGACAGAGTCTCACTCTCTGTTGCCCAGGCTGGAGTGCAGGGGCATGACCTCAGCTCACTGCAAACTCCACCTTCCGAGTTCAAGTGATTCTTGTGCTTCAGCCTCCCGAGTAGCTGAGACTACAGGCACCCACCACCACCCCCAGCTAATTTTTGTATTTTTAGTAGAGACGGAGTTTCGCCATTTTTGCCAGGCTGGTCTCAAACTCCTGACCTCGGGTGATCTGCCTGCCTTGGCCTCCCAAAGTGCTGGGATTACAGGCGTGAGCCACCACCGCGGCCAGCCTAAATAGATAATTCTCTGAAGAAGATACACAAATGTCCAATAATAAGCATGTGAAAAATGCTCAACATCTTCAGTCACTAGATAAATGCAAATCAAAACCACAATGAGATGCCACTTCACACCTAATAGCATGACTAGAATTAAAAAGACAAGCAGGGCCAGGTAGCTGTAGTCCCAGCTACTCGGGAGGCTGAGGTGGAAGGACTGCTAAGCCCAGGAGTTCAAGTCCAGCCTGGGGTAACATAGTGAGACCCTGGCTCTAATACAAACACAGACAGACAAGTATTAGTGAAGAAGTAGAGAAACTGGAACCATCCACTGCCGGTGGGAATTCAAAATGGGACAACATTGTGCAAAATTGTTTGGAAGTTCCTTAAAAGGTTAAACATAGAGGCGTTACCATATGACCCAGCGGTTCCACTCTTATATACCTGAGAAAGTGAAAACGTATATCCACACGTAAACCTGCAGATTAATGTTCACGGCACCATATTCATAATGGACAAAAAGTAGAAACAACCCAAATGTCTATCAGCTGACAAATGCAAAAACAAAATGTAGCATATAGCCATACAACAGAATACTACTTGGCAATGAAAAAGACTGAGGTCCCGGGACATTCTGCAATATGGATGATCCCTGAAAATATTATGCTAAGCGAAAGAAGCCAGACATTGTATGACTGCATTTGTTTGAAGTTTCTAGAGTAAACAAGCTGGCTAGGCGTGTGGCTCACACCTGTAATCCCAGCACTCTGGGAGGCTGAGGCAGGTGAATCACTTGAGGTCAGGATTTCGAGACCGGCCTAGACAACATGGTAAAACCCCATCTCTACTAAAAATACAAAAATTAGCTGGGGTGGTAGCAGGTGCCTGTAATCCCAGCTACTAGGGAGGCTGAGGCAGGATAATCACTTGAATTCAAGAGGCAGAGGTTGCAGTGAGCCCCACTGCACTCCCGTCTGGGTGACAGGGTGAAACTCCATCTCAAAACACAAAAACAAATTTCTACAGTAAACAAACTGATAGAGAGGGAAAGTAGATCCATAGTCTCCAGGGGCTGGGATGAGAGGAGAATGGGAAATGACTGCTGACAGGTACAGGGTTTCTTTGGGGGATTACTTACTAAAATGTTATGGAATTACATAGTAGTGCCGATAATTACATAGCTTTGTAGATACACTAAAACCAATGAATTGTACATTTCATAGGTGAATTTTATGGTTTATAAAAGATAACAATTTAAGCTTTTCTTTAAAATACAGAAAACCTGTAGAATAAGAAAAATATTTACAAATCATATCAAGGGATTAATATCCAAAACATATTTTTAAAACGCCTAGAATCAAAAAAAAAACAACCCTGCTCTTTTAAATGGGCCAAGAATTTTTTTTTTTTTTTTTTGAGACCGAGTCTCACTCTGTCCACCAGGCTGGAGTGCAGCGGCGCGATCTCGGCTCACTGTAACCTCAGCCTCCCGGATTCAAGTGAGTCTCCTGCCTCAGCCTCCCGAGTAGTTGGGATTACAGGCGTGTACAACCACACCTGGCTAATTTTTGTATTTTTCGTAGAGAACAAGATTTCACCATGCTGGCCAGGCTTGTCTCAAATTCCTGGCATCAAGTGATCCACCTGTCTAGGCCTCCCAAAGTGCTAGGATTACAGGCAAGAGCAACCACACCAGGCCCCTTGTACACTGTTGATGGGAATTTAAAATGGTACAGCCACTACAGAAAACAGTTATTGCAGTTCCTCGGAATGTTAAAAATAGAATAACCATTTGATCCAGCAATTCCATTTCTGGGCACATACCCAAAAGAATTGAAAACAGAGACTTATATGTTCACAATGTCAGGTTAAAAAAACAATAGCAGGAACTTGAAGAGACCCATGTTCACTGAAGCATTATTCAGAATAGCCAAAAAGTGGAAGCAACCCAAGTGTCCATCCATGATGAGTAGATAAACAAACTATGCAAACAATGGAATATTATTCAGCCTTAAAAAGGACGAGAGCCTGGGCAACATGGCAAAATCCCACTTCTACAAAAAGAATTTTTTAAAAAATTAGCCGGGGCCAAGCACAGTGGCTCAGGCCTATAATCCCAGCACTTTGGGAGGTCCAGGCAGGACGACTGCTTGAGGCTAGAAGTTTGAGACCAGGCTGGGCAACACAGGGAGACCCTGTTTCTACAAAAGTAGAAAACTTAGCCAGGTGTGGGCCGGGCGCAGTGGCTCACATCTGTAATCCCAGCACTTTGGGAGGCTGAGGCGGGCAGATAATGAGGTCAGGAGATCGAGACCATCCTGACTAACACGGTGAAACCCCGTCTCTACTAAACATACAAAAAAAAAAAATTAGCCGGGCATGGTGGCGGGCGCCTGTAGTCCCAGCTACTCGGAAGGCTGAGGCAGGAGAATGGCATGAACCCGGGAGGCAGAGCTTGCAGTGAGCCGAGATCGCGCCACTGGACTCCAGCCTGGGTGACAGAGCGAGACTCCGTTTCAAAAAAAAAAAAGAAAACTTAGCCGGGTGTGCTGGTGCATGCTTGCAGCCCTAGCTACTTGAGGGGGTCAAAGCAGGGGGATTGCTTGAGCCCAGGAGGTCAAGGCTGCAGTGAGCTATAATTGTGCCACTGCATGCCACCCACGGCGACAGAGTGAGACCCTATCTCAACCCCCCACCCCCAAAAAGAAATTCTGATATACACTAAACATGGATGAACCTGGGGCTTGAGGACATTATGCTGGGTGAAATAAGCCAGTGACAAAAGGTCGAATGCTATATGATTCCACTTACATGAGGCCCCAATAAGTAGATAAACTCACAGAAAACAGAAAGATGAATGATGACTGCCAGGGGCGGGGAGAAGGGGGCAAGGTGGAGTTAGTGTTTAACTGGCAGGGAGTTTCGGCTGAGGAAGATGAAAGTGCTCTGGAGATGGATGGTGGTGATGGTTGCAAAACAAAGTGAATATACTTAATGCCACCAAACTATACACTTAAAAATGCTGAAAATGGCATGAACCTGGGAGGCGGAGCTTGCAGTCAGCTGAGATGGCGCCACTGCACTCCAGCCTGGGCGACAGAGGGAGACTCCATCTCAAAAAAAAAAAAAAAAAAAAAAACACGCTGAAAATGGTAATTTTATGTTATGTATATTTTACCACAATCAAAAAATAAAATGTAAAACTGGGACACTGAAGAAATGTGATGACAAATGATCTTACTTTGGCTCCTAGACCAGAAAAAATTCCTCTAAAGGACATTATTGGGATAACTGGCACAACCTGAATATGGACTGTAAATTAGGTAATTAAATCAATGTGAAAATTGTCCTGACTTTTATCATTGTACTATGCATATTTAAGAGAATCTCCTTTTTAGGAGGTACTCACTGAAACATGTAGAGATAACAGGACATACGTATGCAAGAAACTCTCAAATGGTTGGGGGTAGGAATAAATAAATATAAATGTATGTACATGTATTATATATATGTATATGTATATGGAAAGCAAGAAGAAAATATAATAAAACCCAATGGTAACAAATGGAGAATCTAGATGAAGCTATACAGGGTTCTTTGCACAGTTCTTCTAACTTTATCCTAAGTCTGAAATCATTTCAAAATAAAGTTTTTAAAAATTAATCTGTCCAAAATAGAGTTTCTTATCCCCAAACTGCTCCACACAGCAAACCCATCATAGAAAATGGCAGCTCTTTCTCGTTGCTCACATCAAAACTCTGAGAGTCCACCCTAACTCTTTTCTTTCACACCCATTCCCATGCCCCAGCAGATCCTACCGGCTGCACCTCGGAAATAGTTTTAGCACTTGTCCCTCGGCCTCCCCGCTAGTCCGGATCAGCCTGATCCTTGCTGGGTCGCTCCTCACAGGTCCCCTGCTCGTGGACTCGGCCCCCTCTGCGCTATTTTCAACACATCACCCAGAAGGATTCCGTCAAAACCCAAGCCAGGTCGTCACCCCCTGCTCGGAACCCTCCGACACCCCACATGGCCTACAGGGAGCCACAGAGGGGTCCCTGCTGCTTCTCAGCCCCTCCGGCTCCCGCCCCCATCCTCCTGACCTCCTGCTGCCGGCGACCCCAAGCCCGGGAGCCCTCACGGCGGGGCGCACCCCTGCACCTCCTGTCTGCCCAATGTCACTGCCCAGAGCACCCTGCGGAACAGCCCACGCTCCCCCCAGGTCCCCTTCTCCTTTGAGGCCCCAGGCCGCGGAGCTACTTGTTCATCGTGTTTCCCTCCACGAAACCAGTGCTTCCCGAGTGGTTCCTTCAACCCCGCTCTGGCGGGCGACCGCTGATGTGGACAGAGCGAGTCACCGGGCGTAGGGGTCCCTGGGAGCCCCCCCACCCACCGCCTCTGCCCTCCCCACGTCGAGAGCCGTTGCCCGTCAGGGGAAGCTGCACTCCCACGGCCCATACAAGTGGGAGGCCTCTGGGGAAGCGGCCCTGGACATTCCGTTTGCCTCTCTGGAGGGGAAGGGGTGGCCCAGAGCGAACCCCCACACCCCCTCTCCCATTGCCTGCTCACCCCATCACCTCCCCTCCCTACAAGGCCCTCTGTGCAGCCCGGGCTGGCACAGCAAGGAAGGGGGGCTCACCCCAGAGCGCCCCCGCCTGCCAGCCCGTGGGTCGAGGCCAAATAAGGCCGGACGGCAGCCGAGGGCCCCCGCACCCCGCCCGCGGCCCCGCCCCGCGCACATTCTTCTGCCTTGTAAGGCCCGGCCGCCACGCCCCGCCCCCGCCTGGAGTCCAGACCCGACGGCCGGCCCAGTTCCACGCACCCAGCGAGCCCAAGCGCCTTCTCCGCACCAGGTGGGATCCGGGGCCCCGGGGGTCTTGAGGACAGGCCTAACGGCCCAGGGCTGGAGATGAGAGGTGGCCCGGGCCCGACCCGGCTGTCACGGGGGGCAAAGGCGGGCCCCACGGACTGGGACGTGGTAGGGTCTGTTGGGCACGGACTGAGGGGTGAGCTGGGGCAGCGAGTTTGCTGGGGGCCGACAGGGACTCTGGCCAGGGGCCGGGCAGCAGGAAGGCTGTTCTGGCCTCTGAGAAGCAGTGGTCCTGCGGCAAGGGAAGGCCATCGTCCAGGCCCTGCCCCTTTGCTGAGGAGCTGGAGATGCCAAGCCCAGAGCTCCGGGGGGGGCTGGGGAGCCCGGGTACAAGGGTGCTGGGGAGAGGGTTGCAGTCGTCAGTTCCCCCTGGCCCAGTAAAGGCATGTGTGTCACAGATGGAGAAACAGCCCTGTGGGACTCCACGCCCCCACAGCATCTGTGTCCCCTCCCCATCTCCCATCCCTACACCCTGGGCCAGGGGAAAGGGACCGAGACCAGGGGGCCCTTCCGACACAGCCAGTGCTGTATGCAGGGACCCGGGCCTTCCCCTCTCTGGGTCATCTCGCCTGTGGGTGGGGAAGGTCTGCGGAGGGCCCTGATGGACTCACCCCTAGGGGGCAGGACGAGGACTAGTGGCTGGGAGAACCTGATCCCTGCTCTTCCCAGCCCTCCAGCTGCTCTAAGGAGGAGACTCAGATGAGGTGCACTGAGAAGGAGGCATCTGGCCTGCCCAGCTCCAGGGGCTGGAGGTCATGGGGGCACTGCCCTGTGCTGGCTTCAGCCCAGCCTTTTCTGTTATGGTGGGAATCTGGACACCAGGATGGGGGACATGGCATCCAGTCACATCCAGGCCAAGTATCAGTGCTGACCCCTGGTGTCTAGGGCACCTGAAGGGGGAAGCGATGGCCTCAGAACTAAAGGCCCCACCCATGCCTGCCCCTCGCCCCTCCACCAGTTCTAGAAGGCGCCTCTGGATACACAGAGCCCTTTCCCACTCCACTGCCACAGGCCCGCCTGAGGACTGGGGCTCCCTGTTTTGTTCAAGCCTCGAGGGCACCAGCAGCCAAGTTTGCTCTCCACTGACCCAAACCTAGCCCAGGAATCCTGTCTTCCAGGTGGCCCCTCCCCCTCTCATGGGCACTCCACTCCCCTTCTGGGGCCTCTTTTCCTAGCTGCACCATGGGGGCACCCCTGCCTCCGCTCACCACTTCCCACAATTGCTGGGGTGGACATGGCGGCCTTGTGCAAGCCCTTAAGTACAGTGCTCCCAGCCACACCACAGCAGAGAGTGCAGACCGGGTGGCCATGAAGGCAGAGGGGCCCAGCTGGGCTCAGACCCAGCTGTGGGTGGCCTGGCCATGCCTGCCCTAGAGCTTCATAGAGTGTGGTGGGGACAGTGATGGCCATCACAGCCTCTGTTGGGCACAGTGCACTGCCTCTCTGCATGCAGCCTTCTGTGGGCACCAGGAGTCAAAGTTCCCGAGAACACTGGACTCAGGGAAGGACTAGGCCCCTCTAAAGCACGGGAGAGGAGGGGGCCGGCATCTGGGGACAATGGCACTCCCAACTAGGTCATGGGTGAGAAGGAATTCTGTCTACCTTCCTGAACCATGCAAGAAACACTGAGGGCTGGGTGTGTCGGTCCGTGGGACACGGGCAACCACTGTCTCATGACTACAGGCAGTGATGGCCCTGGGGACCAGCTGGGGCTGGCCGGGATCCCAGTCCAGGGTTGATGATCTCAAAGGCCAAGGACCGAGAATGACTTCAACAGAGTCATGGGAGGAAGGCCTGGAAACAGCTCAAGTTGCAACCACACAGCTTGGGGTGAACAACAGGCAGAGGAGGCTTCCTGGAGGCCCTGGGCCCGGGGGTTTGGGCAGAGGGAAGAGGGGCCGCAGTCCTGGAACCTCAGCCAGGCCCACTGCCCCAGCCGAGGGAAGGAGGCACTGGGTCTTCAGGCGCATATCCCCACAAGCTGTGGCAAGCATTCAGGGAAACAGTCCCAGGCCTGGTCTCAGTTTCCCCATCTGTACAGTAGAAGCAGCAGACTGGCCGTAGTTGCCTTCATATAGTCATTCATCAAACAAGCATCTGTTAGCCCAACTATGGCCTGGGATTGGTGTAAACTGGGGGATCTATGCTGGCCCACAAGGGAGAGAGATCTTTAAGTGTTTACTGTGGAAGCAAGGGTACAGGGAACAGCTCCCTAGGAGAGGGGGGCGGTCTCAAGAACTGGGCTGGAGAAGAAAGAGCACAGGGGAGGAGGGGACCACAGAGGAAAGCCTGGGAGTGTCCAGGGAACTGCAGAGGTCAGAAGGGTAGGATTGTGGGTCACAAGAGGGACACCACGAGGGCTGTCAGAGAGGCCAGGAGGGACTCACACAGGGCCTTGAATGCCAGGATGAGGGACCCAGACTTGCTCTGAGGGGCGGCAGGAACCTTCAAGGGCTTCACAATGATAGGTGTAGGTCAGGGTCTGTATGGGACAGAAGAGGCCGGCTGGAGGCTAAGAAGCCAGGTCTAAGCAAGGGTGAAGAAGCTGGGGTTCTCAGCCCAAGCAAGCCTCACACCCCGATAAGCAGTGGGGAGTGAGAACAAGGAGTGGGACCCAGGATCAGTCTGTGACCACTCACCACTGGGGGGCTGGTCAAGCTCCCTGAGGTGGACAGGCGGGGGTTTGACTGCCCAGAGCCTCCTAGAACCTCAGGCGGGCAGCAGAGGGATGGAGTGGGAGAGTGAGGAACGGCAGGAATGCAGGAATGCTGATCCAGCTCCTTCCTGCAGGGCCAGGGAGCCTGGATGGCAGCCCAGGAGAGCCCTCACTGACTCCCACGAGTGGACCCACCTTGTCACTTGGAAAGAGAGAGGGACAGTGTAAATGCTATTAAGGATTAAAGGAGATAAAGCATGGTAATGGTTGGCACCAAGCCCAATCCTAAGTGTTTTACCCAAACAGTCACAGCCAAAATAGCTGATTCCATGCCCGGCACTGTTCCAGGAGCTCTCGGGCACTGAGTCAGTTAATCCCTACTGCTGGGCACTCCTCATGTCTCCAGTCCCAGATGAAGACTCTCGGGCTCAGAGAGGTAGAGGAAGTTGTTCAGAATCACACAGCCACACTTGTCTGCTTTTGTGAAGAACTGGGTGGTGGGAGCCCCAAATCCGTGGGCAGCCTTGAATGCCAGGCCGAAGTGCTAAAAGCCAGTCTGGGGGAGGCAGGAAGATTCCCTGGCCCAGAGTCACAGGGCCACCCAACCCCCACCCCTTCCTGCAGGGAAGCCCCACCCACCAGAAGCCAAGATGTCCAGCAAGCGGGCCAAAGCCAAGACCACCAAGAAGCGGCCACAGCGGGCCACATCCAATGTCTTCGCAATGTTTGACCAGTCCCAGATCCAGGAGTTTAAGGAGGCTTTCAACATGATTGACCAGAACCGTGATGGCTTCATTGACAAGGAGGACCTGCACGACATGCTGGCCTCGCTGGGTGAGCTGGGACAGGGACAGGGGTGAGATGGATGAGGCCAGGCAGGCTCTGCCAATCATTTACAGGGCACCTCCTGTGTAGTGAGACGCGTGGTGTCCACCTTAGAGAATAGTTGCCATTAACTTAGTCCATTCAACAGGGAAACTGGGCCGGGCGCGGTGGCTCACGCCTGTAATCCCAGCACTTTGGGAGGCCAAGGCGGGCGGATCAATAGGTCAGGAGATCGAGACCATCCTGGCTAACACGGTGAAACCCTGACTCTACTAAAAATACCAAAAATTAGCCGAGCGTGGTGGCGGGCGCCTGTAGTCCCAGCTACTTGGGAGGCTGAGGCAGGAGAATGGCGTGAACCCGGAAAGCGGAGGTTGCAGTGAGCCGAGATCGCCCCACTGCACTCCAGCCTGGGCAACAGAGCGAGACTCCATCTCAAAAAAAAAAAAAAAAACAGGGAAACTGAAGCACAAAGCAGGTCCACCACAGGGTCTGAACGTAGACAGGCTGACTCCACAGTGGGCCTGTCTTAGGCAGATTTGTGCACTGGGCTGCCAGGTATCATTTCATTTAAAGAAAGGGGTCAGCTGGCCAGGCGCTGTGGCTCACGCCTGTAATCCCAGCATTTTGGGAGGCCAAGGCGGGCGGATCACGAGGTCAGAAGATCGAGATCATCCTGGCTAACATGGTGAAACCCCGTCTCTACTAAAAATACAAAAATTAGCTGGGCGTGGTGGCGGGCGCCAGCTACTCGGGAGGCTGAGGCAGGAGAATGGTGTGAACCTGGGAGGCGGAGTTTGCAGTGAGCCAAGATCACGCCACTGCACTCCAGCCTGGGCGACAGAGCAAGACTCCGTCTCAAAACAGAAAGAAAGGAAAGAAAGAGGTCAGCATCTAAATGAAAGTGTGAACTGCAGGCTGCCCACTGCACAGATGGGGAAACTGAGGCCTAGAGGGGCGGCCAGACCAGCTCCCCTCCTTCAGAGGTCACCCATCTCAGGCTCTCATAGCCTCTCTGGTCCCAGTGACTTCCTCAGGATCAGGACCTTAGAACTAACAGGGTACAAAAATCAAGTCCAATTCTCTACTGCAGATGGGGAAACACAGGCCCAGAGGCAAGGCCTCCACAGACCATGCCCCAACCCACGGGCCTGCCCCAACATCCCTCCCAAAGTGCTGGCCACAGCCAGCCACTCTCAGCCCAGTTCCCGCGTACCCCTCATGCCGAGTGACAGCATCCAGACCAGACACTGCCTGGGGGAGGGAGAGTCCAGGACCAGAGGACACAGCCCCGTGACAGTCAAGCCTCGAGCTTTGAGGCCAGAGAGTCAGTCCCTGGTAGGGCCCTGTGCACTTTCCTCTTCCTGTGAAATGGGGCCATGACCCTGACATTTCCCCACGAGGCACTGAGCAGGAGAACCAGGCAAACCTGAGTGGGAGAACTGACAGCACGCTGCCCCCGGCCCTGAGCACCAAACCTCTCCCCGCTTCTGGCCAGGCTCGCTTGAAGGCTCCCTCCCCCAGGAGGTCACCTGGCAGGAAGTAAACTCCAGGGTTCTTTTTTTTTCCCCCCGAGACAAAATCTCACTCTGTTGCCCAGGCTGGAGTGGCACCATCTCGGCTCACTGCAACCTCCGTCTCCCAGGTTCAAGAGATTCTCCTGCCTCAGCCTCCCCAGTAGCTGGGATTACAGACGTGCGCCACCATGCCCGGCTAATTTTTGTATTTTTAGTAGAGACAGGGTTTCGCCATGTTGGCCAGGCTGGTCTCAAACTCCAGAGCCCATCTTGGCCTCCCAAAGTACTGGGATTACAGGTGTGAGCTACCACGCCTGGCCAACTCCAGGGTTCTTATCTGGGGCTTTCCCAGCTTCGTGGAAGGACTGAGGCCTGGTGAGAGAAGGGGCTGGCCTTAAGTACCCCAGTGTCCTGGCGTCACAGCTCCTCTTGGGCCTCAGCTTCCATGGCCATCCCAGGGGGACACAGCAGGGTATGTGAGGCTCAGGGACATGAAAACTTCCTATTTCCAAGGCCACACCCTGCACCCAGGCCCCTGAACCCCTGAGACTTCATGACAGCCCTGGGTGTCCACCCAGAAAAACATGCACTGTGTTTGTAGCTCATATCCGTGGGTCTGCAGGTGAGTCACACCCTTATCTTCAAGTTAAAAACAAGAGCAGCAAATATAATAATAAGAAGAAGCCCTGCAGGTATTATCTTAAATCTCAAAGCAATCCTATTGAACAGATACAATTATTCCCACTTTACAAACAAGGAAACTGAGGCTCAGAGAGGTTAAGTAATTTACCCAAGGTCACACAGCTACCAAGTAGTGGGGCTGCAATAGAAACCCAGCAGTTGATTCCAGTCCATAGGCCTGTGCCAGTCATTGTTATGAGCCTTTTGCAACTACTGTCTTCACAATTCCCCTAAGAGATGGGGAAAACCAAGGTGCACAGCTGGGATCCAAACCCAGGCCTGTCTGACAGCAAAGCACTGTGTCTGGACTTTGGAGTTAGGCTGCCTGGGTTCAAATGCCAGGTCTACTCAAGTCTCCTCCTTACTTGCTGTCTGACCCTGGACAAGTCACCTGGCCTCTCTGTGCCTCAGCTTCCATACCTGTGAAGTGGGTAAGAATGCTGACTTCACAGGGTGGTGAAAGTTAAATGCAATAAGGCACGTGGTCGACCAGCCACAGCGAGCAGTCTGCAGAGGGTTGTTCTTATTACACTTTAGTGAGCACTGCCGGCTGCTGACATCCAGGCCACAGGAGGAAACTGGTGGGAGCAGCCAGGGACTCCGGGCGCCCACTGCTGTGGCTGCGCTAGAGCCATGCTTTCCAGTTCACAAAACCCACTACCTCCCGTCTCACACGGAGCGGTGAAGGGCAGGGGTGGGGGACGGGGGTGCAAGTTGTCCCAGCTGGGGACAGAGGGCCCAGGACCACAGGCTGGAACACCCCACCTGCCACAGGGAAGAACCCCACAGACGAATACCTGGAGGGCATGATGAGCGAGGCCCCGGGGCCCATCAACTTCACCATGTTCCTCACCATGTTTGGGGAGAAGCTGAACGGCACGGACCCCGAGGATGTGATTCGCAACGCCTTTGCCTGCTTCGACGAGGAAGCCTCAGGTCCGTGGCGCCCCCTACCACCACTCTGCATGCAAGTGGAACAGGGCCCAGGCATTCAGTGCCTCTGCCCCTAAGGGCCAGAACAGACATCACCCATCTCCCAGGTTCTGTCACCAGAACTATAAAAGCCAGGCCACCTCCTTATTGTCGCCGCAAAGGCTAGGCCAGAACAGCCCATGCCCCAAGACTCCTGCCTTCGTGATCTCCCCCGCTGGCCCAATGCACATTCTCCATCTGTTTTAGACCTTTCCAGAAATCAAACCATTTCATGCCTTTCTTGCCAAGAAGGTATAGAAACTGGCCCCCCTCCTCGGATCTCCTAACGGATATTCCATCCCTCAGCTCATTTTTCCCAGGGACATGTCAGGGTGATGATGGCCATGGTAACATGGCCATGGGCCCGCACGGGCCTGACTACCTTCACGGTCCCTCACTGCAATGGCATACGTTCATCCCTGTTTTCTAGATTAAACAGGCACACGGAGGTTAAGGACCTTGCCCAAAGTCACATAGCTAGGGAGAATGGGAATCAGCACTGCAACTCAGGCAGTGGAACTCCAGAGCTCACGCTTAAAACAGGGCACACCCAACACCATCTGTGTGCACAGCCTCAAGTTCCCCAAGTGACACCTCGGAGACAGTCCCACTGCACAACTCCTCCCCTCAGGACCCTGGCACCCCTTCACGTGGGATCCGACACCCCTTCACGTGCACCCCCACACCCCTCCTGCCACGTCCTCATTCCTCAGACTGACCAGAGACTAAGATTGTATCTTCCCAGCCCCTCTAGGTCTGCAAGAGCTGCCAGGGGGCTGAGGGATGGGGCTGCTGTGTATGTCTCAGCCCAAGTTCCTGCTCTCACCCACCCTGCCCCTGCCCGCAGGTTTCATCCATGAGGACCACCTCCGGGAGCTGCTCACCACCATGGGTGACCGCTTCACAGATGAGGAAGTGGACGAGATGTACCGGGAGGCACCCATTGATAAGAAAGGCAACTTCAACTACGTGGAGTTCACCCGCATCCTCAAACATGGCGCCAAGGATAAAGACGACTAGGCCACCCCAGCCCCCTGACACCCCAGCCCCCGCCAGTCACCCCTCCCCGCACACACCCGTCCATACCAGCTCCCTGCCCATGACCCTCGCTCAGGGATCCCCCTTTGAGGGGTTAGGGTCCCAGTTCCCAGTGGAAGAAACAGGCCAGGAGAAGTGCGTGCCGAGCTGAGGCAGATGTTCCCACAGTGACCCCAGAGCCCTGGGCTATAGTCTCTGACCCCTCCAAGGAAAGACCACCTTCTGGGGACATGGGCTGGAGGGCAGGACCTAGAGGCACCAAGGGAAGGCCCCATTCCGGGGCTGTTCCCCGAGGAGGAAGGGAAGGGGCTCTGTGTGCCCCCCAGGAGGAAGAGGCCCTGAGTCCTGGGATCAGACACCCCTTCACGTGTATCCCCACACAAATGCAAGCTCACCAAGGTCCCCTCTCAGTCCCCTTCCCTACACCCTGACCGGCCACTGCCGCACACCCACCCAGAGCACGCCACCCGCCATGGGAGTGTGCTCAGGAGTCGCGGGCAGCGTGGACATCTGTCCCAGAGGGGGCAGAATCTCCAATAGAGGACTGAGCACTGCTTCTGGTCTGTGTGTCTGTGGCTGGGGTGAAGTAAGGGGACCCCGGGCCTGAAACCCTCTCCCACCTTCTCCTGCCATCTCCAGTTACTGCCCTGCTCCTCCCACCCTGGCCCAGGGAAGGACTGGGTGTCCTCCGGCCATATGGTCCCTGAAGCCTCTAGGGACCAGAGTCCCTAGTAAGTGGGCTCTGTGCTCAGCTGAGACCAGCAGGGGACAGGGGACGGAGGGAATGGGCCTCATGGCCTTCTCAGGGCTTGTGGGAAAGGGAGGACCATGGGAATCACCACAGCCAATCCCGTGGAGGGTTCCAGGCCTCTTGGGGGGCAGAGGTCAGGCCACACAGCCCTCAGGACTAAAGCTCCGGGTTCCAGAAGAACAGGGAGGCTCCAACAGTGATGAGGCAGGCGTCCCAGCAGCTCAGGGTTGGAGGTGGGAATGAGGGGTTTCCCAGCCCCAGGCAGGTGGAGGGCGAGTTCAGCCCCAGGACCAACAGCATGGGGGCCACAGCTTTCCATGTCCCTGTGTACGCAGGGCAGGCAGGGCCGGGACCCCTGCTACTGGTGGATGATGGGGACACTGATGGCAGTGCCTGGGGCCTAAGAGGGGCAGAAAGAGCGCTGAATGACTGAGCAGAGAGTCCAGAGGGGCATGGACTGCCTGGGTCACCCAATAGGCCTAGGGAAGAGTGAGGGCCGGACCCACCCCACCTGACCCCAGCGAGTGGACCCAGCTTGGTCCTGAGGCCTTCTCCAGAGGTCACCCAGCGCAGGCAGCCGCAGCACTCAGCAAAGGTCCCAGATCAGGGCCAAGGGGGAGCTGAGCACCAGGGGACCCTGTGCCTGACCAGGAGGCCCTAACCTCCTGCAGGCCTCAACGCCAGGCCCTGCTCAGAGCTCGGCTGAAACTCCTCATCCTGGCTCCAAACAGAGGCCCAAAAGTCCCTGGTATCAACTCCAGAAGGGGCGAGACCCGAACAAGTTCCAAACCAGGCCCAAATAGTATCCCAAACTCAGTCCCAAACACATTCTCACCCCCGGCAGCAGGCTGCAGGCCTCCAGCTACACACACGGCCCTGGGCAACTCTCAGTCTGGCCACCCATTCGATGCTGCCAGCCCCAAGGGTGTGGGAGGGGGGTCTCAGAGTGTCCCAGGGTACTGGCCACACATGCCCGACACCAGGGTCATAAGGTCCTCTCAGCAGAGCCACTGCAGCACCAAAGGCATTTCTGGAAGGAGGCAAGGACGCGTCATCTAGATGTCAAGCCCCAGCGTGCGATTCTGTCACAGTTCACCCCACCTTCACCCCGAGACGGAAGACGGAAGAGCTTCGCACACAGGCGGGAAGAGGTCAGGACCAGTCCAGCCTCACTGGCTTCAGAACTGGCCTGGGGGCTACCTTGACCCACAGGAAGGGAAGAGGAACGTGCTCTGGGCAGGGCAAGGCAGGACCTGCAGCACCCACAGACCAGCAGTAAAGGACCCCCGGAACTTTCCAAGTCTAGCACAAAACCCAGAAGCCACAAAGGAAAATACTGGCAGATTTAAATGCATGAAGTCAACATTCTTTTTGTAGAGCTAAAGAAACCATAAGCAAAATTAAAAGCCAAATGCATTCTGGGAGGAAATACCTGCAGCATATTTAACAAAACAAGAGTTAACACTAATCTATATAAAGCTTCAGTAATTGAATCAGAAAAAGACAACGCCGTAGGAAAAAAATGGTAACATGAAAAGGAATCTCAGAAGAAATGCATATACTTATTTTTTTCTTTTTTTTTTGAGACAGAGTCTCGCTCTTTCTCCCAGGCTGGAGTGCAGTGGCGTGATCTCGGCTCACTGCAACCTCCGCCTCCCGGGTTCAAGTGATTCTCCTGCCTCAACCTCCCAAGTAGCTGGGACTACAGGTGTGCGCCACCACGCCCAGCTAATTTTTGTATATTTAGTAGAGACAGGGTTTCACCATGTTCGCCAGATGGTCTCCATCTCTTGACCTTGTGATCCACCCACCTTAGCCTCCCAAAGTGCTGGGATTACAGGGGTGGGCCACCACGCCCGGCCAAAATACATACACTTAATAAGAACATTTTAAATACTCACCAAATACATTTTTAAGTGCTCAACATCATTGTAAAACTGTAAAATTTTCTATTTTTTCCTAGTATTTGTCTAGCTTTTTCAGACTGGGTCTTTCTGTTGCTCAGGCTGGAGTGCAGTGGTGTGATCATAGGTCCCTGCAGCCTAGAACTCCTGGGCTCAAGCAATTCTCCCACCTCAGCCTCCTGAGCAGCTGCTACTACAGACCTGTGCCACCACGCCTGACTAATTTTTTATTTTTTGTAGAGAGAGGATCTTGCTATGTTGCCCAGGCTGGTGTCAAACTCCTGGGCTCAAGCAATCCTCCCACCTTGGCCTCTCAAAGTGGTGAGATTACAAGTGTGAACCACCACACCTGGCCTTAATTTTTTAATTTTTGTGGTTTTTCTCTTTTGAGACAGAGTTTCACTCTTGTTGCCCATGCTGGAGTGCAATGGCACGATCTCAGCTCACGGCAACCTCCCAGGTTCAAGCGATTCTCCTGCCTCAGCCTCCCGAGTAGCTGGGATCACAGGCAGCCGCCACCACGCCTGGATAACTTTTTGTATTTTTAGTAGAGAGGGGGTTTCACTATGTTGGCCAGGCTGGTCTCGAACTCCTGACATCAGGTGATCCACCTGCCTTGGCCTCCCAAAGTGCTAGGATTACAGGCATGTGCCACTGCACCTAGCCAATTTTTAAATTTTTGGTAGAGATGGGGTCTCGCTTTGTTGCCTGGGCTGGCCTCAAACTCTTGGCCTCAAGTGATCCTTCTGCCTCAGCCTCCCAAGTAGCTAAGACTACAAACACATACCACCACACCTGACAGAGTCCTTTTTTTAAATTCCTCCAAAGGCTAGCACTTTTAAAACATTAGAAATTCCATTTATTTTCTGAAAATTTTTGTGTTTCCTTATCTTTCTGGCAGCCTCATTAGACCTTATAATAGAATCAAAATGAATCTTAAACTTTTTTTTTTGAGACTCAGTTTCACTCTGTCACCCAGAATGGAGTACAGTGGTGTGATCTCAGTTCACTGCAACCTCCGCCTCCCAAGTTCAAGTGATTCTCCTGCCTCAGCTCCCCAAGTAGCTGGGATTACAGGCACGCACCACCATGTTCAGCTAATTTTGTATTTTTAGTAGAGCTGGGGTTTCACCATGTTGGTCAGGCTGGCCTTGAACTCCTGACCTCAGGTGATCTACCCACCTCTGCCTCCCAAAGTGCTTGGGATTACAGGCGTGAGCCACAGCAACCGGCCTAGATCTTAAAATTTAAGAGACATTATAATTTAATTTGATATACTATGGTGGTAGAAAAACATTTCAAACTCATATAGATACAGAAACTTGGAAGCTTCAGTTCTACAGTCTTTCATACATCAAGTTAAACCAAAAAACACAAAAACTCACTGATCCACATCTCAATGGGCTTTCTCCTTTCAGTGTTTCCTTAAGTGACTTGAGATCACAAACATGCAAAATAACGACCAAAAAAACCTAACAAATCAGGTTTCCTGTCATCTCTCTCTAGATAAAAAACAGACCCCCACCGTCCTGATGGAGATAAACTAAGAGATCATAAAATCATTGTTGCCAGCTATGAGAAACAGCTTGGTCAAGAGCCAGAAACAAAACAGAGAATCAGGCCAGCCTCAGTGGCCCACGCCTGTAATCCCAGCACTTTGGGAGGCCGAGGCAGGCAGATCACACGAGGTCAGGAGTTCGAGGCTAGCCTGGCCAACATGGTGAAACCTCATCTCCACTAAACATACAAAAATTAGCCAGGTGTGGTGGGGCACACCTGTAGTCCCAGCTACTCAGGAGGCTGAGGCAGGAGAATCACTTGAACCCGGGAGGTGGAGACTACAGTGAGCTGAGATCGTGCCACTGCACTCCAGCCTGGGCAACAGAGTGAGATGCCGTCTCAAAAAAAGAAAAGAGGCTGGGGCGGGAGGATCGCTGGAAACCAGAAGTTCAAGGCTACACTGAGCTATGATTGCACCACTGCACACCAGCCTGGGTGACAGAGGGAGACTCTGTCTCTAAAAGTATATAAATAAATAAATAAACAAAAAAGGAAAGATAGACAGATGGGGGAAAACACCAGAGTCCGTGAAAGTATTTTGTTGTTGTTGTTGTTGTTGTTCTTTTTTGAGACAAAGTCTCGCTCTGTCACCCAGGCTGGAGTGCAGTGGTGCGATCTCGGCTCACTGCAATGTCCACCTCCTGGGTTCAAACGATTCTCCTGCCTCAGCCTCCAGACTAGCTGGGATTATAGGCACACACCACCACACCCACCTAACTTTTATATTTTTAGTAGAGACTGGGTTTCACCATGTTGGCCAGGCTGGTCTCGAACTTCTGACCTCAGGTGATCTACCCACCTCGTCCTCCCAAAGTGCTGAGATTACAGGTGTGAGCCACCACACCTGGCCTTACTGTATTGTTTTTTGGTGGTATTGTTATTTTTATTGGTTTTTTCTTTTTTTGTGATGGAGTTTCGCTCTTGCTGCCCAGGCAGGAGTGCAATGGCGAAATCTCGGCTCACTACAACCTCCGCCTCCTGGGTTTAAGCGATTCTCCTGCCTCAGCCTCCTGAGTAGCTGGGATTACAGGCATGCACCACCATGCCTGGCTAATTTTGTATTTTAAGTAGAGACGGGGTTTTACCATGTTGATCAGACTGGTCTCAAACTCCCAACCTCAGGTGATCTGCCTGCCTCGGTCTCCCAAAGTGCTGGGATTACAGGCATGAGCCACTGCGCCGCTCATTTTTTTTTTTTTCTGTAGAGGCAGTCTCCCTATGTTGCCCAGACTAGTCTCAAATTCCTGGGCTCAAGTGATCCTCCTGCCTCATGATATTTTCTATCTGAAGTTGGTTGAATCCATGGATGCAGAACCTGCAGATATGAAGGGACAACTGCAGTCAGAAAGAAAAGCAAATTAAAAATAAGAAGCCACTTTATGCCCATCAGATTGTCAAAATTTGGAGAGAGGGATGATACCATTGGAAAAGATGCAGAGAATCCTAAGGCGATGAGAGGACAGACTGGCGCACCAGTGCAGGACAGCAACCACGCAGCACCTGTGAGCAAGCAAATCCCTTCTGATGCAGCAACTCCACACTTGGAAACGTATACCAGAGGAATTGTGCATAGGCCCAGAAGGGGCAGGAACAGTTCACTGAGGCAGCACTGACAGTAACAGGGAACTGGAGGGGACCTACTTATCTATCAAGAGGAAAATCAGTAAGTGAAACGTGATGAATGCATACTGTGGATACCATGCAGGACTCAATGTCCATACCTCAACAGGGCTGCATATCAAAAGCAATATGAGGGAGAAAAGACATGGGATGAGAGTATCGCCCAAGAACTTCAGTGTAATTTTAAAACATGCAGACTTAACCACTGCAGAATTGCCCAGGGGACTCTTCATACATAGCCAAGGACCCATTCAAAACCCTCAAGAGTGGATTCCTAGGGTGAGGTGGGGCTTAGAGGTAGTGCCTGGGGACATATTGATGGCCTTGTGTCCTGAATGCAGTGTGTCATATGCAAGTGAGGAGGACAAGGAAGAGATGGGGCCACGCTGACTGGGAAGAGAGAAAGAGTGAAGCTTATATAAGATAGTACCTGAAATTAACAGGGTCCTACCTGATGAATAAACCTCAATAAGGACAAGCATGGATGGAGAAAGGACACAAGAACTGATTGAGGTCTATCTGGAATTCAGGAGGAACCCTGGTCATTACCTTTAACTGATGAAAAAACAAAGCCAATCGCCCAGGCGCAGGGGCTCATGCCTGTACTCCCAGCACTTTGGGAGGCCGAGGTGGGCAGATCACCTAAGGTCGGGAGTTCGAGACCAGCCTGACCAACATGGAGAAACCCTGTCTCTACTAAAAATACAAAATTAGCCGGGCGTGGTGGTGCATGCCTGTAATCCCAGCTACTGGGGAGGCTGAGGCAGGAGAATCACTTGATCCTGGAAGGCAAAGGTTGCAGTGAGCAGAGATCGCGCCACTGCACTCCAGCCTGGGCAACAGAGCGAAACTCTATCTTAAAAAAAGAACAAAGCCAAACTGAAGGAGGAACTTTGCCCGTGGTCTCTGGGCTAGAGAATGGGGCAAGGTAAGGAGAAGGATGTGGAGCCAGATGGGACGCGCCGCAAATACCCAGAGATCTTTTTTTTGAGACAGGGTCTATCTTTGTCACCCAGAATGGAGTACAATGGTGCGATCATGGCTCACTGCAGCCTTGACACCCTGGGCTCAAGCAATCCTCCTGCCTCAGCCCCCACAAGTAACTGTGACTACATGTGTGCGCCACCACACCTGGCTAATTCTTGTATTTTTTGTAGACACGGGGTTTCATCATGTTGCCCAGGCTGGCATACAATATTTTTAATCATTCTGTGCACAATACAAAGTTTTGACTGTGACCCGTCACACATGGTGAATTATGGAATATTCCACTCGTGGCGTCATGTTGGTGCTCAAAACGTTTCAAATTTTGGAGAATTTCAGACTTTGGATTTTCAGATCAGGGATGCTCAACATGTATATAGTAACAAAACACACAGGATTTGCTGGCAACTGAAGCCCCATTCAATAAATATAATGGTGTAAAAGCAAATACGAGAACTGCACCCAAGCAAATAACAGCAACTAAAAAGCAAGCCACAGTGCAAAAAATATACTGAGGGAATTCCTACCCAGCACCTGCAGCAAAAGTCAACAAAATCTGGCACAAAGCCACAAAACCCATTCCTGCCGGATATGATGTTGCCACACTTCACCACTAGGGGACGACGAAGGTCACCCAGCGAATTTGGGCCGCGATGCTCAGAATTCCTGGCCCCGTCTGCTTTCCCAGACAACGGATGGCCTCTTTGGCACCTGTAAGGTCCCCCAAACTGCAAGATGCTAGAAAGCAATCTCAAGGGACCAGCAGCCCCAGGCCTATGAAGCCCTCAAGAGCCTAACTCGTTCTCTTCCATCCACAATATGGGCATGTTATATTGGGGTGCCCAAGGGCCCCACTTTGCACCATTCTCTTCCATCCACAATATGGGCATGTTATAAGATGGTAAGGAAGGCTGGCCATGGTGGCTCACACCTGTAATCCCAGCACTTTGGGAAGCTGGGGTGGGCGGATCACTTGAGGTCATGAGTTCCAGACCAACTTGGCCAACATGGTGAAATCCCGTCTCTACTAAAAATACAAAAATTAGCTGGGCATGGTGGCAGGCTCCTGTAATCCCAGCTACTAGGGAGGCTGAGACAAGAGAATCACTTGAACCTGGGAGGCAGAGGTTGCAGTGAGTGGAGTGCCCGGGCAACAGAGCAAGACTCAGTCTCAAAAAAAAAGGCCAGGCGCGGTGGTGCATGTCTGTAATCCCAGCACTTTGGGAGGCTGAGGCGGGTGGATCACCTAAGGTCAGGAGTTCAAGGTCAGCCTGACTAACATGGTGAAACCCCATCTCTACTAAATACAAAAAATTAGCCAGGTGTGGTGGCCTATGCCTGTAATCCCAGCTAATTGGGATGCTGAGGCAGGAGAATCGCTTGAACCCGGGAGGTGGAGGTTGCAGTGAGCCGAGACCACGCCATTGCACTGGACAACAAAAGCAAAACTCCGTCTCAAAAAAAAAAAGACGGCAGGGAAGCTGCAGAATAGGCCAGGCAAGGCGGCTCACAGCTGCAATGCCAGCAGTTTGGGAGACCAAGGTAGGCGGATCACTTGAGCACAGGAGTTCAAGACCAGTCTGGGCAACATGGCAACACCCCATCTCTACAAAAAATACAAAAATTAATCTGACATGAAGGTGCATGCCTGTAGTCCCAGCTACTAAGGAGGCTAAAGTGGGAGGATCATCTGAGTCTGGGAGGTCCAGGCTGCAGTGAGCTGAGATTGTGCCACTGCAGTCCAACCTGGGTGACAGAGCGAGACTGTGTCTCCAAAAAACAACAAAAACAAAAATTAAAATTAAAATTAAATTGCAGAAGGCATTTTTTAGAAAGGGGGAAAAGGGTAAGTGAGTCTTATGCCAGCAAACTGGATATCATCCCCACTTAACAGATGAGGAAATAGAGGCTCAAAGAGGCAATGCAACCTATCCAGGCTCAATCATACCGCTAGGGAACATCAGAACCAGATTCAAAGACAGGTGGGTCAGATCGTTGTCACTGGGACACTGTACCCCCAGCCCCAGTCATATCTGTGAGAAGAGACAAACAGATAAGGAGAGTATCTGAGGGAGGGAGGGAATATAAAGAAATGACTTCCTCCCGCAGAGACCCTTCATGCCTTCCCCAAGTGGTCCACGAGGGCCGTCCCAGTTCTCCGAGCCACAACACTTAAGGATGGGTGTCAGGCCTTCACTTGGCTCCCCTTCCTAGCAGGACCCCCAGAGCTACGGAGTCAGTTTATTCATTCGGCAAGGGCTCTAAGTCTCATTCAGACATTTCTACCTTCAGTTCTCAAGTGTGACTTGATTTTCTCCCCATGTCGGCCCCTACCTTCACCCAACCCCTCTTCAAACTCTGGAAAGCTCTAAGCCAGAATCCTACTCAAGTCACCAGACTTGTCATACTGTTCCCACTGGGCCCAGAACCCCTTGATCTGAGCTTTAAACTTTATTTACATGGAGCACTGTGATTTTCACTTTTTTTTTTTTCTAAATAAAGATGGAGTCTTGCCACGTTGCCGGGGCTGGTCTCAAACTCCTAGCCTCAAGTGATCTTCCGACCTCAGCCTCCTGAGTTCCTGGGATTACAGGCAGCCACCACCGTGCTCAGCTGTGATAGTCTTTTTTAAAAAATTGAAGCATGGGCTGGGCGCGGTGGCTCACGCCTGTAATCCCAGCACTTTGGTAGGCCAAGGCAGGCAATCCCTTAAGCTCAGGAGTTCAAGACAAGCCTGGGCAACATGGTAAAACTCTACTCTCCAAAAAAAAACAATAACAGGCTGGGCGCGGTGGCTCACGCCTGTAATCCTAGCACTTTGGGAGGCCGAGGCGGGTGGATAATGAGCTCAGGAGATCAAGACCATCCCGGCTAACACAGTGAAACCCTGTCTCTACTAAAAATACAAAAAATTAGCCGGGCGTGGTGACGAGCGCCTGTAGTCCCAGCTACTCGGGAGGCTGAGGCAGGAGAATGGCATGAACCTGGGAGGTGGAGCTTGCAGTGAGCCGAGATCACGCCACTGCACTCCAGCCTGGGCAACAGAGAAAGACTCCGTCTCAAAAAAAAAAAAAGACAAAACTTGAAGCATAATTCATGTATGGAAAAATGCATAAATTTCAAGCATGTAACTACATGACCTGCAATGGCCTCTTAATTGGCCTTCCTGACCCTCTCCTCCACCCTCCACAGGGCCATTTCGGGTTGCGCGTTCCAAGGCCGTCTGACCACATCACTACCCCGGCCAAAAACCTCCAATATTTCTCCTGCTCTAAGGATGGAGACCCTCAGAAACAGAATCATAAGTACTCCTCACCTTTGAGAACGAAAAATGAGGCTGGGCGTGGTGGCTCACACTTGGGAGGCCAAGGCGGGCAGATCATTTGGGGTCAGGAGTTGGAGACCAGCCTAGCCAATATGGTGAAACCCCATCTCTACTAAAAATACAAAAATTAGCCGAGCATGCTGGCGCGTGTCTGTAATCCCAGCTACTCGGGAGGCTGAGACAGGACAATCACTTGAACCCGGGAGGCAGAGGTGGCAATGAGCCAAAATCGCACCACTGCACCCCAGCCTGGATGACAGAGCAAGACCCCGTCTCAAAAAAAAAAAAAAAAAAAAAAAAAAGCCTGGCATGTTAGTGCATGCCTGTAGTCCCAGCTACTTGGGAGGCTGAGGCAGAATTCCTTGAGCCTGGGAGGTTGAGGCTATAGTGAGCGGGGATCGCGCCACTGAACTCCAGCCTGGGCAACAGAGACTCTGTGTCAAAACTAAAAATAATTTTTTAAAAACAAGAAAACCTGGCCGGCCACAGTGGCTTACACCTGTAATCCCAGCACTTTGGGAGGCTGAGGCAGGCAGATCACCTGAGGTCAGGGGTTTGAGACCAGCCTGGCCAACATGGTGAAACCCTGTCTCTACTAAAAATACAAAAATTAGCTGGGTGTGGTGGCATGTGCCTGTAATCCCAGCTACTTGGGAGGCTGAGGCATGAGAATTGTTTGAACCCAGGAGGCAGAGGCTGCAGTGAGCCAAGACTGCACCACTACACTCCAGCCTGGGTGACAGAGCGAGACTCTGTCTCAAAAATAAAAATAATAAATAATAGGAAAAAAAAAAAAAAGAGCTGGGCGCAGTGGCTCATGCCTGTAATCCCAGCAATCTGGGAGGCTGAGGCGGATGAATCACAAGGTCAGGAGTTCGAGACCAGCCTGGCCAACATGGTGAAACCCCATGTCTACTAAAAATACAAAAAATTAGCCAGGCGTGGTGGCATGCACCTGTAATCCCAGCTACTCGGGAAGCTGAGGCAGGAGAATCACTTGAGCCTGGGAGGAGGAGGTTGCAGTGAGCCCAGATCCCGCCACTGCATTCCAGCTCTGACGACAGAGTAAGATTCCTTCTCAAAAAAAGAAAAGAAAAAAAAAAGAAAACCCATATAATGTGCCCACTCCATTGGCTTAATAAAATTAGTTTTGGCAAATATTCCTTTATGCCCCTCTTTAAGTCAAGCCCTTCTCCCATCCCTCAACCCAGGAAACCACTGATTTACTTTCTATAAATTTCTTTGGCTTTTCTAGAATTTTATATGAATGGGTCACACAATATTTATTATTTTGTGTCTGGCTTCTTTCGCTTAGCATAATATTTGTGAGACTGGCCTATGTTATTGTGTGCAACTATAGCTCTGATTGCCGAGAAATATTCCACTGTATAGACAGAATACAACCAATTTACCCTTTTACCAGTTGATAAACATTTGGGTTGCTTATAGTTTGGGGCCATTATGAATAAGGCTACTATGAATATTCATATACAAATATTTTGCATGGACATATGCTTTGTCCTCAACCAAAAAGGACAGATTTCTCTTTGGTGCTTCCTGCCATTCCATGGAAAACATAAATATTCTCTGTTAATTTGACTTACTACAGAAACTAGTCTTTCTCATATGAAATACACACACACGGCCGGGCGCAGTGGCTCACACCTGTAATCCCAACACTTCGGGAAGCCAAGGTGGGTGGATCACCTGAGGTCAGGAGTTCGAGACCAGCCTGGCCAACATGGTGAAACCCTGTCTCTACCAAAAATACAAAATTAGCTGGGTATGGTGGCACATGCCTGTAATCCCAGCATACTTGGGAGGCTGAGGCAGGAGAATTGCTTGAACCCGGGAGGCGGAGGTTGCAGTGAGCCGAGACTGCGCCACTGCACTCCAGCCTGGGCAACCCATGAGTGAAACTCGGTCTCGAAAAAAAAAAAAAAGGAAATACACACACACTTTTTTTTTTTTTCGAGACAAAGTCTCACTCTGCCATCCAGGCTGGAGTGCAGTGGCACAATCTCGGCTCACTGCAATTTCCACTTCCCGGGCTCAAGCGATTCTCCTGCCTCAGCCTCCAGAGTAGCTAGGATTACAGGTGCGCACCACCATGCCCAGCTACATACACACTGGTTTGTGAAACACATCAGACTGGCCAGGCGCAGTGGCTTATGCCTGTAGTCCCAGCACTTTGGGAGGCTAAAGTGGGTAGGTTGCTTGAGCTCAGGAGTTTGAGACAATCCTGGGCAACATGGTGAAACCCCATCACTACAAAAAATACAAAAATTAGCCAGGCATGGTACAATGCGCTTGTCGTCCCAGCTACCCAGGAAGCTGAGGCGGGAGACAGAAGTTGCAGTGAGCTGAGATTGAGCCACTGTGCTCCAGCCTAAGCAACAGAGTGAAACCCTGTCTCCAAAAATAAACTAATTTTTAAAAAGAAACACATCAGGTAATTATAGGAGGTCATCGAATGTGACCAGTGAAGGTGTTTTTTCTGTAACTTTCCCTACTGCTTGCCAAGCCATTGGCAGGGCAGGGCAGGAGCATTTTGTTGCTTCTCTCTCATGACAGCCTCAGGAAGAGACAGGGCTGCACCCACTTCCCAGATGGGAAGTTAAGCTCGGGGAAGCGGGGGATGACCCAAGGTATACCCACCTCAGGGCTCACCGAAGTCAAGATACATCCCAGGGCAGGGGCCTGAGGAACTGGCTCCACCACTGACTTGCTGTGAGCTCTGCCTGGGCCTCAGTTTGATAATTCCCTGAGAATCACAAATCTCTGATATTCTTCTGGAAAAGTCCTGACTTCAAATATGCTGCTCCTGACAGGTGTGATGGCTCCTGCCTGTAATCCTAGCTCCTCAGGAGGCTGAGGCACGAGAATCACTTGAGCTCAGGAGTTCAAGACCAGCCTGGACAACATAGGAAGACTCATCTCAAAAAATATATATATATTCTCCCACCAATCACCACAATGTCCAGGAAATGCCAACAGTAGTCCCAGCTACTCCTGCAGCTGAGGCAGGAGGATTGCTTGAGCCCAGGTGGCGGAGGTTGCAGTGAGCCTTGATCACGCCACTGCACTCCAGCCTGGGTGACAGAGTCAGACCCTGTCTTTAATAAATAAATAAAATATTTCACCCAACCACAGTAGAAAGTTGCAACAAGAAAGCCAGCATGAAATTAGCCGGGCATGATGGTACACACCTGTAATCCCAGTTACTCGGGAGGCTGAGGTGAGAATCTCTTGAACCTGGGAGATATAGGTTGCTGTGAGCTGAGATCACACCACTGCACTCCAGCCTGGGTGACACAGTGAGACCCTGTCTCAAAAAAAAAAGCCAGCATGGGAAGCCAGGTGGGAAATTTTCCTATCTAACTGCCTCCATATCCCTCTTACTAAATTACTCTGGGCTTAACCAAGGAAGACAGTTAGAGCCTGACACTTGGGGGCCAAAGAAACAAAGACAACGAAAGCAGCCATTAAATGGCTCTGCAGGAGGCAGAGGGAGAGAAGTGTTTTTGCTCCAGAGAGGAAAGGGGAGAGGGAAGGAGGGCTGGGAAACGGACTGAAGAGGAGACCAGAGCCAGGAGCTGGATAGTGACAGGAGGCTGGGTACTGGTGGGCCAAGTCAAACTCTGCAAAGCCAGGGCCCAGAGGATGCCCAAGGATGGAGAACATGGAAACTGACCTCTGTGTTTCTGTCAAGTGTGCCTTTCGTCTCACCCTCCAGCACTAAAGGGCTCAATTCACTTGTGTTACCAAGGTTTGGTGACTGCGGAGTTACCAAGGTTTGGTGACTGCAGAGTCTAAGGGGAGCCTGGCAGAGATGAAGGGGAAAGACTGAACTGTGGAAACTATCAACTTAGTCCATTTTGTGCTTCTATGACAGAATACCTGAGACTGGTAACTTATAATGAACAGAAGTTTATTTGGCTCACAGTTTTGGAGGGTGGGAAGTCCAAGATCAAGGAACTGCATCTGGTGAGGGCCTTCTTGCTGCCTCATCACATGGTGGAAGGCCTCACATGGTGAGAGAGTACACAGGACAGAAGGCAAGAGAGTGCTGAACTCACATTTTATCAGGAATCCACTCCTGTGGTAAGAGCATTAATCCATTCATGAGGGCAGAGCCTCTTAGAGGTCCCATCTCTCAACACTATTGCATTGGGGATTAAGTTTACAACGCATGAACTTTGCTCATGGGGCACATTCAAGCCATAGCAACTACACAGCACCAGGGTAGGCTGTAGGCAAGCAGGCCCCAGAGGCCAAGATGATGGAGAATGGGAACTACTAGGAATCTACAGGCATCTGGCAAAGGGCTGAGGACTTCCTCAGAGTATGGAATAAAATTTCAACTGGTCTTATCAAGATCCAGAGCAGGAAGACCAAGTTGACAAAGATCACTTAGATGAATCCAAAATGAATGAGGATATAGGAGGTGGAGAAATACCAGAGGACACACCTTCAGGGACAGGGCAGTTGGGATGGGCATAAGAGCACAGGCTCAAGAGTCAAGATTGTCTGGGTCTAAGATACTATTTCCTACTAAAGCAGGATATTTTATAATTTTAAAAAGGTCATTCCATCAGAAACAGGTAAAGTTTTAAACATATACGGAAACAGCAGAGCACCAAAATACAGGAAACAAAGGCTGACAGAAATGAAGGGAGGAAACAACTCAACAGTCATAGTTGGACTTCAATTCCCACTTTCAATAACAGATAGAACAAGTAGGCAGAAGATCAATAGGGAAACAGAAGACTTGAACACACGACAACACTACCAACCACCCAGACCTAACACCGATCTACAGAACACTGCACCCTACACCACCTAGACCTAACGCCCGTCCACAGAACACCGCACCCCACGACCACAGAATACAACACTACCCACCACCTAGACCTAACACCCATCTACAGAACACTGCACCCCACAACCACAGAATACAACACTACCCACCACCTAGACCTAACGCCCATCTAAAGAACACTGCACCCTACAACCACAGAATACAACACTACCCACCACCTAGACCTAACGCCCATCTAAACACTGCACCCTACAACCACAGAATACAACACTACCCACCACCTAGACCTAACACCCGTCTACAGAACACTGCACCCTATAACCACAGAATACAACACTACCCACCACCTAGACCTAACGCCCGTCTACAGAACACTGCACCCCACAACCACAGAATACAACACTACCCACCACCTAGACCTAACGCCCATCTAAAGAACACTGCACCCTACAACCACAGAATACAACACTACCCACCACCTAGACCTAACGCCCATCTAAAGAACACTGCACCCTACAACCACAGAATACAACACTACCCACCACCTAGACCTAACACCCGTCTACAGAACACTGCACCCCATAACCACAGAATACAACACTACCCACCACCTAGACCTAACGCCCGTCTACAGAACACTGCACCCCACAACCACAGAATACAACACTACCCACCACCTAGACCTAACACCCGTCTACAGAACACCACACCCTACAACCACAGAATACAACACTACCCACCACATAGACCTAACACCCATCTACAGAACACTGCACCCCACAACCACAGAACACTACCAACCACGTAGACCTAACACCCATCTACAGAACACGGCACCCTACAACCACAGAATACCATTCTTTCTTCTTTTTTCATTTTTTTGAGATGGGATCTTGCTCTGTCAACCAGGCTGGAGTGGAGAAGCGTGATCACAGCTCACCGCAGCCTCAACTTCCCAGGCTCAGGTGATCTCCCACTTCAGCCTCCCAAGTAGCTTGGAGTATAGGCATGCCCCACCCAAGCTAATTTTTTTATTTTTTGTAGAGATGGGGTCTCACTACGTTGTCCAGGTTGGTCTCCAACTCCTGGGCTAAAGGGATCCTCCCACCTGAGCCACCCAAAGTGCCGGGATTACAGGCATAAGCCACCATGCCAGGGCCACATTATTCTTAAGTGGACATGGTACATTCTCCAGGAAAGACCATATGCTAGGTCATAAAACAAACCTCAATTAATTTAAAAGGACTCAAATAATACAAAGTGTGTTCTCTGAGGACACTATAATGAAATTAGAAATTTGGGAAACATGGGAAACTCACAAATATGTGAAATATGTGGAAATTAAACAACATACTCTAAATAATGAATGATTCGAAGAAGAAATCCAAAGGGGAATTAGAAAATATTATGAAATGAATAAAAAGGCTTAAAACTTATGAAATGCAGCTAAAGCAGTGCTTGAAGGAAAATTCATAGCTATCAATGCCTTTTTATTCCTTTGAGACAGTGTCTCGCTTTATTGCCCACACTGGAGTGCAGTCATGCAATCAGGGTTCACTGCAGCCTCACACCCCTGGGCTCAAACAATCCTCCCACCTCAGCCTTTGGAATGGCTGAAACTACAGGCAAAAGCCACCAACACCTGGCTTAATTTTTTATTTTTCGTAGGGATGGGGTCTTGTTACATTGCCCAGGCTGGTCTCAAACCCCTGAGCTCAAGCGACCCGCGTCTCAGCCTCCCAAAGTGCTGGTATGAGCCACCATGCCTGGCCATATGTGCCTATTTTTTTTATTATTTTTTATTTATTAATTTTTTTTTGAGACAAAGTCTTGCTCTGTCACCCAGGCTGGAGTGCAATGGCGCAGGCTGGGCTCACTGCAACCTCTGCCTCTCAGGTTTCAGCGATTCTCCTGCCTCAGCCTCCTGAGTAGCTGGGATTACAGGCATGTGCTACCATGCCCAGCTAATTTTCTATTTTTAGAGGCGAGGTTTCACTATGTTGGCCAGGCTGGTCTTGAACTCCTGACCTCAGGTGATCCGCCCAACCTCGGCCTCCCAAAATGCTGGGATTACAGGCATGAGCCACCACACCTGGCCCATATGTGCCTATTTAAAAAAAAAATGAAGATTGTAGGCCGGGCACGGTGGCTCACGCCTGTAATCCCAGCACTTTGGGAGGCTGAGGCAGGCGGATCACGAGGTCAGGAGATTGAGACCATCCTGGCTAACACGGTGAAACCCCGTCTCTACTAAAAATACAAAAAATTAGCCAGGTGTGGTGGCGGGTGCCTGTAGTCCCAGCTACTCGGGAGGCTGAGGCAGGAGAATGGCGTGAACCATGGCGGCGGAACTTGCAGTGAGCCTAGATTGCGCCACTGCACTCCAGCCTGGGGGACAGAGCTAGACTCTGTCTCAAAAGAAAAGAAAAAAGTAAATAAATAAATATAGATTGTAAATCAATAATCTAACCTTCCACTTTAAGATACCAGAAAAATTAGAAAAGAAGAGCAAAAGCAGGAGTAAGCAAAAGGAAAGAAACAATAAATGCTGGGGCAGAAATGAATGAAATAGAGAACAGAAAAACAATAGAGAAAATTGATAAAACCAAAAGTTGGTTCTTTGAAAAAAGTCAAAGCAACTGACAAACCCTCAGCTAGACTGACCAAGAAAAAAAGAAAAAAGACTTGAAATTACTAGAGTCAGAAATGGAGACGATAATATTACCATTAACCTTTCAGGAATAAAATCCTACCTCCTCCAATGACCAGTTTTATAACCTCAGGTGTTACTTAGCCCCTCTGTGCCTCCCTTATCTCTATTCTTTAATCCCAACACTTTGGGAGGCCGAGGCAGGTGGATCACTTGAGCTCAGGAGTTCAAGACCAGCTTGGGCAACACAGCGAAACCATGTCTCTACTAAAAATGCAAAAATTAGCTAGGTGTGGTGGCGGGCGCCTGTAATCTCAGCTACTTGGGAGGCTGAGACATGAGAATCACGGGAACCTGAGAGGCGGATGTTGCAGTGAGCAGAGATTGCACCACAGCGAGACTCTGTCTCAGAAAAAGAAAAAAGAAAAAAAAGCAGTGGACTCCTAGATCCTATGAAGGCTGCAACCTAGACCCGACAAGAGATCAGAAATTTATTATCCAAAGAATACAGAAGGTCCTGGACAGATGAACACCAGGCACAGGAGAGGAGAAGACAGCAACAACAGAAGGGTTACACAGAAATTCATGTACTCAGTGTTGAGGATATCCAGACCCTTAGTCTTCCTCCACTCAGCTTGGGAACACTGTCAGCAAGGCACAGAGCCCACTCAGGCCTTCATGCCGCACTAGCTCCCAGGGCCCCAGACCTTCTAGTACAATGGAAAAATGAGACTGTCAAGGCATAGCTCTCATCAAAGAAATTCCAGGCCAGGCACAGTGGCTCACACCTGTAATCCCAACATTTTGGGAGGCCAAGGCAGGCGGATCACCTGAGGTCAGGAATTTGAAACCAGGCTGGGCAACATGGTGGAACGCCATCTCTACTAAAAATACAGAAATTGGCCGGGTGCAGTGGCTCACGCCTGTAATCCCAACACTTCGGGAGGCCGAGGTGGGCAGATCACTTGAGGTCAGGAGTTCGAGACCAGCCTGGCTAACATGGTGAAACCCCATCTCTACTAAAAATACGAAAAATTAGCTGGGCGTGGTAGCCTGCGCCTATAATCCCAGCTACTCGGGAGGCTGAGGCAGGAGAATCGCCTAAACCGGGAGGCAGAGGTTGTGGTGAGTCAAGATCATGCCTCTATACTCCAGCCTGGGCGACAGAGCAAGACTCCGTCTCAAAAAAAAAAAAAAAAAGAAAAAAAAAAGCCTACTGAAGCCTGATAGCTTCCAACTTTTCTTCAGCAGCTTCCTCAGCTCTCTCAGCCTTCAGAGAATTGAAGACAGTTAGGGCTTATGCTCTGGATTAGGCTTTGGTTTAAGGGAACGTTGTCGCTGGTCTGATCATCTATCTAGACCACTCAAATTTTCTCCATATCAGCAATAAGGCTGTTCCCTTTCTTATTACTGTGTTCACTGAAATAGCACCTTTTTCTTTATTTATTTTTGTATTTTTTTTTTCTTTTTAGTACAGATGGGCTTTCACCATGTTGGCCAGGGTGGTCTCGAACTCCTGACCTCAAGTGATCCCACCTGCCTTGGCCTCCCAAAGTGCTCAGGTTACAGGCATGAGCCACTGCGCCTGGCCAATTTTTGAGACAGGGTCTCACTCTTTCACGCAGGCTGGAGTACAGTGGCACAATTATACCTCACCACAGCCTCAACCTCCTGGGCTCAAGCCTTCCTCCACCTCAGCCTCCCAAGTAGCTGGGACTACAGGCATTCGCCACCATGCCCAGCTGATTATTTTTTGTTGAGAGGGGGTCTTGCTATGTTGCTCAGGCTGGCCTCAAACTCCTGGGTTCAAGAGACCTTCCCCTGCCTCGGCCTCCCGAAGTGTTGGGATTACAGGCATGAGCCACCAGACCTAGCCAGATAGTTTTTGTTTGTTTGTTTTGAGACAGAGTCTTGCTCTGTCGCCCAGGCTGGAGTGCAGTGGCGTGATCTCAGTTCACTGCAACCTCTGCCTCCCAGATTCAAGCAATTCTCCCGCCTCAGCCTCCCCAGTAGCTGGGATTACAGGTGTGAGCCACCGCGCCCAGCCAATTGTTCTTGAGTGAAATTAAAAGTGCTACTCCAGAGGCGGGGCATGGTGGCTCACAACTTTAATCCCAACACTTGGGACGGCTGAGGCAGGAGGATCACTTGAGCCCAGGAGTTGGAGGCCAGCCTGGACAACATAGCGTGACCTCGTCTCTACTAAAAACTAAAAAAACAAAAAAAAGGCCTATCTTGGCTTTCAACATGCCTTTCTCACTGAGCTTAATTATTTCTAGCTCTTGATGTGAAGTGAGAGATTTGCAACTCTTCCTTACACTTGAACACTTAGAGGCCACTGTACGATTACTAATTGCAAACAGCTGGTTGGTGGAGCGGTCAGAACACATACAATATTGATGGAGTAAGTTTACCGTCTTACACAAGCATCATTCATGATGCCCCAAAACAATTACAATAGTAACATCAAAGATTATTGATCGCAGATCACCATACTAGATATAATAATAACAAACTTTGAAATATTTCAAGAATTACCAAAATGTGGCACAGAGACACATACTGAGCATCCTTTTGGAAAAATAATGCTGGTAGACTTTGCTCGACACAGGGTTGCCAAAAGCCCTCAATTTGAAAAAAACGCAGTACCTGCAAAGCGCAAAAAAGCAAGGCACAATGAAACAAGGGGTGTGCCTGTTTTCTTTGACTCTCACCGAAGCCTTGTGTTTCCACAACATGAGAAAAGGGAGGTTCAGAAGGTGTGGATGATTTTCCTAAATCACCTGGCTAGTAACCAAGTCCCAGGGCCACAGCCTTCCCACCGCAAGGCACTGTCGCCCAAAGCCTTCAGGAGTAAGCTTGGCTGTAGGTTTTCCAGCCATAGGCACACAGCCAGACACAGGTGGGCACTCAGAAATTAGTTACGTGAGTAAATACCCAACAACTAGGAGAAAGCTAGGCAAATTGTGGTTGACCAACAAGACACTGCAAGACTTTTCAGGAGGAAGATGTGGAATTCCACTTATCAACATTAGATGAAAATGCAGAACCTCACATAACAGCCACAAATCTCCCTAGATCTCAGAGGCGGGTCTCCATCCGCTCGGCCTCAATTATCCAGAGCTGAGTCACCAACTATCCTCCCTCCAGTCTCTCCCCAGCTCTCCGCAGGAACCAGCTGGAGCTCTCTACTGCCCACACTGCCAAATCCAAATTCTTCATCCTGGCCTTCACAGCCCTTCCATCTCAACCAATCCAGTTGTTTCCTGAACACTTTCACCCTCCCTGGCCTTTGTTGGACTCTTCCCTCTACCCCACAGAAGCCCATCTTCTCCTTTATCCTGAGATGCAACTTGGCTCATATGGATTCTCAGTGAATGCTGGTGCCTTTCCCCACTTCCATCAAAAAGGGAGCGGTGGCCAGGTGTGGTGGCTCACACCTGTAATCTCAGTACTTTGGGAGGCCAAGGCAGGTAGATCACCTGAGGTCAGGAGTTCAAAACCAGCCTGGCCAACATGGCGAAACCCCGTCTCTACTGAAAATACAAAATTAGCCGGGCGTGGTGGTGCATGCCTGTAATCCCAGATACTCAGGAGGCTGAGGCAGGAGAATCACTTGAACCTGGCAGGCGGAGGTTGTAGTGAGCCGAGATCTCGCCACTGCACTCTAGCCTGGGCAACAAGAGCGAAACTCTGTCTCAAAAAAAAAAAGGAAGCGGCTCACTTTTTTTTTTTTTTAACAAAAGTGGATTTATTCATTTAAACCTATGTGATCACCAAGTTCACTAGAAACTGGCAGGATGAACCTGGAGCCTCACATCCAAGAGCCTCCGGTTTGGGTTTTTCTGGTACGGAGGCAGGGAACTGACTTAGATGACCTGGGCAGCCAGGCTGGTCTGGGCTTGGATGCCTTTCCACCTCTCCTTCCTCTCCTAGTCTATCCCCAGCTCCCTTCCAGGGGTCAGGACCCCAAACTCCTATTAGGCAAGTCTTTTCTTCCCTTAGCAACCCAGTTTCTTCAAACATGGGGAAAAAAGGTAGGAGGAGCTTCTTATCACAATATTTCTTTTTAATTTAGAAAGAGGAGGAGAAAGCTAGGCTCACACCTGTAATCTTAACACTTTGGGAGGTTGAGGCGGTGGATCACTTGAGGTCAGGAGTTCAAGATCAGCCTGGCCAACATGGCAAAACTCAAGTCTCTACTAAAAACACAAAAATTAGCTGGGCACGGTGGTGGGCGTGGGCGCCTTTAGTCCCAGCTACTCAGGAGGCTGAGGCAGGAGAATCGCTTGCAGCTGGGAGGTGGAGGTTGCAGTGAGCTGAGATCGCATCACTGCACTCCAGCCTGGGCGACAGAACGAGACTCTGTCTCAAAAAAAAAAAAAAAAAGAAAAAAGAAAGTAGGGGAGAGAAAAATGACAATAACTTATCACTTGGAAAAAGTTTTCCCACTAAAGTTCTCACCAACTATGTCCAAAGTCCCTCCTTGTTGGGACACTGTAAGCTGTCAATAAATATACCTTGGTCATGCCCCTACATTAGCGCGCACCAACTTACCCCATTTTAAGAGCCTGCGGTAGAGAGGTCTCAGAGTTGCTATAATGGGCCAGCTCCTGGTGAGGGGTATTTAGTTGTTTGCAATTTTCCCGAATGAACAGTTCTGCAAAGAACAATCTTCTATAAGCATTTATCTTTGTTGTACAGCTACTTCAAAAGACAGATTCCTAGAAGTGGAATTACTGTCTTAGAGAATCTACACATTTTAAATTCTGATACTTACTAGTTCAGAAACTTGACACGGTAATTCTCAAACTCTAATTGCACTTAGGCTTTATCTGTGAAGCTTGCTTACGTGCAAAATCTGACCGGCTACCAGCCTCCCTCCACCACTACCCCGTCCTCCAGGAGAGAGGAGGGGCTCCAGGTCTTTGTTATGCAGCTCTCAGGTGGAGGAGGAGGCAGCACTCCCCCGCTTCCATTTTCCCAACCACATCTAGCACCAGACTTGGGAAACACTCGTCTAAGGGGCTGCTGCAGGCACAATTTACGGTGCGGTCTCTTCCTCTAGCCCAGGCCCCCAGTGGCTTCCCCAGAAAGGGCAGAATGTGGCTCTTACGCATACAGGAGAAAAACGCCTAGTGCGGAGTTCAAGCTCAGCAGCCACTACCAGAGCCCCCTCTCCAGGCTCACCTGGTCGCACCCATTTCCCCCTGGGGCTCCCCTCTTCTGAAGGTCCCTGTCCCATACATTTCCTAGAGGCCAAGGCCCATTGGTTTTACATTTCTTACCTAAGGCAACCCAGACGTGGCTTTTTCTTTCACAGGGCCGTGGGGGGAGCACCACTTCCCCGGCCAAAAAAATTGTTTCTGACCCACACTCTGGGCCTTATTTTCCCTGTCTGTGAAATGGAGAGCAACAGGCAGTGCCACTGACATTTCACCCGCTGCCGTGAGGAGGTTTTTAACATTTGCAGGAAGTCTGGCTTCTATGGGGTGTCCAGGTGAAACCTTAACAATCTTTAATCAGCATTCTGATTGGCTTAAGGCTTGTTTGGAAAAAATTAAGAGTTTTGTTCCTAGAGTTCTCCATTGCTAAAGGGTAATTAAGTCCAAAAGCTGTTTTCAAAGCGATTTCCAAGCTCAAGGGCCCTAGATATCTGGACCTAGCCGTGTCCGGGTACAGGGCTGGGGGGCGTGGGGGGATGCCCTAAGAGGCTGGTTAACAGAAATATCACAGTATGTGGTACCCACAGCAGAGAGCAGGGAAGAATGTACTGACTGGGGTGGGGGAGGCCAAGGAAAACCTTCTGGAGTAGGGTGTAACTGGCAGAAGAGGAAAAAGAAACCAGACAGGAACTCCGGGAGCTCCTGGACTGATCGTTTAAGGCCGGGCACAAGGGGTAAGGGATCAGGCTTCACTATCGACCGACCTGGGCTGAATGATACCGGTTGACTGTGTGACAAAAGCAAATCAAGAACCTCTCTGCGGCTCATGAGTAAGCCAGAGACTTACATAGGACAACACATACCCTATCACCCGAGGATGAGACGGGATGACACACACGAAGTGCCCCGCACAGCGTCGTTGTAAAGCGTTGGCTGTTTTCACCTCTGGCCGCCCCCTGTGAGCCCGATCATGTGCTTTTTGGGCTTAGGTCGGAGGCGGCCTCCCAGATTCTACAGGCCATTGAGGTCGTAACAAGCGTCTCCATCAGAGCCTAGTCCTTAACTAGCTGCGGGTAAGTGCCCGGACTAAGTGGCCTCAGTTTCCCCTCGAAGCAACGGGACCAATCGCACCGCCGGCAGGACATCTTGTGCGGGGCGCGAAGTGACAAAAGTCAGGATTTGCAGAAGTTCCCACTCGGTAACGACCCCCACCCCGGCAAGGAGCACAGTAGGCGCTCCGGAAACGCCCTCCACGAGGAGGGCCGGGCCACTTCCTGCCCCCGAGCGGGCTCTCCCCGGCGGAGGCTCCCACCGCCGCTATGGGTAGGCCATGCAGCATTCCTGAGGGCGGGGTGGGCGCAGGAAGAAGGTGCCCGCGGCCCCGCCCCCTCCGGGCGCGCTGGGCGGGGCGAAGCCCCTCGGCGCCGACGGCCCGCCCCGCGGGGGGTGGGCGCAGCTCGTCGCGCTCCGCACAAAGTTTGTTTTCTCCCTCCGGGCGGGTGGGGGAGGGCGCAGAGGGCGCGGGGGGAGGAGAGGGGATCTGACGTCAGGCCGCGAGGTGCTTTCCAGCCGCGAGCTGTCAGGCCGAGTGTCAGGCCGGGCAGGTACGCGGCGCGCGCCCCCGGCGCCCCCCGCTCCCCGCCGGGACGCCCCGCGCCGAGCCGGAGGCCGCGTGGACCCGAAAGCCGCTGGGAAAAGTCAGTGCAGGGAGCAGCAGAGGGCCAGATGGGGGTGGGGGCGCGCGGACAACTTGGAAAGTTTCTTTTTCTCGGCCGGACGGGGAGGGGGCGTCGTCCTGGCGCGTGCGGTAGGGGGTGTGTGAGCTCGGGGGTGTTTGTGAGTCCCGACGGCCCCCGGGGGGTGTTTGTGAGTCCCGACGGCGCTGCGCTCCGGGGGCCGGTGGGGGACTGTTCCAGCCCCCGGGAGGAAGCCCGCTTGGGGCCCTGGTGGGGGGCCCAGCTTCATAGGATCCCACCCCAGGAGAGGGCCGATCCTGCACCGGACCTGAGTGAGCGCGCGGGGGGACGGATTTGTTTGGTTTCAAAAGTGCACGTTGCTAACCGCCAGCAGGGCCCCCCCGCCGCCGAGCCGGACAGGGGGCGGCCGAGAGTGACAGCTGGGGGTGGGGGCCGCGGGAAGGGCCCGGAGCGGGGGGGCCCTGGGGAGCCCGCGCGAGTTCCCCTTTCCTTTGGAACAAAGGAAAGTCTGTCTCCGAGGCATCTGTCACTCCCAGGCTGGCCAAGGAAGCGGGGCGCGTGGGGCCGGCGCCCCGGAGAAAGTTTGTTCGCGCCGGGACCCTCGGGCAGGCCGAAGGTGATCCAAGCCTCCCGCGGGAGAAGCGCGTAGTCTCCGGGGCAGGGGGCGGCCAACATGGAGTCTGGGCGCAGGGCTGGGGGGGGGGGGGCGGCGCGGAGGTGGGAGCCCAGCCCCCTCCCCTCCCTTCCCCTCCCCTCCCCCTCCGGGCCCAGTTCGGAGCACAAAGCCGAGCGCGCACGCTCCGCCGTCCCCGCGCCCCGAAGAGTCGGCCAGCCCCGAACTGCCGGAGTAGGGGTGGGAACCAAACTTTTTCCTGCCCCGGGACAGACACGTGAGTTTTCTTTCTTCCAGAGCCCCCGTCCCACCGGGATGGCGGGCCCGCGCGGGAGCTGGTGCGCGGAGTCGGCCCGGGGTGTGGGGACTGTGGGGTGCAAGCGCCCCGAGCGCCGGACGATTCCTCGCCGACCCAGGAGCCATGTGCTCCGACTCGGTCTGGGCCGCGGGGGAGGTTGCGCGCTTTGTCTGAACTGCTGGGAATGCGGGCGTGAGTGCGCGGCCCGGGGGAGTGTCGGGACCAGCTAGGGGAGTTGTCAGAAAGTTCGTGCGGGAGTGGCTGCAGGTGGCGTCGTGGGAGTCTGTAGGAGGGTGTACGGGATGTTGTGTCGAGGGGTTGCTGCCACAGGTCACTGAGGGTAGAACTGATTGTTAGTGTGATGACGCCTGGAGTTTTCCCTGTCGGAGAGATCGGGGGTGGCCGGGTCGGTTGGAGTTCGTGGGTGGGCGGGTACAGAAGTTGGGCTAGTTGTGTGGGTCACAGTTGTTCGTGCTAGGCCTGGGGTCTGTAAGCTGTGCGTGTGCGTGCTGTATGCGTCGGTGAAAACCCTAGGGTTTGTAAGGCTTGAGCGATGGGTCCGGGCCAGTTATCCTAGCGCTGTTGGTTAATTGCCTGGCGTGAGTGTGTCTGGGTGCGGTGTGGGGTGCATATGTGGGAAGCCTCCCAGACTACAGATGGCCCTGTGTGGCGGAACACCGAGGTGGAGAAGTTTGTGTAGACTGAGGGGTCATTCCCCAGGGCCCACCCGGGGAACCCTGCAGACAGACTTGGCTGGCAGCCAGGGTGGAATTTGTACAGATAACCTTGAGTACTTCTCACAGCCGGCCAGGGCTGCATCACTGAGCCCAGATCCCAGCTGCCCTGGCCACCTAGAAATGGCTGTCTGACCTCAGAAAGCAGCCTGCAGTGGTGCTCTCTGAGGAGTGGCACGTCTAACCAGTGCCTGTCTCACCTCCAGGTGGCCTGACTGAAAGGGTAGACCCTTCCCTCGAAAGCCTGGCCTAGCCAGCCCAGAGATCTGGGCTCGGGTCCAAGAAGAGGAAACAAAACCTGGGAGATGCCAGAGTCTGTTGGCCGGCCTGCTGGGGAGCTGTTAAAAGGCTGAGAAGGGAGGAGCCTTGAGATCCTGGCATCAGCCTGGCCTAGAACTTTTGCTTTTAAAATGAAAATCTGGCTGGGCGGGGTGGCTCACACCTGTAATCCCAGATCTTTGGGAGGCCGAGGCGGGCAGATCACCTGAGGTCAGGAGTTCAAGACTAGCCTGGCCAACATGGCAAAACCCTGTCTCTACTAAAAAAAAAAAAATAGCTAGATGTGGTGGCACACACCTGTAATCCCAGCTGTTCGGGAGGCTGAGGCAGGAGAATTGCTTGAACCTGGGAGATGGAGATTGCAGTGAGCCAAGATTGCGCCACTGCACTCCAGCCTAGGCTACAGAGCGAGACTCCATCTCAAAAAAAAAAAAAGAAAGAAAGAAAGAAAGAAAATCTTTGTTGCACGTGTGAAACAGAACTTTGTCCAGGGACTGAGCAGCTGAGTTGGGTTATCTAGGGAAAATCCTTCCTTCATTTGACAGGTGAAGAGGGGACTCAAGCCCAGAAAGGGGAGGATCCTTGTCCAAGTTACAGTGCCAAGTGGAGGGTGGGCCTTGCTCATTCACCTGGATTTTGAGTGGTTGAGTCTAGGACCAGGCTAAAGGGGCCTGACAAAGGAGAATGTCCAAGAAGCAACCAGTAGAGAGATGACTCACCTCTCTCACTGCAAGGTACACAGTAGGTGCTCCTTAAATATTACTTGGACTGCTGCAGGATCATGGTGATCTGTAGTTTCCAGAGTTCTCACTGGCCCTTGGGAGACCTAGGAGGCAAGACAGTATACAGCTCACAAGAGGGGGTGGGGAGAGGCCTGGTCCAAATCCGACTTCACTATCCTAACCTGGGGGTGGGATTTTTTTCCTTTACAGCTTTATTGAGATATAACTCACATACCATGCAATTCACCCATTAAAGTATACTCATCAGCAGGTTTGGTATGTTTGCAACCATCACTATAGTCAATTTTAGGACTTTTTTGCGGGGGGATAGGGGGACAGGGTCTTGCTCTGCCTCTCAGATGGGAGGGCAGTAGTGTGATCTCATCTCATTGCAACCTCTGCCTCCGGGCTCAAGCGATTCTTCCACCTCAGCCCCCAGAGTAGCTGGGACCACAGACATGCATTACCGTGCTCAACTAATTTTTGTATTTTTTGTAGAGATGGGGTTTCACCGTGTTGCCCAGGCTGGTCTTGAACTACTGAGCTCAAGCGATCCACCTGCCTTGGCCTCCCAAAGTGCCAGGAGTATAGGTGTGAGCCACAGCACGTGGCATTTTTTTTTTATTATTTTATTTTTGAAAACAGGTTTTTAATTATGTCGTCCAGGTTGACATGCACTGGTGCGATCATAGCTCACTACAGCCTTGAACTCCTGGGTTCAAGGGATCCTCTCACCTCAGCCTCTCAGAATAGCTGGGACTACTGGCACACCATCACACTGGGCTAATTTTTATTTTATTTTATTTTTTTATTTTTTTCTTTTGTTGAGACAGGGAATCACTCTGTCACCCAGGCTGGAGTGCAATGCCATGATCTCAGCTCACTGCAACCTCTGCCTTCTAGGTTCAAGCAGTTCTCCTGCCTCAGCCTCCCAAGTAGCTGGGATTACAGGTGTGTGCCACCACACCTAGCTAATTTTTTTTTTTTTTTGGTATTTTTAGTAGAGACGGGGTTTTGCCATGTTGGCCAGGCTGGTCTCGAACTCCTGACCTCAGGTGAGCCACCCACCTCGGCCTCCCAAAGTGCTGGGATTACGAGCGTGAGCCACCGTGTCCGGCCTTTGTTTGTTTTTGTTTTTTTTTTTTTGAGATGGAGTCTCGCTGTGTCACTAGGCTGGAGTGCGGTGGCACGATTTCGGCTCACTGCAACGTCCACCTCCCAGGTTCAAGCAATTCTGCCTCAGCCTCCCGAGTAGCTGGGACTACAGGCACGCGCCACCATGCCCAGCTAATTTTTGTATTTTTAGTAGAAACAGGGTTTCACCCTGTTGGCCAGGATGGTCTCAATCTCTTGACCTCGTGATCTGCCTGCCTCGGCCTCCCAAAGTGCTAGGATTACAGGCATGAGCCACTGTGCCCGGCCTTTGTTTTTTGAGACCTTTTTTATTTTGTTGTCACCCAGGCTGAAGTGCAGTGGCACAAACACAGTTCACTACAGCCTTGACCTCCTGGGCTCAAGCAATTCTGCCTCAGTCCCACAAGTAGGTGGGCTTACAAATGCACAGCATGACACCTGGCTTATTTTTGTATTTTGTGTGTGTGTGTGTGAGCCACTGCGCAGGCCTTGGGCAGCTTTCTTGATCTCTGTTACCTCATCTATAAAATGATGATAATAATAGCTTCTCCCTTATTGGGGAATTGTAATGATTAAATGAGATAACATGTAAAATGCTCAGTACAGGCCAGGCATGGTGGCTCACGCTTGCAATCCCAGCACTTTGGGAGGCTGAGGCTGCTAGATCTCTTGAGGCCAGCAGTTAAGACCAGCCTGGCCAATATGGTGAAACCCTGTGTCTACCAAAAAATACAGAAAGTCAGCCAGGCATGGTGGTGCATGCCTGTAATCCCAGCTACTCAGAGGCTGAGGTGGGAGAATCACTTGAACCCAGGAGACAGAAGTTGAAGTGAGCCAAGATGGCGCCACTGCACTCTAGCATGGGCTACAGAGTGAGAGCCTCTCTCAAAAAAAAAAAAAAAAGAAAAGAAAAAACCAAATGCTTAGTACCGAACATGGAAAACAGTAGACCTCAGTAGAAGCTGTAATTGTTTCCAGCCTGAGTCCTGCTTGTGAATGAGCTGCCATTCGGTAGTCACCTACCTGTTCCATGAAGTGGAGGAACTTTGGACTCATCCCTTCTAGCTTGCTCGGTCTGTGTTACGGCCTGAGATTCTGAATTGCAACTACCCCATTTCTGGTGTCCCAGGCTCAAGTAATGCTGAGCATGTTTGGAGACTAGGAAAAGGCGGTACGTGCTAATGATGTTCCCATCCCCTGTGTCCCTTGTCCCAGGTTTACCCAAGGTCCAGCCTAGCCCCTAGGCACCATGTCGGACAGTGATCTAGGTGAGGACGAAGGCCTCCTCTCCCTGGCGGGCAAAAGGAAGCGCAGGGGGAACCTGCCCAAGGAGTCGGTGAAGATCCTCCGGGACTGGCTGTACTTGCACCGCTACAACGCCTACCCCTCAGAGCAGGAGAAGCTGAGCCTTTCTGGACAGACCAACCTGTCAGTGCTGCAAGTAAGGAGGGGATCTGGATAAGGGGGTGGCAGGAGGACCTGGGTTCTAGTCCTATTCCAGCTGTGTCACTGAGTCACTGTGGTCTTGGGCCACTCACTTTCACTGTCTGGGCTTCGGTTTCTTCTTGGGTTAGGGGAGAACACCCACTCTCCCTGTCTCAAGGGAAGACAATGAAATAGGGTCGCTGCAGTCAATTTCAGACTTTAGATAGTCCTTTTTTTTTGAGACGGAGTCTTGCACTGTCACCCGGGCTGGAGTGCAGTGATGCGATCTCGGCTCACTGCAACCTCCGCCTCCCGGGTTCGAGTGATTCTCCTCCCTCAGCCTCCCGACTAGCTGGGATTACAGGCGCCCGCCACCACGCCCAGCTAATTTTTTGTATTTTTAGTAGAGACAGGGTTTCACCATGTTGGCCAGGCTGGTCTCGAACTCCTGACCTTGTGATTCACCCGCCTCAGCCTCCCAAAGTGCTGGGATTACAGGCGTGAGCCACCACGCCTGGCCCAGACTTTGGATAGTTCTGAAGAGGCAAGGAATTTAATGTTGTCAAAGTCTAGGTGTCATCCTTAACTTTGGAGGCCAAGGGAAGATGAGAAGGCATCGAGCATCTAGGATTCAGCCCCCAGCCCCAACGCAGTATTGGACGGCGACTTGGTTGAAAGGGGCAGCTGTAATTTGCAGTGTGGTTAAGAGATGGGGCAGGATCACAGTCCAGGAAAGGGCAGAAGTCAGAGGTTCTGTGTTCATAATCCAGTTCTGCCTCACGTCTTGATTTCCTTATCTGTAAAGGGGCAGGGGGTACACAGAGTCTTCCCCTGCCTGGTGGATCTGTTGTGACGAATAGATTCAGAACTGGATGTGAAAGTGCTTTGCAAACCATGCACATGAACACACTCAAAAGATAGCCTTATCCCCTTTTTGTCAGAGTGCAAAGTACTGTCCCCTTTGAATCGCGCCTATTGCTGACCCGCAGGTGTCTTTGTTCTGCTTTCCTGGAGCAGAGGCGGGGGACCCTGAACCACCATTGCTTTGCCTCCAGTTTGCCTCTCCCCTTCCTGGAGACACACAGTAGGCCCTTAGCCTAATACAAGAGGCCCAGCCCTGCCCTGCTGGCCCCCACTGCTCCCTTCCTGAGCCAGTCAAACCTCTCCCACAAGCTCTCCTGTTTCTCTTTCCCCCTCTGTCCTTTCATAGCTTATTACTCCAACCTTTGATGCTGTCTCTCCCTCCTTCCCTTATCCCACTCTGAACCTCCCACGTCTTCCTAGCTCCTATCTTTCTTCCATGTAGAGACATGGTAAGTATTTTAGCCCTCAGAACTCCTGTCACCTGACTTTATACTCTGGGCAATGGTTAATCCAAGTCTCTGTATGAGAAAGGCTCTAAAGTTACAGATCCTGACTCAGATTCCATCTTCTCCACAAGAGGAAACCTGGACCTTGGCCAGGTCACTGCCTTCTCTGTGAGCCTCATTATTCCCTCATCTGAAAAAAGGGAGGTGATTGTAGCACTTTCATGAGTGTAGGGAGAAAGGGACGAGAAGAAGAATTCAAGGCTCACTGGGGCCCTTCACAGTGGCTCACACCTGTAATCCCAGCACTTTAGGAGACCAAGGTAGGAGGATCGCATGCGCCCAGGAGTTTGAGACCAGCCTGGGCAACATAGGGAGACCCCATCTGTACAAAACAAAAAAATTAGCTGGGCATGGTGGTACATACCTGTAGTCTCAGCTACTTGGGGGGCTGAAGTGGGAGGAAGGATTACTTGAGCCCTGGAGGTGGAGGCTGCAGTGAGCTGTGATCGCACCACTGCACTCCAGACTGGGCGAAGGAGTGAGACATTGTCTCAAAAAAAAAAAAAAAAAAAAAAAAAACAAGGCCAGGCACGGTGGCTCACACTTGTAATCCCAGCACTTTGGGAGGCCAAGGCGGGTGGATCACCTGAGGTCGGGAGTTCAAGACCAGCCTGGCCAACATGGAGAAACCCCATCTCTACTAAAAATACAAAAAAAATTGCCAGGTGTGGTGGTGCATGCCTGTAATCCAAGCTACTCGGGAGGCTGAGGCAGGAGAATTGCTTGAACCTGGGAGGCGGAGGTTGCGGTGAGCCGAGATGGTGGCATTGCACTCCAGCCTGGGCAACAAGAACAAGACTCGGTCTCAAAAAAAACACCTACTGGTCAGTGTTTGGCATACAGTGGGTGTTTCTACTGTTTTCAGCTTCATCTCTGCCTAAGGCACAAAGTCTTTGGCTGATCCTGGGTGCCCAGCAGTGCGTGGCATCTCACAGTGTACCTCCTCAGCATGGAGCTGTGCAGAGTTGGGATCTGAGAGAGGCTCCAGACACATTCTTACCCTCGAGGAGTGTCTGGACAGCCTCTTTGCGGGTCTCCCTGCCTTCAGCCTTCAGCCTTCAGCCTTGTTCATTTAATCCATTATTTTGAACACAAAAGCCCAAATCTGATAGGGCCAGGCACTCCTGGACTCTACTGCCCTCAGGATAGAGTCCAAACTGATCTACAGCCTAGGTTTGGGGCTGCTGCTTATATTCCCAGTGCACCTCACCCTGTCCTGTCAAACCACTTGTCACACTCTATTGGAATTACTTTTTGTCAGGGACACTTTCTCAAACCTGAGAAATATACTAACTCCTTTTATTTATTTATCTGTGTGTGTGTGTGTGATGGAGTCTTGCTCTGTCACCCAGGCTGGAAGTGCAGTGGTGCGATGTCAGCTCACTGCAACCTCTGCCTCCCGGGTTCAAGTGATTCTCCTGCCTCAGCCTCCTGAGTAGCTGGGATTACAGGTGCATGCCCCTACGCCCAGCTAATTTTTGTATTTTAAGTAGAGACAGGGCTTCACTATGCTAGCCAGGCTGGTCTTGTACTCCTGGCCTCAAGTAATCCGTCCACCTCAGCCTCCCAAAGTGCTGGGATTACAGGCGTGAGCCACCATGCCTGGCCCATCTTTTTAAAGAAAACATTTTTCGGCCGGGAATGGTGGCTCATGCCTGTAATCCCAATACTTTGCGAGGCCGATGCGGGCGGATCACCTGAGGTCAGGAGTTCAAGACCAGCCTGACCAACATGGTGAAACCCCATCTCTCCTAAAAATACAAAGTTAGCCAGACGTGGTGGCTCATGCCTGTACTCTCAGCTACTCAGGAGGCTGAGGCAGGAGAATCACTTTTGAACCCGGGAGGCGGAGGTTGCGGTGAGCCAAGATCATGCCATTACACTCCACCTGGGCCACAAGAGCGAAACTCGGTCTCAAAAAATAAAAAAATAAAGAAAACATTTTTCATGGACCCATCTCCCCGCAAGATGTTAACCTGAATCATTTTTATCATATCACTTAGGTAAAACATAAAACTGGGTATATATATAAAAAAAAAACCACTTCTTTTTGCTTTTGTTCTTATACCTAACCTTAAAATCAAACTGTTTCCAAAGTAGATAAATGTAAAAACCGTGACATTCCACCTGACTGTGTTAACTGAAAATGGTGGGTGGTGCTTTGCTGACTGCACTGCAGGATGTGGTGTGGCAAAGGCACAGACTCAGCAGAGTAGATCTGGATGGTCTTAGGCCCCGATGCTCCTACTGGTGATGAAAATGGAAACCCAAAGCCAAACATCCTTCTAGAGAACTGGCGAACCCCTCAAGGTGACACATCCACAGGTCCCACCTGGAGAAATGTAAATGTAAGGAAAGGAAACTGGGCATCCCCTGGAGGGAGGGGACCCGTGGTGGCCACCTGCTCTAGAGTCATGCCGAGAGTTAAGAGCAGTGGGGACCACCCAGCCCTCCTTGATGGAAACTGACCATGAATCCCATGTCAGCCCCAGCTGCACACCTGTCTGGTAACTCCTCCCAGTTAGTTCATTGCCCTCAGCTCATTTGGTCAATTACCAGCTCCTGTACAAATACCCCTTAAATATTTCAGGGTTTTGGCTTCTTTCCTACCCTCATCTAAACCATCATTATCTGATCACAATCATTTATCACTCCCCAACTTAAAACCCTTCAGGCCAGGCATGGTGGTTCGTGCCTGTAATTCCAGCACTTTGGGAGGCTGAGGCAGGCAGTTCGCTTGAGGCCAGGCCAGGTGTTTTGAGGCCAGCCTGGTTAACATGGTTAACTTCTTCAATACTAAAAATACAAAAATAGCCGGGCATGGTGGTACATGCCTGTAACCCCTGCTACTCAGGAGGCTAAGGTACAAGAGTCACTTGAACCAGGAGGACGAGACTGCAGTGAGATCGCACCACTGCACTCCAGCCTGGGCAACAGCAAAACTGTCTCAAAAAAAAAAAACAAACAAACAAACAAAAAAAACCTTCAGTGGTCTGGCAGGGTAACTCATACCTGTAATCCCAGCACTTTGGGAGGCTAGGATGGGAGACTTTCTTGAGCCCAGGAGTTCAAGGCTACAGTGAGCTATGATCATGCCACTGCCCTCCAGCCTAGGTGACAGAGCAAGACCCTATCTCTAAAAAGAAAAAAAAAAAAAAGGCTGGGCACTGTGGCTTATGCCTGTAATCCCAGCACTTTGGGAGGCCAAGGCGGGTGGATTACCTGAGGTAAGGAGTTGGAGACCTACCTGGCCAACTTGGTGAAACCTTGTCCTACTAAAAATAAAAAAAATTAGGCTGGGCGCAGTGGCTCATGCCTATAATCCCAGCACTTTGGGAGGTTGAGGCGGGTGGGTCACCTGAGGTCAGGAGTTTGAGGCCAGCCTGGCCAACATGGCGAAACCCCGTCTCTACTAAAAATACAAAAATTAACCAGGTGTGGTGCTGTGTGCCTGTAATCCCAGCTACTTGGGAGACTGAGGCAGGATAATTGCTTGAACCTGGGAAACGGAAGTTGGAATGAGCCGAGACTGAGCCACCGCACTCCAGCCGGGGCAACAGACTGAGACTCTGTCTCAAAAAAGAAAAGAAAAAAAAACTAGCTGGGCGTGGTTGCAGGTACCTGTAATCCCAGCTACTTAGGAGGCTGAGGCAAGAGAATTGCTTGAACTCGGGAGGCAGAGGTTGTAGTGAGTTGTGATTGCACCATTGCACTCCTGCCTGGGCAACAGAGCAAGAGTCCATCTCAAAAAAAAAGAAAAAAAAATTCAATGGCTTTTGCCAGCCTAATGACATCACCGGCCCGTGTCTACATCTTGAACCTCAACCCTGGTCCCCTACATTCCCACTACATTGATCCACCTCCCCAGACCATTTTCCTCCCACCCCTGACCAGGAGGCTCCCAGTCCCTAAAGGAGCTGTATGCTCTCACAGCAGATAGATGAGGTCACAGCACTGGGACACTAAACTGTAATTGCTTTTAGACTGCACCAAATTCTAGAGGTGTGGAGAGCACTGACCTAGTGTTCACAGTTACAGCCCTAGTGTAGCATAGTGCTTGGTATCTGGTAGGTAGGTGCTCAGTAAATAATGTTGAAGTGGCAGAAAAGGGCTATAAAGTGGTGGAAGGGTCAACAGGCAGGACCTCAGAAGTAAGGAAATGTAATGGCTCCTAATCATGAAAAATAGCCTAAAGCCTGGGAGCATCATTTTTTCCTGTATTTATTAATTAATTTTTTTTTTTTTTGAGACGGAGTCACTCTGTCGCCCAGGCTGGAGTGCAGTGGCGCAATCTCAGTTCACTGCAACTTCTGCTGCCCAGGTTCAAGCAATTCTCCTGCCCCAGCCTCCCGAGTAGCTGGGATTACAGGCACCTGCCACCAGGCTGAGCTAATTTTTGTAGTTTTAGTAAAGACAGGGTTTCACCATTTTGGCCAGGCTGGTCTCGAACTCCCGACCTCAGGTGGTCTCACTTCAGCCTCCCAAAGTGCTGGGATTACAGGCGTGAGCCACTGCTCCCGGCCTCCTGTATTTAATTTTTTAAATTTCATTTTCCATTAAGGACATTTAAGAATATCTATAAAAGCTGAACGCAGGCTGGGCACAGTGGCTCACACCTATAATTCCAGCACTTTGGGAGGCCGAGGCAAACGGATCACCTGGGGTTGGAAGTTTGGGACCAGCCTGACCAACACGGAGAAACCCCATCTCTACTAAAAAATAGACAATTAGCTGGGCATGGTGGCGCATGCTTGTACTCCCAGCTACTCAGGAGGCTGAGGCAGGAGAATCACTTTTGAACCTAGGAGGTGGAGATTGCCGTGAGCGAGATCCTGCCATTGCACTCCAGCCTGGGCAACAAGAGTGAAACTCCATCTCAAAAAAAAAGAGAAAAAAGCTAGGCACAGTGTCTCACGCCTGTAATCCCAACACTTTGGGAGGCTGAAGCGGGTGTATCACTTGAGGCCAGGAGTTGTAGACCAGTCTGACCAATGTGGTGAAACCCCGTCTCTACTAAAAATAGTCCCAGCTATTCGGGAGGCTGAAGCAGGAGAATCACTTGAACCCGGGGGTGGTGGAGGTTGCAGGGAGCCAAGATCATGCCACTGCACTCCAGCCTGGTCTACAGAACGGGACTCTGTCTTTAAAAAAAAAAAAAAAAAAAAAAACTCCACAAAAGTAAGAGAATATAATAATCAACCACCAGCACCAGTCACTCGGCTTGAACAAGTATCAACATTTTGCCAAGCTTGTTTTATCTCTCCCTGGGGACATCTCTTTTGATTGTCTCCTTTAACCCTCCCAGGAGCGATTCATTAGCAAGTCAATGACTCAACTAACTGGTTTGCTGGTACTTGCCTGGGGCTAGGCAGTTGGGAGGGTTAGGGAAAAAAGTAGTTTGTAAAGGATTTTCACAGGTCCCTTCGACATCCTCTAAGCCCAATTTATTGGTTGGACTAGATCTGTGGCTACCTGGCAGGGTTCTGGGCCCCAATCCTTTACTGTAACAATGGTTGGGGATATACCACGTGCCAGGCCCGGGACTCTGTGCTGGGTATACAGTGGTAGAATGGGTACCTTCCCATTACTTCCTGGCTGTCAGGACTCCTTTCATATGCAGTTTCCTGAGGGAAGCCTTCCCAAAGCCCATACCGGGGCAGGGGCAGCAGTCCCCCTGGCGAGGGCTGTTGGGTGAGAAAGGAACCTGGTGCAGAGGCTGTAGTGGTCAGCTGTGGGGGAGGAGTGTCCTGGCCTAGCCCCCAGGGCAGCCAGGGATGTAGGAGCTGCTCTCCTCTGGCTCCAAAGCTAGCTGCCCTCTGATTCCTCCCACAGGCAACTTCTATTTTTCCCCATCTCAAGGCCTTTCATCTGTGTGTATGTTTTTTGAACTTCTGTGTAAGCTTTTTGGCTTAAATAAAGGGCTTGGCCTGCAAGGACAAGTAACCAGTAGGCTAAACCATTGGTTCCTAAGCCTGGGCGGCCAGACTTTCTGGGTAGCTGGTCTGAAAACACATTGCCAACTCCACCCCTCACCCCCACTAGATCAATAAAGCAGAGGGGGAAATCACTAACAGTTTTTAAAAATCTCTCCCAGGCTGGGTGTGGTTGCTCTGCCTGTAATCCCAGCACTTTGGGAGGCCAAAGCGGGCAGATCACTTGAGGTCAGGAGTTTGAGACCAGCCTGGCCAACACGGTGAAACCCTGTCTCTATTAAAAATACAAAAATTACTTGGGCATGTTGTCGTGTGCCTGTAATCCCAGGTACTTGGGAGGCTGAGGCAGGAGAACTGCTTGAACCCGAGAGGCGGAGGTTGCAGTGAACTGAGATCGCACCATTGCACTCCAGCCTGGGCAAAGAAGTGAGACTCCATTTCCCCCCCCCCAAAAAAAAAAATCTCCCCTAAGGTGATTCTAATACAGAGAGCTGCCTTCAAGAGCACCTGGATATGGTAGTCTCAGTGTGAATGGTGGTACCATGATGTTTGGGAAAGGCGCCTCAGTGCCTTTGCTTCCTTGACACAAAAATGAGAGGGTTTCTGCCTGCATTCATTAGCTGCTGCTCCCAGCATCACAGCCTTTGTCAGCCTCCTGGTGTTCCTCCCACCCCCATTTGCCACAGTGATTCCTCCCTTGTTCCTCAGCAGCCTCTCAGATAGAGCCCTGTTTTATGGTAGAGACCGGCTTTCCGGTTCCCAGCCTGTGTTTTGCCATATACATCACAGAGTTCACTTTGACCTTCTTCCTACCATCTCCCCAAGGACCTTGAGTGGAGACAAGTCACAGGTTCTTTTCCTGACTTAGGCACAGGCTGGGCAGCTGGAAGGGCTGCAGAAGGGGCACTGGCAGCCACTCAGTCCCCCCGCGTTGCCTTGCCCAGCCCCTCAGCTGTGCATTTTTCTGGGCTAAGAAGACAAAACAGACAGATGCTAGGCTGCCAAGTGATCTGGACAGGACAGTCTTGTGGGGGAGTGTGTGGAGGGGTGTTTTTCTGTTCTTGAACCCTCAGCCAAAGTGGGAAGTGCCTTTAGGGGCTAGGTGCCCACACAGATGCTGAGAAATGCCCAGACTGCCCTCCATGAGGCTGCCTGCTCAACAACACTCCTTACTTTGCTTGACCCAGGTCACTGTGACCTGCCCATTTTTCCCCTGCATCCAGGGCTGAGGTGGAGAGGGGCAGTGTACTCCTGCAGCACAGGTATGGGAGGAGGCAGCTGTGGGAGGGAGGGAGAGAAGGACACAGGCACTGCTCCTGTGCAAGGAAGACTCCCTCTCACTCTTCAGCTGGCAGTGGGGTGGCTGCCCAGAACCAGGCTGTCTGGATCAAACCCAGCTTTTGCACTTGTGACCTTCAACAAGTTTCTGAACCTCTCCGATCTGTTTCTTCAAGGGAGATCATCATATAACCTGTGTGATAGGCTGAGATTGAATGAATAATTAGATATGAAATGTGAATAGTGCCTGAGGCCAGGCGTGGTGGCTCACACCTGTAATCCCAACACTTTGGGAGGCTGAGGTGAGCAGATCATTTGAGTTCAGGAGTTTGACACCAGCCTGGCCAACATGGGGAAACCCCATCTCTACAAAAAATACCAAAAAAAAAGTACCTGGGCATGGTGGCACATGTCTGTGGTCCCAGCTACTCGGGAGGCTGAGGTGGGAGAATTACCTAAACCCAGGAGGTCAAGGCTACAGTGAACTGTGATTCCACCACTGCACTCCAGCCTGGGTGACAGAGTGAGACCCTGTCTTTAAAAAAAAAAAAAAAAAGCACAGCAAAGCAGTGGAGGCCCTAAAGCCAGGAGGCCTGGTTTTAAATCCCAGCTCTGCACTGGGAAGATGTGTGACTGGACAAGAGCTTTCTTCTCATTGAGCTCAGTTCTCTCTAGTACTTTGGGGACACTGCCCTCTACCCTCCAGGCTTGTATGCAGATTAAACATAATGCAAGTGAGGTGGCTGGCATGATACTGCTATCAAAGGTGTTTGAGTAAGTTTGTTCCCTTCCTTCATCCCACCTAGCTGTTGAGCCCTTCCTTCTTTTTTTTTTTTTTTTTTTTTTTTTTTTGAGATGGAGTCTTGCTTTGTCGCGCAGGCTGGAGTGCAGTGGCGCAATTTTGACTCACCGCAACCTCTGCCTTGTGGGTTCAAGCAGTTCTCTCAGCCTCCTGAGTAGCTGAGACTACAGGCACATGCCACCACACCCTGCTAAGCCCTTCCTCTCTTTAGGGTTTTCCCACAGCTCTAGTCAGGATTCAGCTCAACCAGCGTCCACTGAAGCCTGTTGGTATGTGTGTGCATTGGAGCACCATAGTGGTGAAGAGGGGCAAATAAGGACCCCAGAGCCAGGGCCCCTCCTGGCTGGAATGGAATGGGAGAGAAGGGCCACAGAAGCTTCTGGCTCTGCCCTGCCTATGAGCCTTCCAGCCCGACAGCCTGGTGCTGTCTTTGAGTCACCTGTGGAATAGATGCAGCTGCAGTTAGCTAGGTTAGGAGAAAAGACAGGACCAGAAGAAGGACCTAGAGTGTGAAATTTCAGTCAAGCCACCGTTTAGACCACTTAATGGTTTTCCATGGTGCTCTGGCCTGGTTGTCAGCCCTGTCCACCTCTGAGCTCATCAGCTACCATTCACCGGTTCCTTAAGCCAACCCTTTCCTGCCTCAGTTCAGTTGCATTGGAGGACCATAGAGGTGAAGGAGGGCAGATGAGAACCCCACGGCCAGGGCCTTTCCTTGGAATTGTCTAGAACATTCTTAGCTTTCTGTATGGCTAGCTCTTCTAATCCTTATGTCTCAGCCTTCCAGAACCCTTAGCTATGGGAGTTTCTCTTATCTTTATAATGCCCCCTTTATTCTTGTTTCTGTTGGGGGCTTGTTGGTGGTTATTCACCTAATGGTTAATAGTCAGTCTCCATGACTAGGTGCACTATAAGCTCCACAGGGTGGAGTGCATGTCTGTTTAATTCACAAAGGCATCCCAGCACTGAGAACTGGGCCCAATATACCAGGCACTCAAATAATATTTGAATGAGCAAGAAGCCTTGAAGAGCAGCAGGAAGGTGAGAAGCTCTAACTTGACTTTTTTTTTTTTTTTTAAGACGGAGTCTCACTCTGTTACCCACGCTGGAGTGCAATGGCGTGGTCATGGCTCACTGCAACCTCTGCCTCCCGGGTTCAAGCAGTTCTCCTGCCTCAGCCCCCCAAGTAGCTGGGACTACAGGCGCGTGCCACCACACCCGGCTAATTTTTGTATTTTTAGTAGAGACGGGGTTTCACTATGTTGGCCAGGCTGGTCTCAAACTCCTGACCTCGTGATCTGCCCACCTCGGCCTCCCAAAATGCTGGGATTACAGGCGTGAGCCACCACGCTCGACCGACTTTTTTTTTCTTTGAGACAAGGTCTCACGCTGTCACCCAGGCTGGAGTACAGTGGCACAGTCACAGCTCACTGCAGCCTCAAACTCCTGGGCTCAATTGATCCTATCACCTCAGCCTCGCAAGTAGCCGAGACTACAGACACGCACCACCATACCCAGCTAATTTTTGTACTTTTTGTAGACACAGGGTTTTGCCATGTTGACCAGGCTGGTCTGGAACTCCTGAGCGAAAGCCATCCGCCCACCTTGGCCTCCTAAAGTACTGGGACTGCAGGCGTGAGCTGCAGCACCCAGCCTGACTCTCCAGGCTGGAGTGCACTGGCATTATCACGGCTCACTGCAGTCTCTGCCTCCCTGGCCTCAGGTGATCCTCCCACCTCAGCCTCCTGGGTAGCTGGGGCTATAGGGCACATGCCATCACAACAGCTGATTTTTTTGTATTTTTGTAGAGATGTGGTTTCACCATGTTGCCCAGGCTGGTCTCGAATCCCTGGGCTCAAGTGATCTGCCCACCTCGGCCTCCCAAAGTGCTGGAATTACAGGTGTGAGCCACCGTGCCCAGCCGGGGGAGGGTCTTCATGTCCGGGCTCTGGAGTCTGGACTTGATCCTGTAGGCAGTAGGAGACAAATGGCAGTTTGCAACCTCCTCCTCCCAGGTTCAAGCAAGTTTCCTGCCTCAGCCTCCTAAGTAGCTGGGATTGTAGGTGCCTGCCACCATGCCCAGCTAATTTTTGTATTTTTAGTAGAGACAGGGTTTCACTATGTTGGCCAGGTTGGTGTGTGTTCTTATTTAACTCTGTCTTCCCACTATGAACCTCTGTGTTTTCTTCCATGTTCTGGGGTCCTGAGACATAGTAAGTGCTTCATAGCTGTTTGTTTTGGTTTGTTTTGAAACAGTATCTTGTTCTATTGCCTAGACTGGAATCCAGTGGTGCGATCATAGCTCATTGCAGGCTCCACCTCTTGGGCTCCAGCTATCTTCCGATCTCAGGCTCCCAAGTAGTTGGGACCACAGGGGTGCACCACTACACCTGGCTAACTTCTTTTGTAGAAACAGGGTCTCCCTGTGTTGCCCAGGCTGGTCTTGAACTCCTGGGCTTAAGCAATCCTCCCGCCTTGGCCACCCAAAGTGTTGGGATTACAGGTGTGAGCCACTGTGCCCAGCCCATAGCTGTTTTAGATTAAGCAAATTGATCGGTCTTGTATATTCATTCCAGATATGTAACTGGTTCATCAATGCCCGGCGGCGGCTTCTCCCAGACATGCTTCGGAAGGATGGCAAAGACCCTAATCAGTTTACCATTTCCCGCCGCGGGGGTAAGGCCTCAGATGTGGCCCTCCCCCGTGGCAGCAGCCCCTCAGTGCTGGCTGTGTCTGTCCCAGCCCCCACCAATGTGCTCTCCCTGTCTGTGTGCTCCATGCCGCTTCACTCAGGCCAGGGGGAAAAGCCAGCAGCCCCTTTCCCACGTGGGGAGCTGGAGTCTCCCAAGCCCCTGGTGACCCCTGGTAGCACACTTACTCTGCTGACCAGGGCTGAGGCTGGAAGCCCCACAGGTGGACTCTTCAACACGCCACCACCCACACCCCCAGAGCAGGACAAAGAGGACTTCAGCAGCTTCCAGCTGCTGGTGGAGGTGGCGCTACAGAGGGCTGCTGAGATGGAGCTTCAGAAGCAGCAGGACCCATCACTCCCATTACTGCACACTCCCATCCCTTTAGTCTCTGAAAATCCCCAGTAGGCATCTGCCAAGAAGGGTGCTGAAGGCTCCAGCCAGCTGTCCTGGGTTTCCGTTTTGGTTCCCTTTCATACAGAGGGTTTTCTATGGATCACTGCCAAACATTGGGATCATCTCCTCTGTCCAGAGGTCTTCAACAGGAAGATGCCAGCTGGCACCACTGCACTGTGATGGGGGCCCTCTCCTCTGCTGACTCTGCCGTTTCTCCAGGCCTCCGCTCAGTGATGAGACCAAGAGATCGGAGACAAGCATGGTGCTGCTGCTTCTGCTGCTTCTCCAGAAAATCCCTGGGACACCTTTGTTCCAGCCTGGTTTCCTGGGCTGGGCTCAGGAAAGCTGCCAAATTCAGTCCTATGTTGGGTCCAAGCTGCCCCTGTGCTGTTTCTGTCAAGCCAGGTGTGGACATTCCAAGTTCATATGCGTGAACAAAAGAAAAGAGGAACCCAGTGGATGTAACAGAACCGACTCCAGTTGAATGTTTAGATTTTTGCTAAACTGTTTTCTTTTTCCCTTTTTTGCTGTGGTTTGCATTCACGGCAGTAGTTAGCCCAGGTGTGGGGAACGAGAGTGCACTGCATGATAGCGTTCTGGTGAGCTGGGAAGGACCCACCACTGCCACTGAGGATTGTTTTGGAAGAAAGGAATATTTTTATCTTGGGGACCAGCTAAGTCTCTGCAGTAGTGTGAAATTCCAAATGGTTGTTTTATCATTGGTTTGGTTTACCAAAAAAAAGGCAGGGAAAAAAAAAAAAAACAACCGTATGAGCGCATTGGCTTGTCTGCCGCAGGCACAGAAGGGTAGAAAGCCACAGCAGGGGGCAGTCCAGCAGACTCTGACTCAACTTTCTAGGCACCTAGCAGAGAAAGATAAGATCAAAAGGTGTTTGGTTTTTCTTTTAATTTTTATTGTAGTTTTTTTGGGTGGGTGGGGGAAGTAAACTAGACTGAAGCGATGGATTTTTTTTTTCTTTTTTTTCTTTAGTGTTTTTCCCTTTGTTCTTGAACACTTTTGCCCTGCAGCCTCAGTTTTGAATTCTTTTAGCAACTTGGATTAGAGGGGCCCATATGTCAGAAGCTCCCAGCACCTCCTACTTGGGAGAAAAGTGAGCCATCTGCTGGTCAGGAAGTCCTCCAGAGAGGCAGCTTTTCCCACAATGGTGGCAGGAAACTTTGGGGAAAGCAGGAATGGTGTCCACTGCTGCGGAGGAACTGCCTTCAGAGAAGGTGGGGCTGGAAAAGGGTTAGAAGCCTCCTAGCTGGGATTGTCTTTGTTTCACCTTTCTTTAAATTAGAATTACAGAAGCCCCTGCCCAGTGAACAGATAACGATTGGTCTTATGCTCCTCCCTTTCCCCCATTTTTTCTTTTGCTGTTTTGTTTTTTGTTTTTTGTTTGTTTGTTTGTTTTTTTGAGACAGAGTCATGCTCTGTCACCCGGGCTGGAGTGCAGTGGTGCGATCTCAGCTCACTGTAACCTCCGCCTCCCGGGTTCAAGCAATTATTTGCCTCAGCCTCCCGAGTAGCTGGGATTATAGGCACCCGCCACCATGTCTGGCTTTTAGTAGAGACGGGGTTTCACCATCTTGGCCAGGCTGGTCTTGGAACTCCTGACCTCGTGAGCCACCACGCCCAGCCTCTTTTGCTGTTTCATTGCTGACAGTGTTCAACAATATGCCCCATCTTTATATATCCTAAGAAACACTAATCCTAGGTTATTGCTAGCCAAAATATTTTTGTCCTGAGTAGTGTCACTGGGCCAAAAGATAGATCAGGACGACAGCCTTTAGTTTTCCTGAAATCACCAGGTCAGGCACAAGGAGAAAAGGTTCCTGGATACTGACTAACTTGGGTGGGTGGATCTAGCCAGGAGAAAGACAGTAACATGTGTTCTGTACTTTCTGGGAAGATCCCTGAAGCCATCACAGAGGCTCCCCAACTTCTGAGTCGCCCATCTGTTGCTGTGGGAGTGTGAACGGATCGCTGAAGGAGAGGGAGCTTTGCTCTCTCTAGGTGGGCAAGTTTCCTGGGCTCTCTGTGTTGCCTCCCTCTGGCTTCTTCCTCCCGTGCCCTCTCCCCGTGTGCCCCAGGGGGATCAGGGATCCTCACCCTCCTGAGGCCCAGTGGGGAAGAATGAACATGGCTTCATCCAGGTTAACTGATGCTGCCATTTGCCCAGCCTCTTCCATCCCAGCCCTGTCAGTGAGCCCAGGTCTGGTGCAACTGCTGCAGGATGCCTGTAGTAGGGAACTCTGGAAGTGTATTGGGCTGAGGTGGGATTTTCCCTCCCCACAGTGCACTGAGCAATGGAGGGTGGTGAGGGAGCCATGCTGCTGAATTCTGGTTGGCATTTCCCCATTATGTAAAATGGGGTGTTGGGTAGGGCAGACTCTGCTTGGGTTTGGTTGTAAGATAAACCTGGAGGAGAAGCACAGTTGTCCCATTGAATTATTTGAGCAAAAACTACTGTAAATAACTTTTTTGTCTTTTGTCAAATAAAATTTTTTTTTGTTTTTTTAAGCAGAAACAGGGTTCTTGATTGATCCACCAGGGCTCAGGGCCCAGGCTTGAAGACAAAGCAGTCACTGGCTTCTTATTTTGCTTTACATCTTTTACTCTCCCTCTAGTAGCCAGCTGTGAGTTCTGTGCACGCTGTACCCCCATTCCCTTTCACCAGCTCCATTCTGTATCCCATTCAACTCAGGGTAAAGGGGGCATTTGCATCTCACATTGGGCCAGTCTTCCCTGGAATCAACAGTTAAGCTCTGGGGTTGCTAAGTGGTGAGGATGTAACCTTGAGGAACTGGCAACTTTGTCCTCCCCCTCTCTCGGTAAGAAACAAGCATGACTGCAGTGTGAACCCGGCACAGAGAGAAGCAGCTATGAGATGGAAGCTCCAGTCATGTCTGAAACCAGGACCACCTGTAAACTTCTCTATTATGTAAGCTAGTGAATTCCCCTTTTTGCTTAAACTAGCTGTTAATACGTTTCTGCCATACTGAAATGACAATACACTAACTGCAGCCCAAACTATAAAAACCAAGGTCTGCAACAGTGGGAAACTGAGTTTGGTTGAGTGTGCCTGGGTCTGGGTCTGTGCTATGTTCAGTCTCTTTTTTTTTTTTTTTTTTTTGAAACGGAGTCTCTCTCTCTTGCTAGGCTGGAGTGCAGTGGCACAATCTTGGCTCACTGCAACCTCCGCCTCCCAGGTTCAAGTGATTCTCCTACCTCAGCCTCCCAAATAGCTGGGACTACAGGAGTGCGCCACCATGCCCGGCTAATTTTTTGTATTTTTTAGTAGAGACGGGGTTTCACCGTGTTGGCCAGGATGATCTCGATCTCCTGACCTCGTGATCCACCCACCTCGGCCTCCCAAAGTGCTGCAATTACAGGCGTGAGTCACTGTGCCCAGCCCCAATTTCTTAATTTTTGTACACACACACATGAAAGTGAGATGCCCTAGGTAAAGAAACTGAGTGGGCTGTGGCTTGTGCCTACAGTCCCAGCTACTCCAAGGCTGAGGCTGGAGGATCACTTAAGCCTGGGAGTTTGAGGCTGCAATGAGCTGTGATTGGACCACTGCACTCCAGCCTGGGTGACTGAATGAGACCCCAAGACCCCATCGTTTTTTTAATTTTTTTTTATTCTAAAAAAAAAGAGAAACTGAGTAGGGATTTCAGATACTTGCCTGAACTCATATAGCCCATATAAATATGGAGCTCGAATTCAAATTCAAGTCTGTTTTCCTTCAGGGTCACTCAGGTCTGCCCAGAACCTACCTGAAGTAATATAGTGGTCACTTACTAACATAGTATCATCTAGCTGTCTAGAACAGTGCTGTGGGCTCAGCACAAGAAGTTTCTTCTGTGAATGAAATCTTGGTGGTCTCTCCTACAGGTCACTCTCCTTCAGGAATTTGGAGAGAGAGCCTCCCCACTCAAGTTTCCCAGATTAAAGAGCCTCAGCTCCCTCAGCCATTCACCCAAGGTCCTGATTTTCCCCCATTTCTCTCTCAGTATCTCTCAAACTGCACACTTGGCCCTGGAGCTCAGCAGAATAGGCACATGCTGTTACAGCTTTTCAAAGTAAGTTTAATATTCAATTCACATCGGCCGGGCGTGGTGGCTCATGCTTGTAATTCCAGCATTTTGGGAGGCTGAGGCGGGCAGATCACTTTTGAGGTCAGGAGTTCAAGACCAGCCTAGCCAACATGGTGAAACCCCGTCTCTACTAAAAATACAAAAATTGGTGGGGTGGGAATGGCGCACCCCTGTAATCCCAGCTACTCGGGAGGCTGAGGCAGGAGAATCGCTTGAACCCTGGAGGCGGAGGTTGCAGTGAGCCGAGATCATGCCACTGCACTCCAGCCTGGGCGACAGAGCGAGACTGTCTCAAAAAAAAATAAAAGGAACTGAAACCAAAAGTGTCTTCTGCATCAAGCTTCAAATGAGCCCTGGAGTGAGCAAGCACTCTAGATAATGAAAGTGAACTGCGGGATAATGTGGCTAGGGCCCCTCCTGTGACGCTGGGAACATGATCTAAGGACATCCACCTTTTTTATTAGAGTCTCATTCAGGAAACAGCTTTTAAATGTATCTGCCCTGGTCGTGAATACCCGCTGTCTCTTTGGGCTGGCTATGTATAGCCTGGCCGCCTCTCTATACCCTTGTTCTTTTTTTTTTGAGACAGATTCTTGCTCTGTCGCCCAGGCTTGAGTGCAGCAGTGCAATCTCGGCTCACTGCAACCTCCGTCTCCTGGGTTCAAGTGATTCTCCTGTCTCAGCCTCCTGAGTAGCTGGGATTACACGCACGCACCACCACCCCTGGCTAATTTTTGTATTTTAAGTAGAGACGGGGTTTCACCATGTTGGTCAGGCTGGTCTCAAACTCCTGACCTCATGATCCGCCTGCCTCAGCCTCCCAAAGTGCTGGGATTACAGACGTGAGCCACCGCACTCAGCCTATACCCTTGTTCTTAATAGGGCTAAGATGATGCTTCAAGCTTTTGGGTATCGATTTTGGACTTTGCATTAATATTTTTTTTGTTTTGTTTTGTTTAAAAAGGTGGCCGGGTGGCGTGGTGGTGCATGCTTGTAGTCCCTGCTACTTGGGAGGCTGAGGCAGAAGAATCACTTGAACCAGGGAGGCGGAGGTTGCAGTGAGCTGAGATGGCGCCGCTGCACTCCAGCCTGGCCGACAGAGTGAGACTCTGTCTCAAAAATAAAATAAAATAAAATAAAGGTAATGGTAGTGATTGGTGGGGAGGGGATCTGCCATCCTCTAGATGGGTGGTCAGGGAAGTCCTCTTCCTTTCCACTGTTTTTGAATGGTAGTTTCTCCATGGCCCCCAGGCTTAGAACCTTTTTTTTTTTTTTTTTTTTTTTTTTTGCCTCAACTTAGCCCTAGGAATAAGCATCTCTGGGGTAAGACTGAGGACTCTGGATTTTAAAAGTACAGTCTAGCTTGAAAGCTGCTACATGGGCTGGGCACGGTGGCTCATACGTGTAATCCCAGCTCTTTGGGAGGCCAAGGCTGGTAGATCACGAGGTCAGGAGTTCGAGACCAGCCTGGCCAAGATGGTGAAACCCCATCTCTACTAAAATTACAAAAATTAGCCTGGCGCGGTGGCAGGCACCTGTAATCCCAGCTACTCGGGAGGCTGAGGCAGGAGAATCGCTTGAACCCGGGAGGCAGAGGTTGGAGTGAGCCGAGATCGCACCACTGTACTCTAGCCTGGGTGACAAGGCAAAACTCCGTCTCAAAAAAAAAAAAAAGAAAAGAAAGCTGCTACATGAAAACTCCATATGGCAGAGGCCAGGTCTGCCTTGTATGGCTGTATCCTTGCTATGTTATGCACTAGAGCTGCAGAGGATAAGGTGTGGCACTCGAAGGATGCAGAAATAACCATCACTGCTGTCAGTGTTACTGATTTCAAAGGCATTTCTCTATGACCCAAGCCTGGTTTCAAATTCTTGGTCTGTCACTGATTAGCTGTCATGACCATAGGCAAGACAGTTCACTACTCCAAACTTCAGTTTTCATCATCAATAAAGTGGGAATAGTAATACTTACCTCTTGGGAGGATGAAATAGGATAATCTATACGTTACTATCTATCCTTGCTCAGCACACAGCTGAGGGAAAAACAACCTGTAAAATAACTTACCCCATACCACACAGCTTTTAAGTGGCAGAATTGGGCCTAATTACCCAGAGAAGTAATTCTCAAGCCTAAATATCCATCAAGATCATCAGGAAAGCTTACAAAGATGCATATTCCCAGACCTCACGCCCAGAGAGTCTGGGCAGGAATCTGCATTCTTCACTGATGCCACATGAGATTCTGATGATCTTGCTCCAGAGACCTTCACCATTCATTATCAGGACACTGACCTATCCCCAGGAAACTACTGGGCTGGGAAAGTAGCAACTCTTTGTCTTTCAAAGTTACAAGATGAGAGGAAGAAGGGTCTCTGAACCATCTGACGTCTTTGCTCCCAGGAGGCTATGGTAACTTGAAGGTCAAGTGTAGCCCTACCATTTTAATTACCAAAGTAATCCACACACGATGTAGAGAAATTGCAAGTAAAGGTATAAAAAGAGAAGAGTTTAGCATAATGGTTAATGGTTAAAAGCCCAGCCAGGTTTTGGATGAAAACGAATGTAGCCAGATGCAGTGGCTTATACCTGTAATTCCATCACTTTGGAAGGCCGAGGCGGGTGGATCACCCAAGGTCAGGAGCTTGAGACCAGCCTGGCAAACGTGGCAAAACCCCATCTCTACAAAATACAAAAATTAGCTGAGCATGGTGGCAGGTGCCTGTAGTCCCAGCTACTCCGGAGGCTGAGGCAGGAGAATTGCTTGAACCCAGGAGGTGGAGGTTGCAGTGAGTTGAGATTGTCCCACTGCACTCCAGCCTGGGTGACAGAGTGAGACTGTCTCAAAAACAAAACAAAACAAATGAATGTAAAACATTTAGTGAAGTGACTGGTAGCTAGTGAGGGTTCATTAAGTGCTAGTATGACATTTATTGTGGGCCAAAAAGAAAAAAAAAGACCAGGATGCAATCTCAGACCTCCATTCCAACAACAGGTGCTCTTTCCATGGCTGATGGTTGCCCCCAGGATTTCTGATACCTGTGATCCATCAGTGCCTGTGAGGGGCCAGTCTTACCCCTCAGAATATACCTTCCTCTCCAAACCCCACTCCAAGCAGCTGGCAGTGCTATCGAGGCATTCAGCTGGGAAATAGCCCTAAGGCTGAGCTCATGTGTTCAACTAGTACTAAACAGCTACAAACTCACAAAGACAAAATTTGTCCTACTTCCAAATCTGTCTCTCCCACTTTCAAATCTGACCCTTCATCAAGTTATTTTCCAACTCAGACCACCCAAGATGTTTATTTTAACCAGACGGATTCACTGAGATTCAGCCAGGTTCCCCGCTTCCTAAGATAAGGAAAGCCTTGGGTGAAAGCAAATAGGGAACAAGTCTGAGTCCCAAAAATACCTTTTAGACAAGGGCTTCCCCTCTGGCTGCCAGCTTAGCTTTGTCTGCTCCTAGAGAGGTAAGAGGAGGAACAGGGATCAGGTTTCAGATGCCTGTTGAACTTCTAACTTCCCTTATGACCTTGGGCTACACTGCAGGATTTGAGGACCCTTCCAACTAGAACTTTCTGTGACCTCTCCCAATCCCATGCAAACATAATGGCTCTTGGAGTTACGGTCAGAGCTTCGCAATGTAATACAAACATGACCTAGAGCCGGACGCAGTGGCTCATGCCTGTAATCTCAGCACTTTGAGAGGCTGAGGTGGGCGTATCACTTGAGGTCAGGAGTTCGAGACCAGCCTGGCCAACATGATGAAACCCCGTCTCTACTAAAAATACAAAAATTAGCTGGGCATAGTGGTGGGCACCTGTAATCCCAGCTACTTGGGAGGCTGAGGAGAATCCCTTGAACCTGGGAGGTGGAGGTTGCAGTGAGCCAAGATCGTACCACTGCACTCCAACCTGGGTGACAGGGCGAGACTCTGTCTCAAAAAAAAAAAAAAAAAGAAAAAGAAAAAACAAATATGACATAAAAAAATACTGTCTAATGAGATGCTCAATCATTACTAATCACTAGGGAAGTGCAAATCAAAACCACAGTGAAAATACTACTTTGCACCTAGTAGGATGATTATTAACAGCAGAAAAAGGCTGAGCACGGTGACTCACACCTGTAATCCCAGCACTTTGGGAGGCCGACGCAGGCGGATCATGACGTCAGGAGTTCCAGACCAGTCTGGCCAACATGGCAAAACCCTGTCTCTACTAAAAATACAAAAATTAGCTGGGCATGGTGGCGGGTGCCTGTAATCCCAGCTACTTGGGAGGCTGAGGCAGAAGAATCGCTTGAACCCAGGAGGCGGAGGTTGCAGTGAGCTGAGGTTGTGCCACTGTACTCCAGCCTGGGCAACAGAGCGAGACTCCTTCTCAAAAAAAAAAAAAAAACATGTATCTCCGAACCCTTGTGCACTGCTGGTGGAAATGTAAAATGCCGCAGCTGCTGTGGAAAACAACACTTCCTCAAAAAATTAAAAATAGAATTACGATATGATCTAGCAATTCCACTTCTGAGAATATGCCCAAAATAACAAAGCAGGGACACAAACAGATATTTGTACACTCCAATTCATAGCAGCATTATTCAGAATAGTCAAAGTGTAAGCAACCCAAATGTCTATCAGTAGGTAAGCAACATGTGGTATGTACATACAACAGCTTTAAAAAGGAAGGAAATTCTAACACATGCTACAACGTGGGTGAAACTGGAGGACATAATGCTAACTGAAACAAACCAGTCACAAAAGGACGAATACTGTACTCCTATGAGATACCCATTAGAACAGTCAAATTCCTACAGAGAAAGTAGAATGGAACTGGTTTCCAGGGACTGGGGAAATGGGAGAATGAGGAGTTATTTTTAATGGGTACAGAGTTTCAATTTTACAAGGTGACAAAGTTCTGAAAATGGATGGTGGTGATGGCTGCAGAACAAAGTGAATACACTTAATGCCACTGAACTGTACACTTAATAAGTGTTGAAATGATAAACTTTGTTAGATATATTTTACTAAAATTTAAAAAACAATTTTTTTTTTTGAGAGAGTCTCTCACTCTGTCACCCAGGCTGGAGTGCAGTGGTGTGATGATCACAGCTCACTGCTGCCTCTACCTTCTGGGCTTAAGCAAGCCTCCCACCTCAGCCTTCAAATAGCTGGGACTACAGGTGTGCACCACCATGCCTGGCTAATTGTTTTTTTCTTTCTTTTTTTTTTTGTGGAGACGGGGTCTCCCTGTGTAGCCCAGGCTAGTCTTGAGCTCCTGGGCTCAAGTGATCCTCCTGTCTTGGCCTCCCAAAGTGCTGGGATTACAGGCATGAACCACCATGCCAGGCCCTTAAAAATATTTTTAATTTGGTTGGGTGTGGTGGCTCACACCTGTAATCCCAGCACTTTGGAAGGCTGAGGCAGGCAGATTGCCTGAGCTCAGTAGTTCAAGACCACCCTGGGTAACACAGTGAAACCCCATGTCTACTAAAATACAAAAAATTAGCCAGGTGTGGTGGCGCACACCTGTAATCCCATCTACTCCAGAGGCTGAGGCACGAGAATCACTTGAACCTGGGAGGCAGAGGCTGCAGTGAGCTGAGATGGTGTCGCTGCACTCCAGCCTGGGCGACAGAGCGAGACTCTGTCTCCAAAATAAATAAATAAGTAATATGTTTAATTTAAAAAAGAACGGGCTGGGCATGGTGGCTCACGCCTGTAATCCCAGCACTTTGTGGGGCCGAGGTGGGTGGATCACCTGAGGTCAGGGGTTCGAGACCAGCCTGGCCAAACATGGTGAAACCCTGTCTCTACTAAAAATACAAAAAAAATTAGCCAGGCGTGGTGGCGGGCGCCTGTAATTCCAGCTACTCGGGAGGCTAAGGCAGGAGACTCGCTTGAACCCGGGAGGTGGAGGTTGCAGTGAGCTGAGATCATGCCACTGTACTCCAGCTTGGGCAACAAGAATGAGACTCCGTCTCAAAAAAAAAAAAAAAAAAAAAAGAACTGTTGAATCCAGTTTTCTGCATCTTCAGTGCCCTCACCAACTCTCACCTAAATGACTTTAACAGCCTTTTAACTAGTCCCCCATTCTGATCCAGTCCCCCAAATAGCAGCAAGCATGATCCTTCTAAGATGCAAACCTGATGGCTTCCCCTACCCCTGGATAAGAAGCAAACTCTTCAGCATGATTCTCCCGTGCTTCCCCTCTGGTGGCTTCATTCCTTACCATTAGCCCACATGGTTTCATTTCCCTAAATGTTATCTCCCACCTTCACCTCCCTCTTTTCCTTCTAATGTCTTCCTTCAGAGTTTACCCTTCCCTAATCCCCCCAGATCAGGTTCCCCATTATACATCTTCACCAGGGGGAGACCTGGCAGAGTGAAAACTTACCTTTAGGCCAAGGGCTAGTCATTCTTCCAACATTCTGTGACAGATTCATTAGTTTGTCTTCTGAACTACATGCCAGCAGGGAGTCTGTAAAAGAGGTTTTGTAACAATGGTACACTTCCAAACCAGTCAGTTTGGAAGCTCTTGGCCCTCTGAAGTTTCCCTGAAAATCAGTGATATGAGGCAGATTGATTACCAGGAAAAAAGGCATACAATTTGATTTAACGTGTATACACAGGAGTCTTCAGAATGAAGACCCAGCTCCCCAACTCCCCAATAAGGTACAGAAGCTTCTTTTTTTTTTTTTTAGATGGAGTTTCGCTCTTGTTGCCCAAGCTGGAGTGCAATGGCACGATCTCGGCTCACTGCAACCTCCGTCTCCCAGGTTCAAGCAATTCTCCTGCCTCAGCCTCCTGAATAGCTGGAATTACAGGCACATGCCACTACGTTCGGCTAATTTTTTGTAATCTTAGTAGAGATGGGGTTTCTCCATGTTGGTCAGGCTGGTGTCGAACTCCTAACCTAAGGTGATCCACTCGCCTCGGCCTCCCAAAGTGCTGAGATTACAGGTGTGAGCCACTGCACCCGACCAGGTACAGAAGCTTCTGTACCATCTTGAGGTTACAGAAAGAATGGGGGCTTGGATCCTGGTAGAACAGGTTATGGGAAGGGGGAGCAAGGAATTTTACTGAGGGACAACAAATGATTATTAGGAAGAATGGATCAGAAACAGAAATTAACCTGTAAATAGTTATCTTTGGAATTTAAATTATTCTTGGAGACAGTCATTACCTTGAAAAAGGGTCTGTTCAGGTGTGGTTACACTGTCTTCTCTTCTGCAATAGAAAGCGAGATAGCTGGGTGTGGTGGCTCACGCCTGTAATCCCATCACTTTGGGAGGCCGAGGCGGGCGGATCACGAGGTCAGGAGATCAAGACTGTCCTGACTAACACGGTTAAACCCTGTCTCTACTAAAAATACAAAAAATTAGCCAGGCATGGTGGCGGGTGCCTGTAGTCCCAGCTACTGGGGAGGCTGAGGCAGGAGAATGGCGTGAACCCAGTCAGCCGATATCGCGCCACTGCACTCCAGCCTGGGCAACAGAGCGAGACTCCGTCCCAAAAAAAAAAGAAAGTGAGATAACAGGGAGAGGAACAAGAACTCTTCTCCTTGGTGGGTCAGTCATATCTTTATGTAGATACGGGAAAAGTCTCTTCCAGCACCTTGATTAGGTTTTCAAGTTCAGATATTCATTATGCTAGGCACAGTGGGTCATGCCTGTAATCCCAACACATTGGGAGACCGAGGTGGGAGGACTGCTTGAGCCCAGGAGTTCAAGACCAGCCTAGGCAACATAGTGAGACCCTGTCTCTACAGAAAATTAAAAAACAAAAACAAAAAAAAACAAACCTGTCAGGGTGTGGTGGCTCATGCCTGTAATCCCAGCCCTTTGGGAGGCTGAGGCAGGCGGATCACTTGAGGTCAGGAATTTGAGACCAGCCTGGACAAGATGGCAAAATCCCATCTCTACTGAAAAATACAAAAATTAGCCAGGTTGTGGTGGTACGCATCTGTATTCCCAGCTTCTGGGGAGACTAAGTCAATAGAACTGGTTGAATCTGGGAGGCAGAGGTTGCAGTGAGCTGAGATCATGCCACTGCACTCCAGCTTGGGCGACAGAGTGAGACTCTGTCTATAAAAAAAAAAAAAAAAATCTTAGCCAGGTTGGTGGCATGTGCCTGTGCCTGCAGCTCCAGCTACTTGGGAAGTTGAGGTGGGAAGATCGCTTGAGCCCAGAAGATCAAAGCTGCAGTGAGCCCTGATCATGCCACCGCATTTGAGCACGGGCAACAGAGTGAGACCCTGTCTTAAAAACTAAACTAAAATAGTCATTATACTAGGGAGCCATATTTTGGGGTAAAATATTTTGATTTCCTTCAACTGGCTAAGCTTTACCATTTCATATGGGAGGGAAACTGGATCAGAAAAGAGGCAGGGCTGAAAAGAACAAGACCCACGGGGAAACTTAGGACAAAAGGAGTGCACCCATATAACGTATACGGCCCTTCCACCAGTTCCAGACAGTAACGTGATCACAGTATGTTTCACCTTGGGGGTCCAGCCCCACTTAATCTACTGAAACAATGTCAGGGTGGGCTTGGGGTGGAAAACAGCAGCTATAGTATTCTGGAAAAGCTCTCTAGGAGGTTTTTTGTTTGTTTTTTGTTTTGTTTTTGAGACCAAGTCTTGCTCTGTTGCCCAGGCTGGAGTGCAATGGCGCGATCTTGGCTCACTGCAACCTCCACCTCCCAGGTTCAAACAATTCTCATGCCTCGAGCCTCCTGAGAAGCTGGGATTACAGGTCCCCACCACCACGCCCGGCTAATTTTTTTTGCATTTTTAGTAGAGACGGGCTTTCAACCATGTTGGCCAGGCTGGTCTCGAACTCCTGACCTCAAGTGATCCACCGACCTCGGCCTTCCAAAGTGCTGGGATTATGGGAGTGAGCCACTGCGCCTGGCCTCCCTAGGGAGGTTCTATTACTCCTGAAAAGTGAAGAATTACAGGTGAATGTTGATAGGTATGCAAAAGATACTCTGACCTGTTTAAAAAAAAAAAAGATACTCTCAGCTTTAAAGTTTAACGGTTAAGAGCACAGATTCTGGAGTCAGACACACCCAGGTACCAGATACATTACTTGTCTTTATAAATCCACTGTCCAGAGGCCGGGTGAGGTGGCTCACGCCTGTAATCCTAGCACTTTGGGAGGCCAAGATGGGCGGATTGCCTGAGCTCAGGAGTTCGAGACCAGCCTGGGCAACATAGTGAAACCCCCGTCTCTACTAAAATACAAAAAAAACTAGTGGAGCGTGGTAGTGGGCGCCTGTGATCCCAGCTACGTGGGAGGCTGAGGCACGAGAATCGCTTGAACCCGGGAGGTGGAGGTTGCAGTGAGCAGAGACCGTGCCGTCTCAAAAAAAAAAAAAAAAAAAAATCCACTGTCCAGAAGGGATGTGCCTTGGTCTCTGGACTTACCAGCACAGTGAGCCTGGCACCACCTGGAGGGCCACCGGAAGGAGCCCCATCCCCAGGGGTTCTGAGTCAGTAGGCGTGGAATGGGGGCCGAGAACCTGCGCCTCTACCCAGTTCCCAGGCGATACGGCCGCTGCTGATCCGGAAGCTCACTTTGTGAACCACTGACGCAGCACATGGTGAGGACGCTGTATGTGAACACTCAGATATCCTGATACCTAACCCAATCCTTGTATTTGCCGCCCAGGAGTCCCCGGTTGGGTCCACCTTGCTATACGGCCTCAGAATCTCATTTCCTCTTTTGGGGTCTCAGGGCTCTCGTGTGCCAAAAGAGGGTGCTGGGCAAGATGAAATGGTTAGTTATTACAGAAGAGTTAACATCTTCAACAAGGCCCTACAGAACTTGCAGGGTTAGGGGAGAAAATAAGCGGGCTAAATCCTGTGGGGCAGCTTGGAGCTACCCTGGAGCAAGGTCTGGGCTCAGCAGGCGAGTAGGTCGCAAGGAAAGGTAGAGCCGCTCCTGCCCCACTCGCTGCTCGAGGGGCAGCTGTGGCCGACTGGGCGACGCTGACGTCCAGCCTCGGTTTTCCCCTACCTCCTCGGTCTCCACAGCGCCTCCTGGCGCCCATGTCACCGTTCTACCAAGATTGTCCCTCCCCTCACACCTTACCGCGAGCCCGGCGGATGCTGACGTCATTTCCGCCACGAGTAGCGCGCTTGCGCCAAGGCGCCGGTCGCTGTTTCACTCGGATGGCTTCGCGGTCGCCGATTGGCTGCGTGAGCACGTCGGCGGGAGGGCGCGCGACACTGCACCGCCCCTCCCTTCGCGGCGCCTGCTCTGTAGAGCCGGCGGAACCGGGTAGCTTGGCCAGGTTGTGAGGAACCGCAGCGCGCCGCAGGACCGGGCCGCTGAGCCTGCAGCCGCCCCGCGCCGTGACCTGCGACCCTAGACCCCGACTCCCTTTGGCTCAGCCCGCGCGCCCCAGGCCCGGCCCGGGCGGCGCGACGGGAGGATGAGCGGCGGGCGGCGGAAGGAGGAGCCGCCTCAGCCGCAGCTGGCCAACGGGGCCCTCAAAGTCTCCGTCTGGAGTAAGGTGCTGCGGAGCGACGCGGCCTGGGAGGATAAGGTACGGTGGAGTCTGAACAGGGCGCGGGTGCGAGGAGTCGGCTGGGACTCGGGGAACGGAAGACTGGCGCGGGCCTGCCCTCGTCCTCGTTCCGGCACAATCGAGTAGGGCAGTGGGGCGGGTGGCCCAAGGGTGTCAGAGCAAACTTGGCGGGCACTGGGCGGACAGCTGGGCTTGGAGCTCCCCGAAGGGTGGCCTAAGGATGAAGCCCCCTAGTTATGCGGAATTGGCGAGGAGCGGGGAGAGGCGTTGTCATTCGCGGGCAGGGTTTGTGCCTGAACTGGGAAAGGGAGCTGAATTCGATTCGGCCTCCGCCTTTTATGTGCAGTAGGGTTTTGAGTAGGTTACTTGTTTCTTTCGAATTAAGTAGCACAAACATTAACAGTAACAGACTTCTGCTGAGAATGCTTTCTACGTGCCAGGTGCTCTGCAAGCGGAATCTCGTTTAACTCAGAATAACTCTGAAGTGGGGTACTGTGGTACATTAAAGCCTTTTGCACATAGTGAGGCTCGCTAATCTTGAGCTGCTGTTGCTTGTTGAATGTAAAGGACCGAATACTTTGATAAGCATGAGTCAAGAGGGGAGACTGAGACCACCCGCTGGGTGAGTGTGAGGTGTGGGGGTGGAGAAACGCCACCAGATATGTGCGAGAATTGGTTGGGACTTCAGAACGTTCTTACTCGTCCCATTCGGAGGATGCTTCGTAACTCTGCTCCATGATCTGGAAGGGGCCATCACAAACAGCTTGATTCCAGGTAGCTTGAAAAGCGTATTATATTTGCAGTCATTTCTTGGTTTTCTGGGCTGCCGAAGTGGATTTTCCTTCCTGAAGTTCCTGTAAAGGGGGATGGGAGGCACTTCCTGAAGGTGCCCTTGTTCTGCCCCCAGCCCTGCCCAGCTCTTGCAAAACCTGCAGTCTCTAATCTGCTGTGTCATTTCTTTCTTTTCTTGTATAAGGACTGGTTTCTGGAATCTAGGGCAGATCAGAAACCTGAGTCGTCTGTGTTCTTCCATTAAACTTAAATATAGTGGCACCTGCCTCCAGCATTTATGGTTCTAATCCGTATGTGCGGCCAGTAGCACAATTATTATCACAGTCATTTCATTACAGGCCATATTATATATGCACCTCTAGAATTTTGATTTAGAGCACAGATTCTGGAAGTGATCGCTTAATGATGTCTAAATGTATCTTTTTTTTTTTTTTTTTTTGAGACGGAGTTTCACTCTTGTTGCCCTGCAACCTCCACCTCCCAGGTTCAAGCAATTCTCTTGCCTCAGCCTCCCAAGTAGCTGGGATTAAAGGCGCCCGCCACAACACCCGGCTAATTTTTTGTATTTTTAGTAGAGACAGGGTTTCACCATGTTGGCCGGGCTGGTCTTGAACTCCTGACATCAGGTGATCCACCCGCCTCGGCCTCCCAAAGTGCTGGGATTACAGGCTTCAGCCACCACGCCCAGCCCCTAAATGTATCATTTCTACCACATTTTAGTATAAGTAAGAGGTGAAACAGGAAGCACATACTGTTGCCTTTGGGGGGAAACAAATTTCCTGGATATGTTTAGCAGAAAGGTTTAATATTCTCCCCTTTTGCTGTCTTGTGGCACCCACTCCAGATAATTCTTGCATTTTCTGTCTTTTCTACAGGATGAATTTTTAGATGTGATCTACTGGTTCCGACAGATCATTGCTGTGGTCCTGGGTGTCATTTGGGGAGTTTTGCCATTACGAGGGTTCTTGGGAATAGCAGGGTAAGTCTTGGGTATCTTATATTTTCATGGTATCATTTCTTTTTAAATAGAGGCTTTTTTTCCTGTTACAGGAAAGGCCATTGCTGCTCTGGAGCTGTGTGTGTGTGTGATGACTAAAGCAAAGAAGCAGCCCTACAGTGGCACTCCTGGGTCTGGTGCACCACTCCTCAGGAGCATCTCAGGTCAGGCAGGTTACCTTCCTGCCTTCCTGAAGGCTGGGCCAGTCCATTCATTCATGGGTCTAAAGTGACCTCATGCAAGAGGCTATGACTACTTGTTCGTGGCATGCACTCTAGTTCTGCTGTGACCTTTGTACCTGTGCGAGTTTGGGAAGTAGGAACTTCTGTATTTGACGACCATTTCCCTTGTTCCTGGCACAGTGCTTAATGTCCTAAACCTTGGCTTTGGTAGAAGTTATTTCAGGTCCCTCCATTTTGTTTTTTTGAGATAGGGCCGCACTTTGTTGCCCAGGTGGGAGCACACTGGCACCATCACAGCTGACTGCAGCCTCGACCTCCTGGACTCAAATGATTTTCCTGCCTCAGCCTCCTAAGTAGCTGGAACTACAGGTGTGAGCCACCACACCTGGCTAATTTTTAAAAATTTTGTAGAGACAAGGTTTCTCTACATTTCCCAGGCTGGTCTTGAACTCCTGGGCTCAAGTGATCCTCCTTTCTTGGCCTCTCAAAGTGTTGGTATTATAGGCATGAGTCAGCAGGTCTGGCATCGGTCTCATTCTTTTTTTTTTTTTTTTTTTTTTTTAAAGACAGAGTCTTTCTCTGTCGCCCAGGCAGGCGTGTACTGGCGTGATCTCGGCTCACTGCAACCTCTACCTCTCAGGTTCAAGCAATTCTTCTGCCTCAGACTCCCAAGTAGCTGGGACTACAGGTGTCTGCCCCCATGCCCGGCTTATTTTTTGTATTTTTAGTAGCGACGGGGTTTCGCCATGTTGGCCAGGTTGGTCTTGAATTCCTGACCTCAGGTGATCCGCCTGTCTTGGCCTCCCAAAGTGCTGGGATTATAGGCATGAGCCACCATGCCCGGCTCATTGCTGTTCCTAGCCCCCTAATTGATGGTGAGCTGAGGGCAGGAACAGTCATCTTTACGTTTGCATCCCGTAGCAATAACAGACAGTGGATATCCAGAAATGGTCTCCCACTGGGAGTTATACAGGGGGTATACTGTTGCTTGCTCAACTAGGCTACGAAGCAGCAGCTTCACATGTTTTTCTCCCATAGCCACACCCTAGCTGGAGCTACCTGGAGGCCCATGTCAGGTCCCGCTTGGGATGGCTTATCAGCCATTCTGTTACTTCAAGGGGCTTTGGAGAACTATATTACACACACACACACACACACACACACACACACACACACGCACACACGCACACACGCACACACGCACACACACACACACACACACACACACACACACACACTATATATAGAGTTTCGCTGTTGCCCAGGCTGTAGTGCAGTGGAACAATTTCGGCTCACTGCAACCTCTCCGCCTCTGGGTTCAAGCAGTTCTCCTGCCTCCACCTCCTGAGCAGCTGGGATTACAGGCGCCCACCACAATGCCCTGCTAGTTTTTGTATTTTTAGTGGAGATGGGGTTTCACCATGTTGGCTAGGCTGGTCTTGAACTCCTGACCGCAAGTGATCCGCCCACCTCAGCCTCCCAAAGTGCTGGGATTACAGGTGTGAGCCACCACACCCGGCCCCGAGTTCTGAGTCTTCTAAGCTTTCAATTTATGTTTGGTACTTGTTCTCTGTTGCTCCAGATTCTGCCTGATCAATGCAGGAGTCCTGTACCTCTACTTCAGCAATTACCTACAGATTGATGAGGAAGAATATGGTGGCACGTGGGAGCTCACGAAGGAAGGGTTTATGACCTCTTTTGCCTTGTTCATGGTATGTGTAGCTGATAGTTTTACAACAGGTACTGTTCATTTCATGAGGTGTCACTCACAGGAGGGGACCCCACTGATTGAGTTACACTGTGTGAGCAGGGTGCTATTTTTCTAAAGGCTTCTGAGGCTCAGGGCCATGGCCTGTGTTGAGCCACATCCCAGAAGATGTGGTCTGATATACTGTACAGTCCCCTGTAATGTGTAAATCCAGGGCCCATCGTCAGCTTCTACATCTGATTCTCAAGCCTGGCTAGATATTAGAAACTAGGAGGGCTGAGCATGGTGGCTCACGCCTGTAATCCCAGCATTTTGGGAGGGCAAGGCAGGAGGATCACCTGAGGTCAGGAGTTCAAGACCAGCCTGGCCAGCGTGGTGAAATCCCATCTCTACTAAAAATACAAAAAATTAGTTGGGTGTAGTGGCGGGCGCCTGTAATCCCAGCTACTCCGGAGGCCGAGGCATGAGAATCGCTTGAACCCGGGAGGCGGAGGTTGCAGTGAGCCAAGATCGCGCCATCGCATTCTAGCCTGGGCAACAAGAGGGAAACTCCATCTCAAAAAGGAAACTAGGAAATATTTTTCATAATAGCTAAAAAGTACAAACAGTCCAAATGACCATCACTTGATGAATGGATAAGATACTATGTATCCATACAGTAGAATGTTATTTGGCCTTAAAAAGGAATGAAGTGGCCGGGCGCGGTCGCTCACACCTGTAATCCCAGCACTTTGGGAGGCCGAGGCGGGCAGATCACAAGGTCAGGAGATCAAGACCATCTTGGCTAACATGGTAAAACCCTGTCTCTACTTAAAAAAATTAGCTGGGCATGGTGGCGGGCGCCTGTAGTCCCAGCTACTTGGGAGGCTGAGGCAGGAAAATGGTGTGAACCTGGGAGGCAGAGCTTGCAGTGTGCCGAGATCGCGCCACTGCACTCCATTCCAGCCTGGGCAACAGAGCGAGACTCCGTCTCAAAAAAAAAAAAAAAATGAAGTCCTGATACATGCTATATAACATGGATGAACCTTAAAACATCATACTAAGTGGAAGAATCCAGACACAAAAGACCATGTGTTGTGTAATTCCATATGCAAAATCTCCACAGTGAGCAAAGCCATAGAGGCAAAAAGTAGATTAGTGGTTGCCAGTGGCTGGGAGGAGGGGATGGAGAGTAGCTGATAAAGGAAACAGGCTCTTTTTGGAGTAATGTTTTGGAATCAGTGGTGATGTTTGCACAACTGTTCCTATACAGAAAGCCTCTCAACTGTACGCTTTATTTTTTTGACACAGGCTCACCATTTCACCCAGGCTGTAGTGCAGTGGCGCAGTCTTGGCTCACTGCAGCCTCTGCCTCCCATGCTCAAGTGATCCTCCCACCTCAGCCTCCCGAGTAGTTGGGACTACAGGTGTGAGCCACCATGCCCGGATATTTTTTGTATTTTTAGTAGAAATGGGGTTTCATCATGTTGGCCAGGCTGGTCTTGGAACTCCTGACCTCAGGTGATCTGCCTGCTTCCGCCTCCCAAAGTACTGGGATTACAGGTGTGAGCCACTGCACCTGGCCCATTTTTTTTTAAATTATACTCATGGCCTGGCATGGTGGCTCATGCCTGTAATTATAGCACTTTAGGAGGCTGAGACAGGCAGACTGCTTGAGTCCAGGAGTTCGAGACCAGCTTGGGCAATATGGTGAAACCCATCTCTACAGGGGAAAAAAAAAAATAGCTAGGAGTGGTGGTGTGTACCTGTTGAGTCCCAGCAGGACTCAAAAAAAAAAAAAAAAAAAAAACCACAAAACCTTATGTGTCCAGACTCTAACCCAAACCAATAAAATCTTTTGAGATGTAGTGCTGGGGCATCTATATGTTTTTTTAAAAGAACCAAGAGATTACAATGGGTAGCCAAGGTTTGAGAATCCCTGCTTTGATATGCAGCTGACAAGTTATAGTATTTTCACATTGGTAGTCGCAGCACCTGCTAGCAGTGTAATATGCTTTACTTGAATCATTTCCACATCTGCACCTCAATTCCCTGGGCCTGGGGTTGCCATTTGGTAGGGGAGGAGCTTATCAGGAGTTCCTTTGCAAGTGCAGGAGGGCAGTCCTGGGTTCTGTTAGTGACAGCGTGATTTCAGTGAAATAATTTAGACCCCCCAAGCAGACTGTGCAACGGATAGCCCCTGGAGAGTGCCCCGTGTTTACATTCTCATCTGGCATTTTTGTTTTGTGGAATCGGCCTGTGTTAAGCCAGGTGACCTATGAACAGTGCTTGTCTCCTCACTAGGTCATTTGGATCATCTTTTACACTGCCATCCATTATGACTGATGGTGTACAGCTCCCAAGTGCTCCCTATCCAGTCCAAAGGACCCTCTTGATTACAGCACAGGAACTTGATCGTTGGGGAACCCCAGCCCCTTGGAACTTGGAAGACCCGTGTTTCCTGGACCGCGAATCAGTGTGTTGGGCATCAGTGTTTTCTGCAAGGGTTGTGACCTGAAACTTTTTAAAAACCACCCACCTTTGGGGAAGCATTTCTGAATTTATCCATCACCAACCATTTCTTCTTGGATACCATCAAGTAACAGCTATTATTTGCCAAGTGGAGCTGTCATTTAATTTGATGCACCTCTGGATTCAGATGAAACATTAAATTGTCTTCCTCGATTCTCCATCGGGTGTAGAGTTTTTAAACTATCAATGGCATTTCAAGTCTTCTGAAACAGCATGGCTGTATGTGCGTGGTCCATAGCACAGTACATGCAGCATCTAATAAGAGTTTCCATTGTAGAATGTTTTCACATACTTGAATAAATCAAATCTTTAATTGAGAACCTGTTGATGATACCTGATAAAGCCTTTCCCACCCCACCTGTAGCTTGGGAACCAGTAGGAGCACTGGAGGGGGTGCCTCCCACCCCATCCCTCTTTCTTCCTCTCCCTGATCCCTTAGCGGATCCAGCAGACCTCTTTCTGTTTATGGAGGCAGCAGGGAAATCAAGGGCTGGATTTGGTGTAGGCTGTGGTCTCCGTCTTGGCATTGTGGAGAGAGGGCTTAGCACCTTCTGATGCCCCTGCCCAGCACTGAGGTGCCTGGCCTCACTGCAGTGTGCTAGACTTAAGAGGTGTTATTTTTTATTCGGCCACAAGATGGCAAGGCCAGTGTGCTAGGGAATGGTAAGCCACAAAATGAAATAGAGATCTGAGAGCTAGGCTGGGTGCCGTGGCTCACACCTGTAATCCCAGCACTTTGGGAGGCCAAGGTGGGTGGATCACCTGAGGTCAGGAGTTCGACACCAGCCTGGCCAATGTGGTGAAACCCCATGTCTACTAAAAATACAAAAAAATTAGCCAGGCATGGTGGTGTACGCCTGTAATCCCAGCTATTCTGGAGGCTGAGGCAGGAGAATTGTTTGAATCCAGGAGATGGAGGTTGCAGTGAGCTGAGATCGTGCCATTGCACTCCAGCATGGGCAACAGGGCAAGACTCCGTCTCAAAAAAAAGAAAAAGAGCTGGGGCTGTTGTCCTCAATGGGGGACATTTGAGGACCTAGACTGTCCGAAGTCTTTCTCTTTGCTCTGGAGGTCACATAGAGCCTGGACCATCCAAGATCTGCTGCTACGGTAAGACATCATCTCAGCTTTCCTTTCCCTTCTAGGCCACAGTCCTACCTTCTGAGGTATGGTGGTGGTCTCAACGAGACTTGTAGATTTTCTGAAAATGACTTTCTCGTTGACTCTAGGGGTTGTTTCTACCTTGTGGGTGGGGCCTGGTTAATGGTGGGGATGTAGAATGGGGCTCAACAGGCAGGGCATCCAGATGGTACTGGAAACCCCAAACTCAAGAACTAACTAGGTCAGACCCCCCAGGAGGCTTATTCTCTTTTTGGAACCCTGGCCCTGGTCCCACCTTCTCTGCACTCGCACTAGAGGTCGCAGGTGGGATCATGGCACTGGAAGGAAGTAGGTGACTTCTAAGGGCTAAGAGAGGAAAGAGCAAGGGTACAGGTGGGACCCTAGATGCACCTCTGTGTCCCACCCTCCCTCCCTGAGTGCACAGCCTTGCCTCTGGGGTGCCCAGGAGGCTGAATTGGGGTTCTAGGTGTGCAGCCTTGGTTTCCCTTTTGGCCTCTCCTTTGGGCCTAGGCATCATCCAAAGAGACAGCCTCGTCATTCAGGCTGATGTAGAAGCTGAGGGACTCCCGGAGACCCTCACTGAGAAGAGACTCCTCCCCTGTGGCAGCTTCAGAAAACAGGAGGGAGCTGTGGACAAAGGAAGATAATTGGGTCAAGAAGCCTCTTCCTCCTCCCTGTACTCACTACACACAAAATTGCACTGTTCTCAAAACCCTTCACTCCTGCTGAGGACCTCATGGGGCTCCCCTGTTCCCTATCAGATCAGCTTCCCCAGCCCCACCTGTCGAGCCTGGGCCGTGCTCCAGGAGTTGAGTCAGTGCACTCTGGCTCCAGCTGCCAGGTGTCCCTGAGTGTGACAGGTACATTCCGGGTTGTGGCTTCCCAGGGGTGGGTCCTTCTAACTCTTGGTCCTGCTTTCATGTTTCCAGGAGTCCCCAACTTTACCTGTCCAGCTCTTTCCAGTTGAGTGGTGTCCTCTGCACAGTCACAGGTAGGGGTATATCCTTGCCAGGGAGCGGGCCAGCCCTCTGCAGGACACAGGGCTCCTTGAGTAGGCAGCAGATGTCATCCGCCAGCTCTGAGGAAGAGACCTCCATCCCTGACATGACTGACTCCACCCTACTTCTCCCCAACAGCCCTCACCCTGACAGCCCTCTGCAGTTGGCAGGAGGGGGCATGGTTACCAAAGAGTGATAGGACATGAGCCCCAAGCTATTGGTTTCATGGAGACAGATGTAGTCAAAGGTCTTTCTGGGCTAACTTTTGGGAGACAGTCACTGTATGATTTAGGGTGAGTTCATGGACCTCTTGAGCTCAAGTTTCTGGTTAGGAAATTGCTTTGGGAAGAAGAAAGCTAAGGAATGCTCAGTCTACTTCTACTCACTGTCTACTTCCACACAGAGTGACCTGCAGAAAACCCCTAATGAGTTTTCACAAGAGTGCTCTTCCCTCTCTGCCCCCTGACGCTGTGCCCAGTGACTGCATCTTCCAGTGTCTGTTGAAGGACAGGCACCAGGAAGTACTAAGGAGAGTCAGGATTGAATCCCACACAGCAGCAGCTCTGTGCCCGGTTCCTGTGGAGAGAACTCTGCCTGCTGCCAGGGGCTCTGAGTCAGAACCAGAGTGGTAGGCAAGGTACTGACCTGAGCCTACACAGGAGGTCTGTGGCTTTTCTGCCAGGGCACGAGGTGAAGACAGGGCTCCCAGCCTGCATTTCTTGGCATAGGGACTGGCGTGAAAATAGGGGAGGCCGCTCTTCTGTCTGTCTGAATACTCCACAGTAGGTAAAATATCCAAGGGCACCACTGCCTGCTCCTCCCCACAGACTATCCCAGCCTAGTCCTGGAGGCAGGGAAAGGCCATACCAGAGTAATGGTCCACCAGGGCCTGGAGTGAGGGGAAGGTGAGGCGCGGTGAGATGTACAGCCAGCCATTGTCAAGGCAGTGGATCCTGTAGTGTCTGATCCGGTCCCAGGATGCAGGGCGGCTGAGGCGGACTGACAGAGAGTAAGAGCCTGAGGAGAAAGGGGTCCAGGGGTGGCACTGAGGCCCTGCTGGGACTCGGCCCCACCTAGGCTGGGAAACGAAGATAGGCAACGTGACCATGGGGCCCCGGCAGAAGGGAAGTGTCTGGGGCAGAAGCAGGACAAAGACTTGCTCTCTTGGTCATCAATAATATGTTCATAATAGATGGGGGTCTTGTGAGGGTGAAATCAAATCACACACAGAGCCCTCAGTACAGGGTCTGGCACTGTGTGAGTGAACATTCAGCGTTGGCTGTTCTTACAAAGACTCAGGTGGCAGATATGTTAGGATGCAAAAACACTGTCAAGAAGATGCTGGCAAGGAAGTGGAGAAGTAGGACCTCCCACCCTGCTGGTGGAAGAGAAATTAGTACGAGCCACCTTGGAAACAGTTTGGCATTAACTAGATGAGCTGAACATGCACGTACCTTACAACCCAGCAGTTCTTCCCAGGCACAATACCTCAGAAGCACACAAGCAATATGCACAGCGGCATTGTTTGTAAAAGTCAAAAACGGCAAACAGCCCGTTTGTGCTCAAGAGTAGAATAAATTGTGGATTATAGAGTGTAGTGCTATACAGCAGTAAAAATTAATAACTGCTACATATAAGCATAAGGAAATCTTGGAAATTAAGCAGAAAAACATTACAGAGCATACATTCAGCCTGATTCTATTTAAAGTTCAAAGATAGCCAACATGACATTATATGTTGCACAGGCACACACGGCAAAGCTCTGAAGAAAAGCAACTGAATGATTAACACAGTGAAGCATGAGAGGGGGCTACAAAGGGCTTGTTAGGTAATTTCAGCTGGCAAGTGGGCGCGTGGATGTCAGTTTTATTAGTGCTGCTCAACCTACATGTATACATTACATACACTGATGAATGACAGTTTCACCAGCTTTGCATGTTTCATTTTTTCATTTTTTTTTTTTATTTTAATTTTCTTTTTTTTTTTTTTTGGAGACAGAGTCTCCCTCTGTTGCCCAGGCTGGAGTGCAGTGGTGCAATCTCGGCTCACTGCAACCTCCGCCTCCTGGGTTGAAGTGATTCCCCCGCCTCAGCCTCCCGAGTAGCTGGGACTACAGGCGCCTGCCACCACCACGCCCGGCTAATTTTTTGTATTTTTGGTAGAGACAGGGTTTCACCATATTTGCCAGGCTGGTCTCGAACTCTTGACCTCGTGATCCGCCTGCCTCAGCCTCCCAAAGTGCTGGGATTACAGGCATGAGCCACCGCGCCCAGCCAGATTTTAATTTATTTTTAGAGCCATGCTCTCGCTCTGTTGCCCAGATGGCGTGCAGTGGCATGATCACAGCTCCTGGGCTCAAACAGTCCTCTTGCCTCAGCCTCCTGAGTACTTGGAATTATAGGCGTGAACCACCCCGTGCCTGGCCATATAAGCACATTTAAAATATTAAAACAGGCTAGGGGCAGTGGCTCACGCCTGTAATCCCAGTTCGAGACCACCCTGGCCAACGTGGTGAAACCCCATCTCTACTAAAAATACCAAAGTTAGCTGGGTGTGGTGGTGCACACCTGTAGTCCGAGCTACTTGGAAGGCTAAGGCAGGAGAATCACTTGAACCCAGGAGGCAGAGGTTGCAGTGAGCCGAGATTGTGCCACTGCAGTCCAGCCTTGGCAACAGAGCAAGACTCTATAAATAAATAAATAAAAAACCCAAGGCCGGGGACGGGTGCAGTGGCTCACGCCTGTAATCCCGGCACTTTGGGAGGCCGAGGTGGGCGGATCACCTGAGGTCAGGAGCTCAAGAACAGCCTGACCAATGTGGCGAAACCCTGCCTCTACTAAAAATACAAAAAAAAAAAAAATTAGCCAGGTGTGGTGGTGTGCGCCTGTAGTCCCAGCTACTTGGGAGGTTGAGGCAGGAGAATTGCTTGAACGCAGGAGACAGGTTGCAGTGAGCCGAGATCACACCACTGCACTACAGCCTGGGCAACAGAGCGAGACTCCATCTCAATTAAAAAAATAAATAAACAAGGCTGGGCAGAGTGGCTCATGCCTGTAGTCCCAGCTACTCTGAAGGCTGAGGCAGGGGGATTGCTTGAGCCCGGGAGGTGAAGGTTGCGGTGAGCCAAGATTGTGCCACTGCACTCCAGTCTGGATGACAGAGTGAGACCCTGTCTCAAAAAAAAAAAAAAAAAAAAAAAATTAAAACAAAAGTTAATGGGCCGGGCGCGGTGGCTCACGCCTATAATCCCAGCACTTTGGGAGGCCAAGGCAGGCGGATCACAAGGTCAGGAGATCAAGACCAGCCTGGCTAACACAGTGAAACCCCATCTCTACTGAAAATACAAAAAATTAGCCAGGCGTGGTGGCGTGCGCCTGTAATCCCAGCTACTC